>NC_000006.12:33090303-33393333 GCF_000001405.40 Homo sapiens | reverse complement strand
CTCACAACGACCCCCACAAGGACAAACTGTGATCAGCAACCCCACTACCCATTACCTGACTTCCTTTCCCACAACTTTTCCCCTTGCTCACTTCATTCCAGCCACACTTCCCTCCTTACAACTCTTTAGGGACTCTGCTCTAGCAGATTCCCTCTGCCTGAAATGTTCTTCCCTCACTATCTGCTTGTCTGTCTCCCTCACTTCCTTCAAGTCTTTATTCAACTCATCTTTTCCATGGGGGTTACTGAGACCACCCTATTTAATACTCTAACCCGCCAGTTGGCCTCCCCTATGTCCTCAACCTTGAATTTCTCCTTTTCTCCACAGCACTTACGGCCTTCTGGCAGTTATATAATTCATTTATTACATTTATTGTCTGTATCCCCATAGAATGGCAGCTCCACGATGGCAACGATTTGTCCCTTGTTCACTGCTGCATCCTAAGTACCTACAACCACGCCTAGCATGTAGTAGGTGCTCAATAAATACTTGATTAATAGATCTGAGAAGGCTTTTACTACTTCTTACTGTCACATAATACTACTCTGCTCTCTGGTTGTCACGAGAGAAAGAATCTCTCTTAAGGCTGAATCCTAACTTCAGGGAAACCTGAACGTGAAATACTAGTAAACAAAGGATTCAGGCAGACCTTTCCTGGCACCAGAGATAAGTACACTCCAGCTGTCACACACATTCATCTCTCTTCACTGGAGACAGGAAGCTGCATATGGTTGTGGGGTGCAGCAGGGCACCATTTAAGAGAAAGAACTAAATCAATCAGTTTCATTGGGCAGGAATCTGCACAATTTGGGAAAGGAGAGAGAGAATGAGAAGTCTTTTGGCCCAGATTACCCTACTCTCCTTCTCCCTTTCCTACACTCCGAAGCAGCAGTGATAAGGAGAGGCGATTAACACAAAAGGACCTCAGCAAGGATGTGGCCTCAGACACCATGTCCCCAAAAGGAAGAAGTCATATCAGAACTCTCCCTTCTTACACACTGCAATCACACCCTGAGTAGGAATAAAGAAGTGGAAATGTGTCAGACGAGCCTGAGAATTCGAAATGAGAAATCTCGGAGACATGAAAGTTAAGGGAGGGGCTCCAGAAACTTGAAGCTAGGGGAGGGCAGACAGACGTGCCTTCCGACCTCCCCGGGTGCTCTAAGCCGTCTCCACTCCTGCCTCCGCCCCTTTCCACTTGTGCGGGGGCGCACGGACCTTCGCTCTCCCGGTAGACATGACAAAGGCCGACCGGGAGCCGGGGGCGCGACAGCATCGGAGCGGTCAGCCTTCGTCCCCATCCCCAGGGCAGGACACCTGCGCCGCCCCTACTCACCTGCGGATCCATGTCCACCTCGGTCCCACACGCGCCGGGGGAATGCAGTGGAAGAGAACTGGGTGCCGGGGATCCTGGGACTCGCGTTCTCTCGCCCGCTCGCGAAGCAGGGTAGAGAACTCGCACGGCTCCGGCCGCTACCAGCCCCGCGCCACACCCGCCACTTTTGAATTCCAACGGCCACCACCCACTCTCACCGCGCTCTGCACGCAGGGACCAATCGTCGCTGTCGCCACAGCCGAGGGCCAATCGCAGCGTTCTCCGCCACCCGAAGCCACACCCCGCCCGACAGGCGCCTTGTCTTTTCTGTTTCGCAGGCGCAGGAGAGGTAGGCGGATTAATTCCACTTCCGGTGCCACTTATGCTTCTCACCCCTCCCCTCCTCTAGCGGCAATAGTGCTGGACTTCCGCTCGGCTCCCCGCCGTCGCTCGCTACGTCAGAAAATGCGTGGACGTCGCCGCACGAACGCAACTGGCCAAGCGAAACTGGTGGCGGCCGGAGGAGAAGGGGCGGGGACGCTGGAGGAAAGAAATGACGCGTGCGCAAACGAGGACCCGTGCCGGGAGACAGGCGGGACTAGCGCCTCCTGGTGACTGCAGTAGGGAGCGCACTTGTTTTCCGTCGACGTGATTGAGGCTCCAGCGCTGCCTCTCCTGGTCGTGGTTGACTGGGCCCGGAAGTGGCTCCTGGAGCCCTCACGTGGATGTGAGTGGCCTGGTCTGTTCATTCCCTGGTAATGTTGCCATTTCTCACCAAATTTAGGAATTTTTGCGCTCCATTGAAGCCTGACAGTGGGGATTCAAAGCTCAGGAAAGAACTTTTCTTTATAGCCCTCTTCTCTCAGCCAGCCTACTTACCTGGGTGCTGTTACTGGTACTGGGCTCAGGGCCTTTGGAGTCTCGAGCTCGGGGAAGATTTACTGCTTCCATTTATGGAGTATTTTATGTTTTGCAGATTGTGCACCTGTATTATCTCGTCTTTTAATCACGAAAATTCACTGAGTTCCTACATTGTGCCACATTCTTTGTAGAGATGGATGGAGACAGGTTCAGAAAGATTACACAATAAGGTCACACTGCTGGTTAGGAATGGATCTAGATTCCATTAGCTTCAAAATCCAAGCTATTTCTGTTAACTCACGTTGCCTCTAACAGTCTCGGTGACAAGAGCAACCCCTTACGTGTGAATAGGGTGCTAGTTTGCAAAGTCGTTCTACCATATTTACTCATCCGAGTTTCCATCCAATCCTGGAGGTAGTCAGGACAGGGTTTTATTTATGAAACCGAAAGGCAGGGGCCTCAAGCATATGTTCGGGGATTTGGTGTGCAGTTGGAAATTGGCAGGTCTGACACCCGCGCTGCCGTCTTCTATCCATTGCTTTAACTTGGCTTCAAACAAGCTTGTAGAGAGAAGCAGATTGTGGGGAGACACACTGTCTGAAAACCATGTTGCCATCCCCCCAACCTTTGATATCCTGGGAAAACTCCAAAAAGCAAGAGCTTGAAGAGAACACAGTAAAAAGAAAAGGAAGAAACTAGAGAAAACCAACAATGGAAGGTAAAGGGGGATAACTGAGAAGGGAGACCTGAGAAGAAACATATAGCAAAAGATATTTATCAAATTAAAAAAAAATTTAAATGGAATGGAGAAATATAGACCCATTAGCAGATTAAAGGGGGAAAATGTATTCATCTCAATTGATGCAGCAAAGTCACTCAAAATATTCAACACCCGTTGATATTTTTTTTAAAACTCCAGAAGCTGATAAAGGACATCTTCAAAAATTTCGCAAAACACATCACCATAATGGGGAAATGTTGAAAGCGTTCCTTTCAAGATGGGGAACAAGGCAAGGATGCCTGCTCTCAATAATCCTCATCAATAAAACAATGGAAGTTGTAGCCAGTCCAATAAGCAACAAATATATAAGGACTACAAGAAACATTAATGTTAATATTCGCAGATGAAATTATTGCATGTGCAGCATCCCTAAAATAAAATTCAGATAGAATTGATAAATAAGTTTAGCAAGGTTGATGGATAAAAAATCAGTAAGAGGAAAAAATCAATTTTCAAAATCAATTGCATTTCCGTCTTCAGCAACACTAGTTACAAAGTGTAACTGTAAAAATTACACTATTTGGTGGCCGGGCGCGTTGGCTCATACCTGTAATCCTAGCACTTTGGGAGGCCGAGGCGGGCGGATCACGAGGTCAGGAGATCGAGACCATCCTGGCTAACATGGTGAAAAACTCTCTGTACTAAAAATACAAAAAAAATTAGCCGGGCGTGGTGGCGGGCGCCTGTAGTCCCAGCTACTCAGGAGGCTGAGGCAGGAGAATGGCGTGAACCCGGCAGGCGGAGCTTGCAGTGAGCGGAGATCGCGCCACTGCACTACAGCCTGGAAGACAGAGCGAGACTCCATCTCAAAAAAAAAAAAAAAAAAAAAAAACCAAAAAAGTTAGCCAGGCGTGGTGGCGGCCGCCTGTAATCCCAGCTACTCGGGAGGCTGAGGCAGGCCCACGGAAACAGTGACATGATTCGTGCCAAATTCTGAAGCAATCTTCCCACTAAGGCTATTGGACACAGAATCCGAGTGATGCTGTACCCTTCAAGGATTTAAACTAATGAAAAGTCAATAGGCCGGGTGCGGTGGCTCACGCCTGTCATCCCAGCACTTTGGGAGGCTGAGGCGGGTGAATCACGAGGTCAGGAGTTCAAGACCAGCCTGGCCAAGATGGTGAAACCCCGTCTCTACTAAAAATACAAAAAAGCCGGGTGTGGTGGCGGGCACCTGTAATCCCAGCTACTTGGGAGGCTGAGGCAGAGAACTGCTTGAACCTGGAAGGTGGAGGTTGCAGTGAGTCGAGATCGTGCCACTGCACTCTAGCCTGGGCAACAGAGCGAGACTCCGTCTCAAAAAAAAGAAAAAAAGAAAAAGAGAAAAAAAGAGAAGAAAGAAAAAAGAAAAGTCAATAAATAAACGTGGATTTGTGCTCTTAAAAAAAAATTGCCAGGCATGGTGGATCATGCCTATAATCCCAGCACTTTGGAAGGCCAAGGCAGAAGGACCACTTGAGGTCAGGAGTTCCAGACCAGCCTGGCCAACATGGTGAGATCCCATCTCTACTAAAAATACAAAAAAAATTAGCCGGGCATTGTGGCATGTGCCTGTAATTCCAGCTACTCAGGAGGCTGAGGCAGGAGAATTGCTTGAACCCGTGAGGTGGATGTTTTGGTGAGCCGAGATTGTGCCACCACACTCCAGCCTGGGCAACGAGGGCAATACTCCATCTCAAAAAAAAAAAAAAATTATTCAAAAATTTAAAAGGCTGTAACTCAGCCTTGATTCAAATAGGTTAAAAGTAGTCATGATGATATTTAACAGGAAACATTGCAAGATGAGAACTTTGATGAGGTCTTTCAGGGGAGGACAGATGGTATAGGTATAAGTACATATGTAGGTATAGGTACAGGTACAGATATTGGTATAGGTACAGATACAGTTATAGTAATGGTAGACTCCAAATCACAATGAACCAACATTTGGCCAAAGGCGAAAAAGTTATTTAAGATTACTTTTATGCATGCTCAGTCTCTAGCAAAGGTAACTACCATTCCATTTTTAAAATTTTTTATTTTTTGGAGATGGAGTCTTTTTTTTTTTTTTTTTTTTTTTGAGACAGAGTCTGGCTCTGGCGCAATCTCGGCTTGCTGCAAGCTCTGCCTCCGGGGTTCATGCCATTCTCCTGCCTCAGCCTCCCAAGTAGCTGGGACTACAGGCGCCCGCCACTACGCCCAGCTAATTTTTTATATTTTTAATAGAGATGGGGCTTCACCATGTTAGCCAGGATGGTCTCGATCTCCTGACCTCCTGATCCACCCGCCTCAGCCTCCCAAAGTGCTGGGATGACAGGCATGAGCCACTGTGCCTGGCCAAGGAGACGGAGTCTTGCACTGTCCCCCAGGCTGGAGTGCAGTGGCGTGTTCTCGGCTCACTGCAACCTCTGCCTCACGGGTTCAAGCGATTCTCCTGCCTCAGCCTCCTGAGTAGCTGGGATTACAGACATCCGCCACCATGCCCAGCTAATTTTGGCATTTTTAGTAGAAACGGGGTTTCACCATATTGGCCAGGCTGGTCTCGAACTCCTGACCTCGTGATCTGCCCGCCTTAGCCTCCCAAAGTGCTGGGATTATAGGTGTGAGCCACCGCACCTGGCCTACCATTCCATTTTTAAAACTGTAATAAAGTCGCGTAGCCTCTGAGATAGGCTACTTCTTTTTTTAAATAATTTTTTTTTATTTATTTTAAGACAGAGTCTTACTCTATCACTCAGGCTGGAGTGCAGTGGTGCGATCTGGACTCACTGCATCCTCTGCCTCCCAGGTTCAAACGACTCTGACTCAGTCTCCCAAGTGGCTGGGATTACAGGTGTGCACCACCATGCCAGGCTAATTTTTGTATTTTTAGTAGAGAGGGGGTTTCACCATGTTGGCTAGGCTGGTCTGGAACTCCTGATCTCAAGTGATCCGCCTGCCTCAGCTTCCCAAAGTGCTGAGATTACAGGCATGAGCCACTGCTCCTGGCCAATATTTTAAAATTTTTAATGAAATAAAATAGAGACAGGGTCTCACCATGTTGCTCAGGCTGGTCTCAAACTCCTGGGCTCATGCAGTCCTCCCACCTTGGCCTCCCAAAGTGCTGGGATTACAGGTTTGAGCCACTATGCCTGGCAGTAATTGGCTACTACTAACTCTGAAAACTGTAACCTGAAACTTAAGGCTTTGATTATTTGTTATAGGAAACTACATTTGTCAGAATGCTATAGTAGATTGTGTTTGTTTACTTCAAGTCAACTATATTTGTTATGTGAAGTTATATTTGTATACCAACCTATGTTGGTAAGCCACTGTTTATGACCTCACTGATTTTCTTATAATCATATCTATGTATTATCTTGCCAAGATAGATTCCAAATCCAGAATTTTCCTCCTATGGGTTGTAAACATAAAACGTTATTTGTCTAAGTCTGTTTGTGCTACTATAACAAAATACCTGAGACAGAGTAATTTATAAACAACAGAAATGTGTTTCTCACAGATCTGGAGGGCTGGGAAGTGAAAGATCAAGGTGCCGGCAGGTACAGTGTCTGGTGAGGGACCTGGTTCCTTCTTCACATAGAGCCTTGTTGTTGCATCCTCCGGAGGAGATGAATGCTGTGTCCTCACATGGTAGAAGGACAAAAAAGGGCCGAAGCTAGTTCCCTCCAGCCCTTCCCTCCAGCCCTTTCCCTCAATTCATTCATGGGAGTGGAGTCCTCATGACTTAATTACTTCCCAAACAACCTCACCTCTTAATACCACCAAAGTTGAGATTAAATGTCAACATATGAATTTTGGGGGACATTCAGATCAAAGCAGTATTATAGCACATTTGCTTTCAGAAATGCATAATGATATATTTTTGTGTGTGTTTGTTTTTAGCCAGGGTCTTACTTTGTCACCCAGGCTGGAGTGCAGTGGCACAATCTCGGCTCACTGCAGACTCCACCTTGCAAGTTCAAGCTATTCTCCTGCTTCAGCTCCCCTCCCCCCGCAAATAGCTGGGACTGCAAGCCTGCACCCCATGCCCAGCTAAATTTTGTATTTTTTGTAGAGACAGGGTTTTGCCATGTTGGCCAGGCTGGTCTCGAACTCCTGACCTCAGTAATCCACCCACCTCAGCCTCCCAAAGTGCTGGGCCCAGCGGCTGGGGTGTCTTTTGTCATCTCATCTTTACCCCTTTTTCCCCTGAACTATCCAAATACCCAGCTAAAGGTAGAGATAGAAATAGGAGGGGAGGCAAGTTGGGCTGAGAATGCTTGTGTAACATCAGGCCTGAAGGCACTTTCAGAAGCCAGGCATTGCCTATATTTCATCTCAAACTGCTACACAAGTGTTATTTCCAACCGTGTGCCAATATCACACAATGTCACAACTACACGTGGAACTGAATGAAGGTCCTGGAGAGTCTCTCATAATAGAAATTTTCAGATCCAGACTTGGAAATAACTGGTCATTTAAGTGAGCGAGAGGTGGGGTTAAAATAAAGAATTGTGCTTTTCTATATTTTATTATCATTTCTCTGATAAGAAATGGAAGACGTTAAATAAAAATGGGAGTCTAGGCCCGGTGTGGTGGCTCACGCCTGTAATCCCAGCACTTTGAGAGGCTGAGTCAGGTGGATCACCTGAAGTCAGGAGTTCAAGACCAGCCTGGCCAATATGGTGAAACACCATCTCTACTAAAAATACAAAAATTGGCTGGGCGTGGTGGTGGGTGCCTGTAATCCCAGCTACTTGGGAGGCTGAGGCAGGAGAATTGCTTGAACCCAGGAGGCGGAGGTTGCAGTGAGCCAAGATCGCACCATTCCACTCCAGCCTGGGCGACAAGAGCAAAACTCCGCCTAAAAAAAAAAGCCGGGCACGGTGGCTCATGCCTGTAATCTGTAATCCCAGCACTTTGGGAGACTGAGGCTGGCAGATCACCTGAGGTGGGGAGTTGAGACCAGCCTGACCAGCATGGAGAAACCCTATCTCTACTAAAAATACAAAACTACCCAGACGTGGTGGTGCATGCCTGTAATCCCAGCTACTCAGGAGGTTCAGGCAGGAGAATTTCTAGAACCCGGGAGGCAGAGGTTGTGGTGAGCCAAGATTGCGCCATTGGACTCCAGCCTGGGCAACAAGAGTGAAACTCCATCTCATTAAAAAAAAAAAAAAGGGGGAGTCTAGACCAGGCACAGTAGCTCATGCCCGTAGTCCCAGGACTTTGGGAGGCCAAAGTGGGTGGATTGCTTGAGCCCAGGAGTTCAAGACTAGCCTGGGAAACATGGGGAAACCCTGTCTCTACAAAAAATTAGCCAGGCATGGTGGCACATAGGTGTAGTCCCAGCTACTCGGGAGGCTGAAGTGGGAGGATCACCTGAGCCTGGGAGGTCGAGGCTGCAGTGAGTAATGATCACACCACTGTACTTCAGCCTGGGTGACAGAGTGAGATCCTGTCTTCAAAGAAAAAAAAAAAAGGGCAGGGGGCAGTCTGTGCACACACATTCCCCTTCTTCCAGATCCCTGCCTTTGGACATGAAGACCTCCCTCTAGGGTCTCCAGTCCAAGCTGCCAGGGAGACATCACTCAGCACCACCACACCCTCCATCTGCGTGGACAGGCCTCCTAGGGGATGGCCACTCCTTGTGTAAGATCCATTACCGCTCCGAAAATCAATGTCAAAGATCCAGGGAAGATATGCCCTCTAGAGGAGTTCTAGGGAAACATCTTCCTTTCCCTGATCACTGCTCCTTAAGAAAAATTAGTCACAAAAGGAAAAAAAAAAAGTGACTGTATTTCATAATGTCTTGGTTCATTTTTATACAAGCTGCAAATTCAACATAAGAAACACTTATGGCTGGGTGCAGTGGCTCACGCCTGTAATCCCAGCACTTTGGGAGGGTGAGGCAGGCGGATCATGAGGTCAGGAGTTCGAGACCAGCCTGACCAACATGGTGAAACCGCGTTTCTACTAAAAATATAAAAATTAGTTGGGCGTGGTGGCGGGCCTCTAATCCCAGCTATTCAGGAGGCTGAGGCAGGAGAATTGCTTGAACCCAGGAGGCGGAGGTTGCAGTGAGCCAAGATCGCACCACTGAACTCCAGCCTGGGCTAACACAGCGAGACTCCTTCTCGATAAAAATAATAATAATAATTTTAAAAAAAGAAACACTTACTGTGTGCCAACGATCTGGAGCCAGAGGCCCTGTGAAGGTGCCGCACCATGCTGCTTGCTGGGATTACAGCAGTGAACACAACAGATGTGGGCCTCCATTTCTCAAAGTTCCTGCCCAGTGAGGAGTACAGATGAGCAGAGAGGCAGCGACAAAAACTAAAAGAGATCATGCATGTGAAGTTCTTAGCACAGTCTGTACAATTGTACGTATCCCTGAGCAGCAGCAGCAGGGCACGACAGGCCAGAGCCGGGCTCATCAAGTGTGCAGAACTGAGAAGGGCTGCAGCACGGAACAGTCTGGGGAGCTGAGGCTGGCGGGATGGGTAGGAGGGGGCAGACCATGAAGGCTTTACCCTGGGGATAGGAGCAGGAGTCTCCTACAAATCTGTCAGTTGGTCGGGATTCCCTACTTCCAGGATGGGGAAGGGTGAAGGTTTACAGGGGCAAAGTCTGTGCTGGAGTGAGCCCAGGAATTCAAGACCAGCCTGGGCAACATGGGGAAAAAGAGTAAACACTCCTTTTCTTCTGCATCATGCAGTTTGCCACCATCTGCTATAGAGATCCCCACAGGGCAAGGTTTTCTGCCCGGCCACCTCGAGTGCTACAGGCCTGCCCAGGGGTGTCCTGCCCACACAGGGTGCTGTGGCTCAGGCTCTCAACCTTGGTCCAGCCTCTCACAGCTGAGCATAATACTGATACTGACACTGAGCCTTTGATAGAGGCTGTTAGTTTCCCCCCAGTATTGTTTCTCCAATCTTTTCGTGTTAATAAACCCTAGATTTTTTTTTTTGCAAGACACATGGCCACCAAAAAAGATCTCAACTCCCAGCCTCTCTTGAGACTAGGTATGGCAATGGACAGTGCTCTGGCCAATAGAGCACAAATGGAAGTAATATATCCACATTTCAGGGAGAGCCCTAAAGGAAGGAGTATGCCCTTCCCCGTCAAACCATGCCATTTGTTGAGAATAGAAGAACCACAAGCTTCACCGGGCGTGGTGGCTCACACCTCTAATCTCAGCACTTTGGGAGGCCAAGGAGGGCAGATCGCCTGAGGTCAGGAGTTTGAGACCAGCCTGGCCAACACGGTGAAACCCCGTCTCTACTAAAAATACAAAAATTAGCTGGGCGTGGTGGCATGTGCCTGTAATCCCAGCTACTTGGGAGTTGGGAGGCTGAGGCAGGAGAATCGCTTGAACCCGGGAGGGGAAGTTTGCAGTGAGCCAAGATTGTGCCACTGCACTCCAGCCTAGGCGACAGAGTGAGACTCCATCTCAAAAAAAAAAAAAAAAAAAGAAAAAAGAACCACAAATTAGAAATGTCTTGCCTTCCTGGTAATCTTGGAAGTTCTGCACCAGTCCTGGACTGGTTATCTCAGAATTTGCTTACAGGAAAAATTCACTTGTCTCTTGTTTAAGCCACTGTTATTTCTCAAACTCCTGGACTCAAGCCATCTGCCTTCCATGGCCTCCCAAAGTGCTGGGATTACAGGCATGAGCCACTGCACCCAGCCTAGACATTGTTGCTATGCCTCCACAGAGTACCGTGGAGTAGCCTGAGTGGCCTGGGCCCTGCCTCGGACCCTGTGTTTGAAGGGACTCTGCACTTTGGAGTATCTTCCTTGAAATTTCCTAAGTCACTCTACAGAGCCAAGGGCCAGCCTGTGCCAGCAGAGAACTCGCTCCCATTGGGCGCTCATGGGGTTCTGTAGCCTTGTAGGATCAATTCTGCTAGCAGAGAGGTATTTCTTTTATGGATCGCACATGATTGGGCTACCGGCTGGTCCACTTTGACCCTTAAGCTTGAGCTGTATGTGTGGGTCCTAGTGATGGCTCCCCCGCCCCCATTCTTTGTGTTCCAACTGTGGTGGTATCTCTGTTACCTTAGAGTGGCAGGTAGTCAAAGGAGTCCTTCGTCCTGTGTGTCCCTCACTGATGGTGTCGCGCCACATGCTTCACTGGCACCCAGGAAAGTCATCCCATCCACTCCACAGCCTCTGTGCTACATGCCAGATTGTCCTCTGGGAATAGCTCTGCCTATCTCCTCTCAAAGCTTTCAGGAAGGTTGTTCCACAACCCAACAGGCTCTTCCCATTAATGTCCTCTCTTCTCTTCAATTGATGTGCTGACCTTCTGCTCTCCCAGGTTAGCTGTGCTGGTCAAGGGATGGACTTTCTTTATGTCAAAGTGACTGCTTGGCCTGGTGCAGTGGCTTACCCTTATAATCCCAGCACTTTGGAAGGCCAAGGTGGGAGGATTGCTTGAGACCAGGAATTCAGCATCAGCCTGGGCAACATAGTGAGACCACTTCTCTACTAAAAAAAGAAGGAAAAGAAAGGGACTGCCCTTCTCATTCCACCTACAGGCCGCTCACCTATCCACCCTACTGGTGGTCCTGTGTAAAATGTAGGGGTGCTGCCATCATTGAAGGCGATCACATTCAGCCAGGCATGGTGGCTAACGCCTGTAGTCCCAGCACTTTGGGAGCCCAAGGCTGGTGGATCACCTGAGGTCAGGAGTTCAAGAACAGCCTGACCAACATGGTGAAACCCCATCTCTACTGAAAATACAAAAAAAATTGGCCGGGCATGGTGGCACACCTGTAGTCCCAGCTATTCAGGAGGCTGAGGCAGGAGAATCACTTGAACCCGGGAGGCAGAGGTTGCAGTGAGCCAAGATCGCACCACTGCACTCCAGCCTGGCGACAGAGTGAGACTCCGTCTCAAAAAAATAAAATAAAATAAAATAAAATAAAAACAGAATGTTTGGAAGGCCTGTCCTTCGTCTACTCGGAGTTGTAGTGATCTGGGTTGTAAATCATAGTTAAGAGGGGTCTGATAGCTCCTAACTCCCTATTGTTAGAGAGTTTATAGTAAGACTATGGCTTTTCTTATAGCCATAGGAATTTAGAAATTTGCCATGCCAGCCAGACTCTGAACCCTCTACCTGTAGGTAACTTTAGTTTTCTTTTTTTCTTTTCTTTTTTTTTTTTTTTGAGATGGAGTCTCCCTCTGTCGCCCAGGCTGGAGTGCAGTGGTGCGATCTCGGCTCACTGCAACCTCCGCCTCCCAGGTTTAAGCAATTCTCTGCCTCAGCCTCCTGAGTAGCTGGGATTACAGACGCCCGCCACCATGCGTAGCTAATTTTTTGTACTTTTAGTAGAGACAGGGTTTCACCATGTTGGTCAGGCTGATCTTGAACTCCTGACCTCATGATCCACCCGCCTCAGCCTCCCAAAGTGCTGGGATTACAGGCATGAGCCACCACTCCCAGCCAGAAGTAACTTTGGTTTTCTTAACTGTAGGGCCCTTGTTAGTTGATAAGGGAACATATCAGATCATGGGACTTTACACTTCAGCAATGAGAGGGGGTGCTCTTTAATTTAGGCAGTGATGTGAAGGTATTTGCATTTTTGAAAGAACACGCTAGCTACAAAATGGAGAATAGATTGGCAGTAATTGGGTGAGGATGAGGAAAGATAGTTAGGACACCACTGTAGTCATCCAGGCAAGAGGCAAGAGGACCTGAACAAAAGTGTAGTTGTGAAGATGCAGAGAGGTCAGAGATGTGGAAGGTTCTTAACAGGCAGAACCAGCAGGACCTGGAGATGGATAAGACATGAAATGGGTGGGGCGAGCAGAGAAGGTAGTTGGAGGGAGAATGTCAGATTTTTGGCTTGAGCAACTGGGTGGCTGGCAAAGTCAGTCACAGGGAGACAGGCACCAAAAGAGGAGGAGTTTTGTGGAGAAGGTCAAGGGCTCTGCTTGGACATGTTGAGGCTACACTGCACTTAGGGTGTGCAGGGTATAAGCAAATACATAAACAAATTTATTTTAAAGTCTATAACAGGCTGGGCACAATGGCTCATGCCTGTAATCCCAACACTTTAGGAGGCTAAAGTGGGTGGATTACTTAAGCCCAGGAGTTTGAGACTAGCCCAGGCAACATATTTAGACCATGCCTCTACACACACACACACAGACACACACAAAAAAAAAAAAAGAAAGAAGAAAAGAAAATATATTACAAAATACATGAGCGCCACACCTGTAATCCCAGCACTTTGGGAGGCCGAAGCGGGCGGATGACGAGGTCAAGAGATCAAGACCATCCTGGCCAATATGGTGAAACCCGGTCTCTACTAAAAATACAAAAAATTAGCTGGGCGTGGTGGCGGGCACCTGTAGTCTCAGCTACTCAGGAGGCTGAGGCAGGAGAATCACTTGAACCCGGGAGGTGGAGGTTGCAGTGAGCCGAGATCACACCTCTGCACTCCAGCCTGGGCGACAGAGTGAGACTCTGTCTCAAAAAATAATAATAATAATGACAATAAATGAGCCCATGTGAAGTATAGTGATGTCATTTTTTTCAAGACGGAGTCTCGCTCTGTCACCCAGCCTGGAGTGCCATGGCGCCATCTCGGCTCATTGCAGCCTCCGCCTCCCGGGTTCAAGCGATTTTCCTGCCTCAGCCTCCCAAATAGCTGGGATTACAGGCACCCACTATCATGCCCGGCTAATTTTTGTATTTTTGTAGAGATGGGGTTTCACCATGTTGGCCAGGCTGGTCTTAAACTCCTGTCCTCAGGTGATCCACCTGCCTCGCCCTCCCAAAGTGCTGGGATTACAGGCGTTAGCCATCACACCCAGCCTCAACTGTATATTCTCCTGAGCTTTTTAGGGTATAGTCAATGCATTCCCAAAATGTGATCACTTTCTTTTTTTTTTTTTTGAGACAGAGTCGCGCTCTGTCACCCAGGCTGGAGTGCAATGGTGCGATGTCAGCTCAGTGCAACCTCCAGCTCCCGGGTTCAAGTGATTCTCCTGCCTCAGCCTCTTGAGTAGCTGGTATTACAGGCAACCGCCATCGCGCCTGGCTAATTTTTTTTTTTTTTTTTTTTTTTGAGATGGAGCCTTGCTCTGTTTTGCCGAGAGTTTTTTTGTTTGTTTGTTTTTTGTGATGGGGTTTTGCCAAGTTGGTCAGGCTGGTCTCGAACTCTTGATCTCGTGATCCACCTGCCTTGGCCTCCCAAAGTGCTGGGATTACTGACTGGTGTGAGCCACTGTGTTTCTATTTTTTTTTTTTTTTTTTTTTGAGATGGAGTCTTGCTCTGTCGCCTAGGCCAGAGTGCAGTGGCGTGATCTTGGCGATTCTCCTGCCTCAGCCTTCTGAGTAGCTGGGACCACGGGTGCGAACCACAATGCCCTGCTAATTTTTGTATTTTTAGTAAAGACGGGGTTTCACCAGGTTGGGCAGGATGATCTCAATCTCTTGACCTCGTGATCCGCCTGCCTCGGCCTCCCAAAGTGCTGGGATTACACGTGTGAGCCACTGCTCCCGGCCTATTTTTAAATTTTTGAGATAAAGTCTTGCTCTGTCACCCAGGCTGGAGTGCAGTGGCACGATCTCAGCTCACTGCAACCTCTGCCTCCCAGGTTCAAGCGATTCTCTCGCCTCAGTCTGAGGAGTAGTTGGGACTACAGGCGTATGCCACCATACCTAGCCATAGATTTTTGTCTTTGAATATAACACAACGTGGGAAAAGCATAGTAAATTCACTGATGCCTCACTTATCTCAAATGATACAAATTTTGAACCATTATTAAATTTCACGGAAACCATTATAATTTATATAAACAATATGCTGCAAACATTTGAAACAAGTCATGTAATAGCAAGTCTTTACAAATTTATTAGCCCTAGGAGAAGTATTATTTTTTTTTTCTTGGATGCCAGAATCTTGAGAACAGTATGTGCAAAGTAAAAATGCATTCGATTTGAGAGTTATACTTAGCTTTTTGAAGTTTTTCAAATCTTGCTAGTGAGCCGTTTGCTAATTAAAAGTGATCTTCTGAGCCTGATGTGGTGGTGCGTGCCTGTAGTCCCAGCTACGCTGGAGGCTGAAGCAGGAGGATCCCTTGAGTCCAGGAGTTCAAGACTGTAGGATTTCCAGGTTATAGTGCACAGTGATCTCGTCAGTGAATAGTCACTGAACTCCAGCCTGGGCAATATAGCAGAAACTCTGACTTTATTTTTTATTTTTTTAATTATTTATTTATTTATTTATTTATTTATTTATTTATTTATTTATTTATTTTGAGACGGAGTCTCGCTCTGTCGCCCAGGCTGGATGGAGTGCAGTGGTGCGATCTTGGCTAACTGCAAGCTCCGCCTCCCGGGTTCACACCATTCTCCGGCCTCAGCCTCCCGAGTAGCTGGGACTACAGGCGCTCGCCACGCCCGGCTCATGAGCCGCCTGCCTCGGCCTTCCAAAGTGCTGGGATTACAGGCATGAGCCACCGCGCCCGGCCTGACTTTATTTTTTAAAACAAACAAATAGAAAGGGGACTTCCATTCTGTCAGAGACATTTGAACCAGAGCAACTCCATCTTGAATAGGGGTTGGATAAAATGAGGCTGAAACGTACTGGGCTGCATTCCCAGACACTTGAGGCATTCTAGGTCATAGGATGAGATAGGAGATCGGCACAAGACATAGGTCACAAAGACCTTGCTGATAAAAGAGGTTGCAGTAAAGAAGCCGGCTGAAACCCACCGAAACAAAGATGGCGATGAGAATGACCTCTGGTTGTCCTCACTGCTACACTCCCACCAGCAACCTGACAGTTTACAAATGCCATGGAAACATCAGGAAGTTACCCTATATGATCTAAAAAGGGGAGGCATGAATAATTTGCCTCTTGTTTAGCATATAATCAAGAAATAACTTAACAATGGGCAAACAGCAGCCCTCAGGGCTGCACTGCCTTTGGAGTAACCTTCTTTCGTTTCTTAACTTCTCTAATAAACTTGCTTTCACTTTATGGATTTGCCTTGAATTCTTTGTTGCATGAGATCCAAGAACTCTCTCTTGGGGTTTGGATCATGACCACTTTCTGGCAACAATTCTTCAAAGAAACCTTTTTTTTTTTTTGAGACAGAGTTGTGTGTTTCCCTCTTGTTGCCCAGGCTGATTTGCGATGGCGAGATCTCGGCTCACTGCAGCCTCCACCTCCCAGGTTCAAATGATTCTCCTGCCTCAGCCTCCTGAGTAGCTGGGATTACAGGCGCCCATCACCACGGCTGGATAGTTTTTATTTTTATTTTTAGTAAAGATGAGATTTCACCATGTTGGCCAGGCTGGTCTCGAACTCCTGACCTCAGGTGATCCACGTGCTTCAGCCTCCCAAAGTGCTGGGACTACAGGCGTGAGCCACCACGCCCAGTCCAAAGAAAACTTCATATCTGATTTTATATTTTTTTAAAAAGGCCTTACAGGTTGGGCATGGTTGCTCATGCCTGTAATCCCAACACTTTGGGAGGCCGAGGTGGGTGAATTGCTTGAGCGCAGGAGTTAGAGACTGAAACTGCCTTTGCAAAATTATGACTGAGACAGTGAAAGAAATCTAACTTAACCGACTCCATTTTGCTTCTAACCTCCAAGCTGTCATTCATTCCTGGGCCTAAGCTGAACTAACTTTGGGAGAAACTTGGTTTATAATTTAAAACAAAGACAATAATAGCCCTTTCCCTTTGTTTTAATAGCCCTTTAAAACAAAGACAATAACAGACCTCCTTCTTGCCTGGGGACTAGATTGCCTTTGTAGGACTAACACAGATTAGAAATTATGGTTTAGGCTGGGTGCAGTGGCTCATGCCTGTAATCCCAGCACTTTGGGAGGCAGAGGCGGGCGGATCACCTGAGGTCAGGAGTTCGAGACCAGCCTGACCAATATCATGAACCCCTATCTCTACTAAAAATACAAAAAGTAGCTGGGCGTGGTGGCATGTGCCTGTAATCCCAGCTACTCAGGAGGCTGAGACAGGAGAATGGGTTGAACCCCAGAGGCAGAAATTGCAGTGAGCCGAGATTGCGCCATTGCACTCCAGCCTGGACAACAAGAGCGAAACTCTGTCTCAAGAAAAAAAAGAAAACAAAACAGAAAGAAAGAAATTACGGTTTAGGAGTCATGCAGGTGAAGGCTACAAGATTCTGACCCTCCCTAAACATCTCCTAAGATCAGTGCTTGAGACATTTTGTCGACCCTGCACTTGATGGATCAGCCGGTACCACCCAGATTGATTAACTGGCTCATCTGATCTTATGGCCCCCACCCAGGAACTGACTCAGCGCAAGAAGACAGCTTAGACTCCCTATGATTTCATCTCTGACCAATCAGCACTCCTGGCTCACTGGCTTCCCCTGACCCACCAAGTTGTCCTTAAAAACTCTGCTCCCCAGGCTGGGCGAGGTGGCTCGTGCCTCTAATCCCAGCACTTTGGGAGGCTGAGGCAGGTGGATCACCTGAGGTCAGGAGTTTAAGACCAGCCTGGCCAACTTGGTGAAATCCTGTCTCTAAAAATACAAAAATCAGCTGGGTATGGTGGCACAGGCCTGTAATCCCAGCTACTGAGGCTGAGGCAGGAGAATCACTTGAACCTGGGAGGTGGAGGTTGCAGTGAGCCAAGATTTTGCCATTGCACTCCAGCCTGGGTGACAGAGAGAGACTCCATCTCAAAAAACAGAACAAAACAACAACAACAAAAACAAACTCTGCTCCTCGAATTCTTGGGCAGACTGATTTGAGTAATAATAAAACTCCTGTCTCCCACACAGCAGGCTCTGCGTGAATTACTCTTTCTATATTGCAATTCCTCTGTCTTGAGAAATCGGCTCTGTCTAGGCAGCGGGCAAGGTAAACACATTGGGCGGTTATGAGACCAGCCTAGTTAACACGGTGAAACCCCATCTCTACAAAAAATACAAAAATTAGCCGGGTGTGATGGTGCATTCCTGTAGTCCCAGCTTCTCAGAAGG
Source organism: Homo sapiens (assembly GCF_000001405.40). Taxonomy (NCBI): domain Eukaryota; kingdom Metazoa; phylum Chordata; class Mammalia; order Primates; family Hominidae; genus Homo; species Homo sapiens. The sequence goes on along the minus strand of NC_000006.12, from coordinate 33,375,420 downwards.
CTGAAGCGAGAGGATGGCATGAGTCCAGGAAACGGAGGTTACAGTGAGCCAAGATTGAGCAACTGTACTCCAGCATAGGCAACAGAGCCAGATCCTGTACCAAAAAAAAAAAAGCCTTACATTATTTTTTTGCACCATTTCAACCAGTGCATTGTGACGGCTCTGCCCATTAGCTAAATCTAGCTAATCAGTATAAGCATCTGCCCAGTCTGCCCATCTGGCTGGACTTCTCCAGGGAAAGTCCATACTGATACTAAAAGTCTGGCCACAGAAGCTGTTATTCTTTAAAAGTGCCAGGCCTTCACATTGAAAGCTTAGAACAATTTTCTCCCTTCTCTTTTTCTCTTTTGAAATTATGACATACTTAAGTAGAAAACTACATAGAATAGCTATAATGAACCTGTATGGGCCAAAGGAAAACTTCCCTTTCGCCCTCTGAAGGTTGGCTGGAAAATTAACTCACGAAAGATAGATGCAGGCTGGGCACGGTGGTTCACATCTGTAATCCCAGCACTTTGGGGGGCTGAGTCGGGTGGATCACCTGAGGTCAGGAGTTCAAAACCAGCCTGGAAACATGGTGAAAATATAAAAATTAGCTGGGCACAGTGGCGTGTGCTTGTAATCCCAGCTACTCGGGAAGCTGAGACAGGAGAATCACTTGAGCCCAGGAGGTGGAGGTTGCAGTGAGCTGAGATTGTGCCATTGCATTCCAGCCCTGTCGACAGAGCAAGAGTCTGTCCAAAAAACAAAACAAAACAAAACAAAAAAAAAAAAGGTGCATTGGAGAAGAGGCATATAAATGGATTAATGTGTACACAGAGAGAACCACAGAGTGATTAACCAATCCACAACAGGGTTCAGGAGCTTATTTACCATCCTGGCAAAACAGGTTATGGGATAGGGAACAGGAATTCTCTTGAGGGGCCATAGGCGATTATTAGGGAGAATGAATGGGCCCAGAGATAGAGATTGAGTTTTGAATAGTTCCCTGTGGAATGTGAATGAGCTGAGAGACAGACTCTTTTGGGAAAGGACCTGCTCAGGTGTGATTCCATTCCTGATCTTACAGGGAGGGGAAGAGAAAACAATTATTCTTTGTGGTATGTCTGGACTTGAAGCAGATAAAGGAACTTCAGAGAATAACTCATCCTGCCTGTGGGAGAGCTGGTTGAGAAGAGAGGTCAGAGAAACCTTGAAGTTTCTTCTTCAGTTCAGCATGTTGGCATATTTTGGGGTATTAATTTCTGAGCCTCAGCAAACCTCACAGACACCACTTCCTTATACAACTGTAAACACAAACTTTTTTTTTTTTTTTTTTTTTTGAGACAGAGTCCCACCCTGTCACCCAGGCTGGAGTGCATTGGCACGATCTCAACTCACAGCAACCTCTACCTCCCGGGTCAAACAATTCTTGCCTCAGTCTCCCAAGTAGCTGGGATTACAGGCCCGTGCCACCCCACCCGGCTAATTTTTGTATTTTTAGTAGAGATGGGGTTTCACCATGTTGGCCAGGCTGGTCTCAAACTCCTGACCTCAGGTGAGCCACCCGCTTCGGCCTCCCAAAGTGCTAGGATTACAGGTGTGAGCCACTGTGCCTGGCCTCTTTTTTTTTTTTTTTGGAGACTAAGTGTCGATCTGTCACCCAGGCTGGAGTGCAATGGCAGGATCTCGGCTCACTGCAACCTCCACCTCCCGGGTTCAAGCAATTCTCCTGCCTCAGCCTCTGGAGTAGCTGGGATTACAGGCGCCCACCACCATGCTTGGCTAATTTTTTTATATTTTGAATAGAAACGGGGTTTCACCATGTTGCCCAGGCTGGTCTCCAACTCTTGACCTCAAGTGATCCGCCTGCCTCAGCCTCCCAAAGTGCTGGGATTACATCTTTTTTTCTTTTTTTTTTTATGGGGGTGGAGTTGGGGGGTGTCTCACTATGTTGCCCAGGCTGGTCTCCAACACCTGGGCTCAAGTGTTCCTCCCACCTGCCTCGGCCTCCCAAAGTGCTGGGATTATAGGCATGCACCACTGTGCCTGACCTAAACTGTTTTCTTCCACCATACTCTTGTTACCTGAAAAAAAACAGGGTTTGTTTGCCTGGCAAATAACAAATGACTCTCCACAAGGCAGGTTTTAATCAACAGGAGTTTAATTACAAGTAAGGAGAGCACTGGGAGGATTCTTCAAAGCAGTGTCTCCCGGAGAGAAGTGACAGGAGGATTTTAGGGGGTGATGGGGAGGGGAGAGGGTGCCTCATTGCATGTAGAGGAGGGGTCCCAGTTTTGGAAACACAGTGAATCCTCACGCCCGCACACAGGTCACATGCTATGAGAATGAAGCCACAGCTCCTCCCAGGATGGAGATTTCAGCATGGTAATGAGGAACTTTCACTCAGGTTTATCTACAAGTTTCTGGGGTCTGCCAGGAGCCAGTTTTAACCAACTAGGTGACTGCAGTCAACACAGGGTTTAGGAAAAAAGAGGCTGCACGGCAGGAGGCTGTAAAACAAGCCAATTGCTCAGGGTGATTAAATTTCTGTAATCCCTGAAGACCCTCCCTGTCTGCTCACACAACACAAAACACTTGTGACCAGATGTATGGGACTTTTTCTCCACACACCAAACAGTTAACTATCCAGCAAATACTGAGTGGCCTATTTGATTCAATTCAGCCACTAGCTACCTGGAGATGGTATCAGATTCCACAGGGGGAGGGCTGAGTCCCAAAAGACTGCCTCCCACTTTAGATGCCAATTCCAAGACCAAGGCTGTGATCTGTGCTTCTGACAAACCTGCTATAAATCAGGGTTCCTACAACCCCCTCCTTGGCTTCATAATTTGCTAGGATTGCTAACAGAACTCAGGGAAACACGTTTATCACTTAATTATGCAGGACGTTTTAAAGATATAGATGAATAGCTGGATTTAAAAGATGCATAGGGTGAGCTTTTGGGAGGAAGAGGCTTGGCGCTTCCATGGCCCATCTGGGCACCACCCTCCCAGCACCTCCAAGTGTCAGTACCCTGCCAACCCATCAATTCTTTTTTTTTTTCTTTTGAGAGGCAGTTGCACTCTGTTGCCTAGGCCAGAGTGCAATGGCAAGATCTCGGCTCACTGCAACCTCCACCTCTTGGGTTCAAGGGATTATCCAGCCTCAGCCTTCTGAGTAGCAGAGATTACAGGCACCTTCCACCACGCCTGGCTACTTTTTGTATTTTTAGTAGAGACAGTGTTTTGCTATGTTGGCCAGGCTGGTCTCCAACTCCTGACCTCAAGTGATTTGCCAACCTCAGCAAAGGGCTAGGATTACAGGCATGAGCCACCGTGCCCAGCCCCCATCCATTCTTGTTCAAGAGTTTTTATGGCCGGGCCACTGCACTCCAGCCTGGGTGACAGAGCAAGACTCCGTCTCGGAAAAAAAAAAAAGAGTTCTTAGAGGCCAGGTGTGGTGGCTCACGCCTGTAATCTCAGTACTTTGGGAGGCCGAGATGGGCAGATCACCTGAGGTAAGGAGTTCGAGACCAGCCTGGCCAACATGGCGAAACCCCATCTCTACTAAAAATACAAAAATTAGCCAGGCATGGTTGTGGGCACCTGTAATCCCAGCTACTCGGGAGGCTGAGGCAGGAGAATCCCTTGAACTGGGGAGGCAGAGGTTGCAGTGAGCCAAGATCACACCACTGCAGTCCAGCCTGGGTGACAGAGTACTCTGTCTCAAAAAAATTTTTTTTTTTTGGTCTCAATCTCCTGACCTCATGATCCACCTGCCTCGGCCTCCCAAAGTGCTGGGATTACACGCCCAGGTAATTTTTGTATTTTTAGTAGAGACAGGGTTTCACTATGTTGGCCAGGCTGGTCTCAAACTCCTGACCTCAGGTGATCCACTTGCCTTGGCCTTCCAAAGTGCTGGGATTACAGGCATGAGCCAATGTGCCCAGCCTATTATTTTTAAACTGACAGATAAATTTTACATATTTATCATATAGGACATGATGGTTTGGTTTTGGTTTGATTATTTATTTATTAAATATTTATTTATTTATTTTTGAGACAAATTCTAGCTCTGTCACCCAGACTGGAGTGCAGTAGAGTGATCTTCTTGGCTCACTGCAAATTCAACCTCCTGGATTCAAGAGATTCTCATGCCTCAGCCTCCAGAGTAGCTGGGACTACAAGCATGCACCACCATGTCCAGTTAATTTTTGTATTTTTTGATAGAGATGGGGTTTCTCCTTGTTGTCCAGACTGTTCCTGAGCTCCTGGCCTCAAGTGATCCATCCACATCAGCCTCCCGAAGTGCTGGGATTACAGGCGTAAGCCACCGCGCCTGGCCTGCTTTTTTATTTTTATTTTCAGTATTTTCTTGAGACAAGTCTCCCAGGCTGGGGTGCACTGCCACAGTCAAGGCTCACTGCAGTCTCAAACACCTGGGCTCCAGTGATCCTCCCACCTCAGCCTATAGCTGGGACTACAGGCTCCAGCCACCACTCCCAGCTAATTTTTTGTATTTTTTGTAGAGACATGGCCTGCCTATGTTGCCCAAGCTGGTTTCAAATTCTTGGGTTCACGCAATCCTCTTGCCTTGGCCTACCAAAGCACTGGGATTTCAGGTGTGAGCCTCTGTGCCCAGCCTAATTCTTAGTTTCCATAGGTATTACATGCTATTTTGAAGCATATATAAACTTGGAATGACTAAATCTAGCTAATTAACATATATGCATTACCTCACATAATTACCATTTTTGTGGTGAGAACACAACATTCAATCTCTTAACATTTTTCAAGAATACAATATATTGGTTTGGTTTGGTTTGGTTTGTCTTTTTCTTGAGACGGAGTTTCGCTCTGTCACCCAGGCTGAAGTGCAGTGGCGCGATCTCGGCTCACTGCAAGCTCCGCCTCCTGGGTTCATGCCATTCTTCTGCCTCAGCCTCCCAAGTAGCTGGGACTACCGGCGTCAGCCATCACACAGCTAATTTTTTTTTTGTATTTTTAGTAGAGACGGGGTTTCACCGTGTTAGCCAGGATGGTCTCAATCTCCTGACCTCGTTATCCGCCCCCCTCGGCCTCCCAAAGTGCTGGGATTACAGGCGTGAGCCACCATGCCTGGCCTGTTTTGCTTTGTTTGTTTTGAGAGGGAGTCTTGCTATGACGCCCAGGCTGAGGTACAATGGTGTGATCTCGTCTCACTGCAACCTCTGCCTTCCGGGTTCATGAGATTCTCCTGCCCCAGCCTCCCAAGTAGCTGGGACTACAGGTGCGCACCACCACACCCAGCTAATTTTTGTATTTTTAGTAGCAATGGGGTTTCACCATATTGGCCAGGCTGGTCTCGAACTCCTGACCTCAGGTGATCTGCCCTCCTCAGCCTTGCAAAGTGCTGGGATTACAGGTGTGAGCCACCGCGCCTACAATACATTGTTATTAACTATAGTCATCATGCTGTACCAAATTTTAAATAGGAGGATATTCTATGTGTTCTACAACTTGCCTTCTTTTTCTGATGAACTTCATATTTTTGAGTCTTATATTTTGATGTTTTTTGTTTTTTTTTCTTTTTGAAATATTTAGACCCAGTTAGCTCATTTTATGTTGTAGAACAGTGCTGTCCAATAGAACTTTCTGCAATGATGGAAATTTTCTATATCAGCATTGTCTAATATGGGTACTCACTAATCACATGTGGCTACTGAGCACTTGAAATGTGGCTAATGTGACAAAGGAACTAATTTTTGAGACGGAGTCTTGCTCTGTCGCCAGGCTGGAGTGCAGTGGCGTGATCTCAGCTCACTGCAACCTCCACCTCCAGGGTTCGAGCGATTCTCTTGCCTCAGCCTCCTGAGTAGCTGGGACTATAGGCATGTGCCACCACACCCAGCTAATTTGTGTATTTTTAGTAGAGATGGGGTTTCACCCTGTTGGCCAGGATGGTCTCGATCTCTTGACCTCCTGATCCGCCCGCCTCGGCAAAGTGGTGGGATTACAGGCGTGAGCCACCGTGCCTGGCCAAGGAACTAAATTTAAATTTTTAAAATGTGAAACATAGACGTAATTTTAATTATTTAAATTTAAGTTTAAATAGCCTCATGTGGCTCATTGCTACCATGTGGGATAACGCAGCTCTTTAATATTCAATTATATAAATATATCACAAATAATGTATCCATTCTTCTGTTTATGGATTTTAAAGTATTTCCAATTACTTTATATACTGTTATATTAAAAAATGCTGCAATGAACATACTTCTGCATGCCTTCTTGAGCAAATGTGGGAGAGGCTGGGTATAAGCTCATAAGTAGAGTTGTATTATCAACTCTACTAGATATTGCCAAATGGTCTCCACAGTGGTTTTTCTGGTTTACGCTCCCATCCACTAGAAGAAAGTCCCTGTTGCCCTGGAGCTTCAGCAACATCTGATATTCCCAAACCTGTCTTTGCCAATTTAATGAATGTCGCCTTGTTATTTTATTATTTTATTTTTAATTTTATTAATTTTATTTTTTTCACCTCATCGTTATTTTATTTTATGTATGTATGTATGTATTTATTTATTTATTTATTTATTTTAAGACGGAGTCTCACTGTTGCCCAGGCTGGAGTGCAGTGGTATGATCTCAGCTCACTACAACCTCTGCGCCCCCACCCCCTCCCTGGGTTCAAGCAACTCTCCTGCCTCTGCCTCCTGAGTAACGGGAATTATAGGCACCTGCCACCACACCTGGCTAATTTTTGTATTTTTAGTAGAGATGGGGTTTCACCATCTTGGCCAGGCTGGTCTTGAACTCCTGACCTCATGATCCACCCTCCTCAGCCTCCCAAAGCGCTGGGATTACAGGCGTGAGCCACTGAACCCAGCCCTTGTCGTTATTTTAATTTGCTTTTTTTTGAAGCCCAAAATGTCAGTATTAATTTGCATTTTCTATTTTCTCTTTGAGGGATTGTCTTTCCTATATTTAAATTTTTTTTTCTCTTGGGTTGGTTGTCTTTTTCATATCGATTTGTGGAGTTCTTTGTAAATTCTAGACAGTAATTCTTTATTGGTTATATACCTATATATGATGTAGTCTGCTATGGCATGGCTTTTATTATTAATTTAATGTTTGCAAAACCAGCATATTTACATATATTTCAAAAGGTACAAAAAGATAACCAGGGGCTGGGCACGGTGGCTCACACCTGTAATCCCAGCACTTTGGGAGGCTGAGGCGGGCAGATCACGAGGTCAGGAGATCGAGACCATCCTGGCTAACACAGTGAAACCCCACCTCTACTAAAAATACAAAAAATTAGCGGGGTGTGTTGGCAGGCGCCTGTAGTCCCAGCTACCTGGGAGGCTGAGGAAGGAGAATGGCGTGAACCAGGGAGGCGGAGGTTGCAGTGAGCCGAGATCGCACCACTGCACTCCAGCCTAGGCAGCAGAGCAAGACTCCGTCTCAAAAAAAAAAAAAAAGGTAAAAAAAAAAAAACCAGGATTTTTTTTTTTTTTTGAGACAGAGTTTCACTCTTGTTGCCCCCAGGCTGGAGTGCAATGGCCCGTTCTTAGCTCACTGCAACCTCCACCTCTCGGGTTCAAGCAATTCTCCTGCCTCAGCCTCCTGAGTAGCTGGGATTACAGGCGCCTGCCCCCAAGCCCAGCTAGTTTTTTTTGTATTTTTAGTAGAGATGGGGTTTCACCATGTTGGCCAGGCTGGTTTCGAACTCCTGACCTCAAGTGACCCGCCCACCTCGGCCTCCCAAAGTGCTGGGATTATAGGCATGAGCTACTGCGTCCGACTTGATAAAGACTTTCATGAACACTAACATAGTTTCTAACAGTTCAAGGCCACATCTCTAGGATGACCCTAATGCCCTTTAAAGTGTCTGACTGAGAGAACTCAAGGCTGCCAAAAGAATGTACTGTTTGTTCCAGCCCACAGATGAAGGTAAGGCCCCTGTTTCCCAGCTGCTGTGAGAGTGTAGGAGCCTAATGATAAGCCCCAGCTAACAAGGCCAGGTGGGCTTAACACAGACCAACCCCCTTCCCACTTTTTGTAATCTGTCACTTCTCTGACGTCATTGAGTCCCCACTCACCCTCTCTGTTCTTTCATTCTTGCTTTAAAATGCCCAGTTATCTCTACAAATCAAAGTTGAGTTCAGTTCAAGCTAGGCTCTTTTCCCTATTGCAATAATATGTCACTGATTAAAATCTGTTCTTACCACTTTATTTATTTATTTATTTATTTATTTATTTATTATTTTGAGACGGAGACTTGCTATGTGGCCTAGGCTGGAGTGCAATGGCACAATCTTGGTTTACTGCAAAATCTGCCTCCCGAGTTCAGGCGATTCTCCTGCCTCAGCCTCCTGAGTAGCTGGGATTACAGGTGTGCACCACCATGCCCAGCTAATTTTTGTTTTTTAGTAGAGATGGGGTTTCACCATGTTGGTCAGGCTGGTCTCGAATTCCTTGCCTCAAGTGATCCGCCTGCCTCGGCCTCCCAAAGCGCTGGGATTACAGGCGTGAGCCTCTGTGCCTGTCCTGTCCTTACCACTTTAGCTAGTGTCTGGCTTTGTTTATCTATGAGATGATCCAGCAATTCTACTCCCAGGTATATACCCACGAAAAATGAAGATATATATCCACACAGAAACTTGTATACAAATGTTTATAGCAACATTATTTATAATAGCCAAAAGGTGAAAACAGCCCAAATGCCCACTAACTGATGAATGGATAAATAAATTGTGATCTGTACAGGCAATGGAGTATTATTCAGCCATAAAAAGGAATGCCAGCTACTAGGGAGGTTGAGATGGGAGGATCACTTGAGCCTGGGAGGTTGAGGTTGCAGTGAGCCATGACCATACCACTGCACTCCAGCCTGGGTGACAGAGTAAGACTCTGTCTCAAAGAAAAAAATAAATGAAAGGAACACAGGGAGTGATGGGCTGAGCGTGGTAATCCCAGCACTTTGGGAGGCTGAGGCAAGAGGATCCCTGGAGCCTAGGAGTTTGAGACCAGGCTAGGTAAGTAACATAGGGAGACCCCATGTCCACTAAAAATAAAAAAATAAAAAAATTAGTGTTCCGGCGGGGGCGGCCGAGGGGGAAGAGTGTGTGTCTGCGGGAGAAAGAGGAGAATCACCCAAGCGGCCTCAGAAGTCCCAGGGAGTGGAGGCCCCTGCCATGGAGCCGTGTGGTGTATGTGTGGTAACACCATGTCTGTGCCCCTGCTCAACGATGCTGCCACCGTGTCTGGAGCTGAGCGGGAAACGGCCGTGGTTATTTTTTTACATGGACTTGGAGACACAGGGCACAGCTGGGCTGACGCCCTCTCCACCATTCGGCTCCCTCACGTCAAGTACATCTGTTCCCATGAGCCTAGGATCCCTGTGACCCTCAACATGAAGATGGTGATGCCCTCCTGGTTTGACCTGATGGGGCTGAGTCCAGATGCCCCAGAGGACGAGGCTGGCATCAAGAAGGCAGCAGAGAACATCAAGGCCTTGATTGAGCATGAAATGAAGAACGGGATCCCTGCCAATCAAATCATCCTGGGAGGCTTTTCACAGGGCCGGGCCCTGTCCCTCTACATGGCCCTCACCTGCCCCCACCCTCTGGCTGGCATCCTGGCTTTGAGCTGCTGGCCGCCTCTGCACCGGGCCTTCCCCCAGGCAGCTAATGGCAGTGCCAAGGACCTGGCCATCCTCCAGTGCCATGGGGAGCTGGACCCCATGGTGCCCGTACGGTTTGGGGCCCTGATGGCTGAGAAGCTCCGGTCTGTTGTCACACCTGCCAGGGTCCAGTTCCAGACATACCTGGGTGTCATGCACAGCTCCTGTCCTCAGGAGATGGCAGCTGTGAAGGAATTTCTTGAGAAGCTGCTGCCTCCTGTCTAACTAGTCGCTGGCCCCAGTGCAGTACCCCAGCTCATGGGGGACTCAGCAAGTAAGCATGGCACCATCTTGGGTCTGAGCTGGTCGAGCCCCTGTCCCCACCCTTCCTGACCTGTCCTTTTCCCACAGGCCTCTAGGGGCAGGTGGCAAGGCCTGGCTGGGCCTTCCTTCCTGGCCTCAGCCACCTGGCTCTGTCTGCAGTAGGGGCAGGCTGCTTTCTTATCCCATTTCCCTGGAGGCGGGCCCCCCTGGCAGCAGTATTGGAGGGGCTACAGGCAGCTGGAGAAAGAGGCCCAGCCACTGACCCACTCACTCAGGACCTCACTCACTAGCCCCACTTTGGGCCCCCTCCTGTAACCTTAGGGTTTGGCCCATGGGGCCCTCCCAGGCCCCTGCCCCAACTGATTCTGCCCAGATAATCTTGTGTCTCCTGCCTCCACTCAGCTGCTTCTCAGTCATGAACGTGGCCATGGCCCCGGGGGTCCCCTTGCTGCTGTGGGCTCCCTGTCCCTGGGCAGGAGTGCTGGTGAGGAGGTGGAGCCTTTTGAGGGGGGCCTTCCCTCAGCTGTTTCCCCACACTGGGGGGCTGGGCCCTGCCTCCCCGTTACCCTCCTTCCCTGCAGGCCTGGAGCCTGTAGGGCTGGACTGAGGTTCAGGTCTCCCCCCAGCTGTCTCACCCCCACTTTGTCCCCACTCTAGAGCAGGGAGGCAGTGGGGGAGGAGTTGTGTCTTGTCTTCTGTCTCCATGTGGTTTTTGGGTGTTTTTCTTCTTGTGTCCTGGATTCTGATAAAATTAAAGAAATTGCTTCCTCAAAAAAAAAAAAAAATTAGCCGGACATGGTGACTCGTGCCTGTGGTCCCAGCTACTCGGAAGGCAAGAGGTTGGAGTATCACTTGAGCCCAGGAGGCGGAGACTACAGTGAAACATGATCACACCACTACACTCCAGCCTGGGCAATGGTAAGACCCTGTCTCAAGGAAAGAAAAAAAAAAAGGAATGTGGTAGTGATACATTATATGCTACAACGGTGAGGAACCTCAAAAACATTATGCTAAGTGAAATAAGTCATTATTTATGGATTTTTTATTTTTCATTGTCAAGTTAGCATTGTACACAAATACACACACATGCTCACACACACAGCTTGGTTTCATTTGCAAAACTTTTATTTAGGATTTTTCCAGGTATGTTTGTCAGTGAGATTAGCCTATAGCTTTCCTTTCTTTCACTGTCTTTGTCTAATATTGTTATAGAGGTTATATTAATTTTTTTTTTTGAGATAAGAGTCTCGCTCTGTCACCCAAGCTGGAGTGCAGTGGCACAATCTCAGCTCATTGCAACCTCCACCTCCAAGGTTCAAGCTATTCTTGTGTCTCAGCATCCCGAATAGCTGGGATTACAGGCATGTGCCACCATGGTCGCCTAATTTTTTAAAAAAATGTTTTTAAATTTTTAGTAGAGATGGGGTTTTGCCATGTTGGCCAGGCTGGTCTCGAACTCCTGGCCTCAAGAGATCCACCCGCCTTGGCTTCCCAAAATGCTGGGGTTACAGGCATGAGCCACTGCTACCAGACTAGGTTATATTAAGTCTTATAAAATAGTTTGAAAGTATACTCTCTTTTTGAAAGGCATTTTTTTTTCTTTGCTTGTTTGTTTTTAGTTTTCTTTTCTTTGTTTTTTTTTATGTTTTTGAGACGGAGTCTTGCTCTGTTGCCCAGGCTGGAGTGCAGTGGCACAATCTCGGCTCACTGCAACCTCTGCCTCCCAGGTCCAAGCGATTCTCCTGCCTCAGCCTCTTGAGTAGCTGGGATTACAGACGCCCACCACCACGCCCGGTTAATTTTTGTATTTTTAGTAGAGACAAGGTTTCTCCATGTTGGCTTCCCCAGGCTGGTCTCGAATTCCTGACCTCGTGATCTGCCCACATCGGCCTCCTAAAGTGCTGGGATTACAGACGTGAGCCACCACGCCTGGCCGCTTGTTTTGTTTTTAATGTTGGTTATAACTCTGTATCTAGGTAATTATCTCATGAAGCATTTTTCTGCTATTGGAAGCAATTTGTATAAAACAGTAAGCCTCTTCGCCCCCATTCTTTTACGGGGCTAATTTCTACTCATTCTCCAGTTCTCATCATAAACTTCACATTGTTAGAAAGGGCTTTGCTTTCTCTCCCACTAGATTAGGTGTCTCTGTTCCATGACTCTCAGCACATTTCATTGTGATGTCTCATTAAATGTTGGTATTCTCAGCTGGACCCTAAACTACATGGACAGGGACCTAACTTTTGTTCACCACTACCCCAGTGCTTAGCACATTGATGTCACAAAATTGGCCACCAATAAATATGTTTGGCGGAATGAGTGAAAGAAACACGGCAAACTGGAATGCCCTGGGAAGTCCTCCTGCTTCAGAACAAAGGAGAAGACCGGAAGAAAGAAGGGCTACAGCCCAGCTGTGGAAGCAGAGCCCTAGGCAAGGAGGTGTCAGTGCAGTCCTGGTCCCTCTGTGCAGGAGCCTCTCATAAAGAGGCTGAGCTGTGTCAGCACCAGGGGCCCCATCATCATAGGAGGTCAGTGAAGCTTGGGAGTTCTGGCAGATGCAGCAGAGGTGGCCCTGAACACTTGGAGATTCTGGGATGGTCACCTGGGAGCCAGCAGCCATGCAGGGTAATGGGGAAGACAGCAGCGATTTCTGGAGATTGGCTCCCCTCAAAGACAGAGAGAGGAGCTTGGGCAGGACTAGATTTTCCAGTTTTTTTGTTTTGTTTTGTTTTTGTTTTTGTTTTGTTTTTTTTTTTGAGACGGAGTCTCACTCTGTCGCCCAGGCTGGAGTGTAGTGGTGCGATCTTGGCTCACTGCAAGCTCCGCCTCCCGCGTTCATGCCATTCTCCTGCCTCAGCCTCCCGAGTAGCTGGGACTACAGGCGCCCACCACCACGCCTGGCTAATTTTTTGTATTTTTTAGTAGAGACGGGGTTTCAGCGTGTTAGCCAGGATGGTCTCGATTTCCTGACCTCGTGATCTACCCGCCTCGGCCTCCCAAAGTGCTGGGATTACAGGCGTCAGCCACCACACCCGGCCTAAGTCACACTTTCAAAATTCCTAAATCCACCCAAGGCACGGATAGCTCAGTGGCTTCTGCAGGGCCCTGGAGAAACTTCCCTCACCAGGTTCTGACCCTCTGGCTCATGTTGGGTAATCATCTTGTTTAGTCTGCATCTGCACCTTAGTACCAGGAAGTGCCTTAGGCTGAGGAACAAGAATTCACTACTCACTGGAAAAATCAATGTCCCAGGTATTCTAGCTTACCTATCAGTCTCGTGTGACTTTGGCTAGCGTCAGTCAGTTCCCTTGAATGTCAATAACCCTGAATATTCTGGCAAATAGAACTTTAAGTCAAGTTATCGCTGGATCCTAGTGACAATCATCAGTCCTTAATACTAGATGATGGTTTGTTTGTTTATTAGTAAATCCTGACTGAGCACCTCCTGGGGGCAGACCATGGTTGGGTCTGTCCCTGGTATCAACTTAGACAAATATTTCCATGTGATCCAGATATCTTAATCTATAGAGTGGATCTGAGAGCTGATGGCTTAGACCAGCTATTTGCTAAATTTCCTTCCCAGTATCTCAAAGGAGAATAGAGTAATGAAGGGAGGAGGTACTTGAGAGGGCCTGATTCAAGCAAGCAGGTTTGACTAAATTGTTGGATGGAGTCACCTTCACTACAACATTCCTCTCTGAGTAAAGCTGGGGCAATCCCAAGACAAGCCTTACAACTGAGTAGGGGTCTCTGGGAGCTGACTCTTTCCTGAGTTGACCAGCTACCGGCCAGACCAAGGTCACATTGGCACTTTTTTACTGCCATGCACAGACCTTTCACTTTTTCACTATGAGGGCATTTTACCACTTTATCCTTTGAATAAACTACAAGTACATAAGACACTTCAGCCTCACGCAAGCTTGGAAGGTAGGATAACACAATGGTGGGTAAAAGCATGTGCTCTGGAGACAAAGTCTGAGATCAAACCCAACCTCCAGGGAGTCTCTCTGAACCCATTTTGGTTCAGAGGGCTGCCTGAAAAAACAACAAAACAAAAAACCCAAACTCCCGCCTTTATGTCTCTGGGTCTCATGGACAAATAGGGTTAATAAGAGTCCTGCAACAAGGCTGGGCGTGGTGGCTCAAGCCTGTAATCCCAGCACTTTGGGAGGTCGAGGTGGGCAGATCACCTGAGGTCAGGACTAGCCTGGCCAACACGGTGAAACCTGTCACCACTAAAAATACAAAATTAGCCTGGCATAGTGGCACATGCCTGTAGTCCCAGCTACTGGGGAGGCTAAGGTGGGAGAATCACTTGAACTCGGGAGGTGGAGGTTGCAGTGAGCCAAGATGGCACCATTGCACTCCAGCCTGGGCGACAAGAGTGAAACTCCATCTCAAAAATAAATAAATAAATAAAAATAAAAATAGAGTCCTGCAACAGTGAGGATGCATTCAGATGAAAGCAACAGAAAACTCAGCTAATAATGTCAGTTAATAAAGACATTTAATTGTTTCATATTTCAAAAATGTCCGGAGGTCAGCAGCCAGTAAGCCCCCTAACGATATTATCTAAGACCCAGGGTCTCTTCATCCTGCTCCATCATCCTTGGCGTGCTGGCTTTTGGGGCCCTCTGTGTGATACTCCACTGATATTCTTGGCACATGGGAAACATCATCTGCTCTTGGATTTCCCAGATCAATCTGAGGATATTACTTCTTGGGGGTAGGTAGGGCCCTGTGGTGGTTTGGACTGTTATTCCCAATCCTTTGCTTCCTCCTTATTATTTAAGTGTACATCCATCCCCTTTGCTGTGTGACTTGCTTGTGCCAACAGAATGTCAGAGGACACGATGCAAGCAGATGCTTTCAATGTGCTTTTGTAGTTTGGCTTGGCCTCTTGCACTCCTGTGATCTGACAAGAGAAAGGCAAATTCCAGATATCCATTGCCCCTTCAGCTGTGACCCAGAATAGACACTGGACCAGGACTAAAGGAGTCCTACCAAGCCCTGTCAAGCCCAGCCTGATTAGACAAACCACAGACAACTCACAAACCCATGAGCATGAAAATAAATAGAGTGGCTTAAGCAATCTCCTGGGGACAGGTATAGGAGGACAGCAAGGGTCCTTGGGTTCTCAGAGTGTCCTCCAGCTCCTCCGGTTTATGAGTCAGTATGTACTTGGTCACATTCATCCTGGGGGCCTTTGGCTAAAGTCAACATTTAGAGTTTCTCGTGGATCTCTTGGCTGGATCTGATCTCACTGGTGCTTTCTGGCTGACTCAACCTCCCTGTGGCTCTCGGTAGCCCAGTGGGACCCCTGAATCTCTACCATGTCTCCCATTCAGCTCCTAACCAAGTTATGCAAACCACATGCCTCTGCTGCCAGGTCACCCTCTTCCTACCCCCCATGCCCCATGGCAGGCCCATGGCTCTCAATTCAATACCCATCACTGGAAAAGGGCTGGTAACACAAAACAGACCCTGTCTCCCTGCCAGTGCATCCTGATTTGCCCACTTATCTACAATGGGCAAAATTTTGTAGCAGCTTCAGTGATCTCTTCTGTTTTCTGGATGTTTCTGAAGCCATTCCCCCAATTCCAAGGCATCTCCTTGACTCTCACCTCCCTGCCTTCGTCTTGTTGAAACTCCAAGATGAGAAGTGGTAGGCTTCTCTTTTATTCTTTTCATATCTTATCTTTGGCTTCCTAGCTCTAATTGCCACTTCAAAAGACAAGGGTTCCCTTTGGAAACAATCTGTTGAGGTAGCTGTTATTATCCTCATTATGGACATATAGGAAATCAAAGATGAGAGATTAAATTACCTCCTCCTTTGGTAGAAACTTGATTCTAGATCTGGCTCTTGATTATGTTAAATGGGAGCTAAATGAATGCAGAAAACAATTTCTTTCTCATAGTCCAGTTTTCAAGTCCATTGTCTTGCTGCAAAATCCTATTTTGAATTTCAATAGATGCATATTACCATTTCCTTCTCTTTATATTTCTTCTGAAACAATCTTAATCTCCTCACAAGCAGTTTGATGCCACAACCAAATAAGAAAGAGGTCATTTACTTGCTGAAGGCAAAAGAGTATAAAAGGAAAAAACACATTAATAGTTTCTTCATACATTATCCATTCTAGCTCCCTGCTTCCACCTGACTTCCCTATTGCAAAGTCTGGAGAATCTTTATCTAGTCCTTTGAATGTGTGTATGCACACATGAGAATTCATGGCTGCATGCAAGAGTGTGTGTGCATGCATGTATTGATGAGAGTGTTGAGAAAAGGAACTCTTCATTTTCTCTTTTTTTCTTTTCTTTTCTTTTTTTTTTTTGAGACAGAGTCTTGCTCTGTCGCCCAGGCTGGAGTGCAGTGAGCTCATTGCAACCTCTGCCTCCCGGGTTCAAGGGATTCTCATGCCTCAGTCTCCCAAGTAGCTGGGATTCCAGGCACGTGCCACAACACCCGGCTAATTTTTGTATTTTTAGTAGAGACGGGGTTTCACCATGTTGGCCAGGATGGTCTCAAACTCCTGACTGCAAGTGATCCACCCGCGTCAGCCTCCCAAAGTGCTGGGATTACAGGCGTGAGCCACTGCGCCCGGTCCATTTTTTCTTTTTTTTTTTTTTAATGCCATAAGTCTTTGAAACTCTAAAGCCAAAAATTTGACCCATTTATTTATAATTGGTATTATACTGTCATTCCTTTCTTTAGGTAATAAAGCCAGAACCATTGGTTTTTTTCATTAAGATAGGGAACCAGGTTACAAGGATTACCAAAAATAAAAGATAATAGGCTGCTGTTTTTAAAACCTTACATCTCCAGGATCTAAGTCAGTGGCAATAGGGAGGGAAGAGAGGCATTTGGTGACCCAAACCAACTGCTGCTGAGCTGTCCAGTTCTCTGGCTCTCCTTTGACTTCTTGGAACCATCACTTTGACAACAATAAACTCCCAATGCAGGAAAACAAAGCCAGGATTTTTTCTGAGTCTCAGCCACATGCTAAGCGATATGTGATGTACTTTTGTGTACATTATCTCATTTCTTCTTAAAGCAATCCTTCATAGTAGGTATTATCATTTTCACTTTTCACTTTTTTTTTTTTTTTTTTGAGGCAGGGTCTCATTCTGTCACCCAGGCTAGAGTGCAGTGGAGCAATCACTACAGCCTCAAATTCCTGGGCTCAAGTGATCCTCCCACCTCAGCCTCCTGAGTAGCTGGAACTGCAGGCGTGTGCTACCATGCCCAGATAATTTTTAAATTTTTTTGCAGAGATTGGGATCTCATTATGTTGCCCAGGCTGGTCTCAAACTCCTGGCCTCAAGCAATTCTCTTGCCTCCGCTTCCCCAAGCGTTGGGATTACAGGCATGAGCCACTGCACTTGGCCTCATTCTCATTTTTTAATGATGAGACAGGGTGCACAGGCTGAAAGAGGTAGAATAACTTCCCCAAAGCCCAACAGCTAAAACATGAAAGAGCCGGGATTCGGCCGCCCCGTCTGGGAAGTGGGCGCCTCTGCCCGGCCACCCCGTCTGGGAGGTGAGGAGCGCCTCTGCCAGGCTGCCCTGTCTGGGAAGTGTACGCAACAGCTCTGAAGAGACAGCGACCATCGAGAACGGGCCATGATGACGATGGCGGTTTTGTCGAAAAGAAAAGGGGGAAATGTGGGGAAAAGAAAGAGAGATCAGATTGTTACTGTGTCTGCATAGAAAGAAGTAGACATAGGAGACACCATTTTGTTCTATACTAAGAAAAATTCTTCTGCCTTGGGATGCTGTTAATCTATAACCTTACCCTCAACCCTGTGCTCTCTGAAACATGTGCTGTGTCAACTCAGGGTTAAATGGATTAAGGGCGGTGCAAGATGTGCTTTGTTAAACAGATGCTTGAAGGCAGCATGCTTAAGAGTCATCACCACTCCCTAATCTCAAATACCCAGGGACACAAACACTGCCGAGGGCCGCAGGGACTTCTGCCTAGGAAAACCAGAGACCTTTGTTCACGTGTTTATCTGCTGACCTTCTCTCCACTACTATCCTATGACCCTGCCACATCCCCCTCTCTGAGAAACACCCAAGAATGATCAATAAATACTAAAAAAAAAAAAAAAAAAAAAAAAAAAAGAGCAAGAGCCGGGATTCAAACCCTGCTCCTTGGTACTGCTAACCTCACCGTCGTTTCTCTACATTGGGTGCCTCTTGAGCGATTGTGCTAACACTACATGGAGAGGACTCTATAAAGATGACTACTTTCTTCCTTGTGGGAGTTTTTATTTTATTTTAATTTTTTGAGACAAGGTCTCGCTCCGTTGCCCAGGCTGGGTTGTAGTGGCACGATCTTGGCTCACTGCAGCCTCAACCGCCCTGGACTCCCATCTTGACCTCCAGAGTAGCTGGAACTACAGGCGCATGCCACCACTCCCAGCATTCTCCTGCCTCAGCCTCCCGAGTAGCTGGGACTACAGGCGCCCGCCACCACAGCGGGCTAATTTAGAGACGGGGTTTCACCGTGTTAGCCAGGATGGTCTCGATCTCCTGACCTCGTGATCCGCCCACCTCGGCTTCCCAAAGTGCTGGGATTACAGGCATGAGCCACCGCGCCCGGCCTGAAGTTTCTTAGCCACAGTGCTTTTAAACATTTTATAAAAAAGCAAAACAAATATTCCTTACTGCTGCGTCTATCTTCTGAAGATGACAGCAGCTGGCAGAGCTTGTCCACCTCAGCCTAGCTAGCATTTAAATATGGCTATAGGAGAGCGTCCCTTATTAGCGGGCTCCTCCCCCAGGGCTCTGTACTCTAGGCTGCTCCACACTCCTTTGCCCACCTTAGGCTAGTAAGGTCGGGGTGTACATGGACTGTTTCTTAGCCCTTTCCCTAGGGGGCCAGGGGAGACAAGGAATTGCTTGTCAACTGAGACATGTGAGGGGTGGCAGGGAAGGGCAGAAGTAGGAAAAGCAGCAGCACAGCAAGCAGCAGGCCACTTCCTGGGCACAGTTACTAAGGCAGGTGACCATGGTGAGGAGGATCCTCAGGACTGGGCTGGAGCTGCCTGCAGCCACCTGGGGACTCAGTCTGCGCCTTTTGGCCTCCCCTCCGTCACCACAAACCCAGAAAGGGGCAACCTGCCCAGACTGCCAGTGGCCAAATGGGCACTCCATGGCATCTTAGCATCTCTCCTGCTCCAGGCCTCTGTGGGCAGCAAGAAAGCTAGAGCTACCTGGGATAAAACCGAGGAGGCAGCATGCAACTTCCTCTTATATTCCAGGGTATTAGATATGAGTTCTAAATTTCTTTTCAAATAATTGTCATTATGTTCAATTCTTTACCTTCTACTTTTAAACTTAACTTCCTCGTAAAGCAATCTTTTTTGATTACCTACTCCACCCTGACTCATTCTGATCTCCTGCTCCACCCTAACTCATTTTGATCACCTGCCACCTGCTCTGCCCTGACTCCCGCCAAAGCACTCATCCCGTCATTCTCTTTAAATTAGCCAGTCAGAATTAGTTTAGCCTGTGCTGTCTAACCCTAGCCAATAGGGGAACGAAACAGCAGCAGGGGCCACGTGCATTAGGGATAAGAACCCCTTCCCCTCCCTTGTCCAAGTGTGCGCTCACCATTGTTCCATCTGTAAGGGTGCACCCTTCTATATAGAAGTACCTAGCCTTGCTGAGAATTAAAAGGAAAATTTTATATTTGAGTGATATTCCTTTTGCGGCACCGAAACTTTATATATAACAATTTGGGGGCTTGTCTGGGATTACATTCCCCTCTGGGGGTGGTCTCTGGTTCTCTCTCTTGAGGAGGTGAACCCCGCCCTATTGTGGCGGCCTCAGGCGTGAAAAATCAAGACCTACCCAGTGCAAGGAATAACCCAAGCTCTCAGCAATGCAGGAAAAAAAAAAAAGGCCATCAACCTTTTGGGGTGATCAGACCCAACACCAGGCCGTGGGGGCTACGAAGTCCAGCAGAGTCAAAGGAATGAGAAAACACAAGTTCAGAGAGAAAGTGGGACCAGGGGGCCAATACTAGTATGGAGGTTGCAAAGGCCCGGAGCTCTGGAAGCCCACACTATTTATTGGTGATCAAACAAACAGGGGGTGAGGATGTGGGGGTTGAAAGGAAGCGATGTATCAAGCTAATGAACTACAGATGTGATGGTTTAGCATTTTCTTTGAAATGTATGGCTACTTGAGATAATGGGAGTGCTAGAAGCAAGAAGCCAGCAAGTCTGGACACATTCCAAAGGCCACCAGGGGTGTTACCCTGAATGTAAAACTATTGAAGAAACAATTTATGTGCAAGATGTATAAGGAAAGTAAAATATACTTTTAGTAAAAGGATTATAAGGAGGCATAAGAATGTGGATTTTTACCTACATTAAAAGGTTAAAAAAAAATTTTGTGGCCAGGCATGGTGGCTCACACCTGTAATCCTACCTAGCACTTTGGGAGGCCGAGGTGGGTGGATCACCTGAGATCAGGAGTTTGAGACCAGCCTGGCCAACCTGGTGAAACCCCGTCTCAACTAAAAATACGAAAATTAGCTGGGCGTTGTGGTGGGCACCTGTAATCCCAGCTACTCACTCAGGAGGCTGAGGCAGGAGAATCACTTGAACGTGGGAGGCGGAGGTTGCAGTGAGCCAAGATCGCACCATTGCACTCCAGCCTGGGTGACAGAGTGGGACTCCATCTCAAAAAAGAAAAAAAAAATTTGTTTTGAAGGTTTAAGCAAGTTTTAAAATGTTAATTGTAATGGAAATTATGTGTGTAAACATATTGGCTAAGGTTAAAAGGGTATCACCCAGTTTTTCTGTGAACTGAGCATTAAAATAAAAACACAACGGGTTTTTCTTAAAGCACTAACCCGCTGTTTAACAAAAATTATAAAAAGTTAAAAACAGGCCAGGCTCAGTGGCTCATGCCTGTAATCCCAGCACTTTGGGAGGCCGAGGCAGGCAGATCACCTGAGGTCGGGAGTTCGAGACCAGCCTGACCAACATGGAGAAACCCCCATCTCTGCTAAAAATCCAAAATTAGCTGGGTGTGGTGGTGCATGCCTGTAATCCCAGCTACTTGGGAGGCTGAGACAGGAGAATTCCTTGAACCCGGGAGGCAGAGATTGCAGTGAGCCAAGATTGCACCATTGCACTCCAGCCTGGGCAACAAGAGTGAAACTCCTTCTCAAAAAGAAAAAAAAAAACAGTCTATAAAAATCTTACCTTATGGGCCGGGCACGGTGGCTCACGCCTATAATCCCAGCACTATGGGAGGCCGAGGTGGGTGGATCATGAGGTCAGGAGATAGAGACCACCCTGGCTAACAAGTAAAACCCTGTCTCTACTAAAAATACAAAAAATTAGCCAGGCGTGGTGGTGGGCGCCTGTAGTCCCAGCTACTTGGGAGGCTGAGGCAGGAGAATGGCGTGAACCCGAGAGGTGGAGCTTGCAGTGAGCCGAGATCGTGCCACTGCATTTCAGCCTGGGCGACAGAGCAAGACTCCATCTCAAAAAAAAAAAAAAAAACAAAAAACAAAAACTTACCTTATGATCAGACATTAAAAATTGGATAAATATGTCTACAAAGTGTTATTAAAACTAAGTTTAACATTAATAGGCCGGGCGCGGTGGCTCACGCTTGTAATCCCAGCACTTTGGGAGGCCAAGGCGGGCAGATTGCCTGAGCTCAGGAGTTCGCGACCAGCCTGGGCAACAAGGTGAAACCCCGTCTCTACTAAAATACAAAAAAATTAGCCGGGCGTGGCAGCGTGTGCCTGTAGTCCCAGCTACTTGGGAGGCTGAGGCAGGAGAACTGCTTGAACCCGGGAGGCAGAGGTTGCAGTGAGCCAAGATCGCGCCACTGCACTCCAGCCTGGGCAACAGAGTGAGACTCCGTTTCAAAAAAAAAAATTAATAACACACTAATATAAAGGTGAAATTTAGCTTATCTGGTATAAAAATCATACAGGAAGCACTGTCAAATATAAAATGGTGTTTGGCGTTCTTTGGTCTAAAAAAACTAATAAAAATAAGTGCTAAAGGAAATTTCTCAGTAAGAAGGCACCAAGGACTATAAAGTCCACTGCTGATGTCCCCACATTTAAAACAAAAGGTCGATTTCTTAGAAATTATATGCTTGGTTTATCTTCCACTTTCCTCTCCCTCAAAACTAAAAATATTTTAGCACAGGTACCACCCCTAAAATTTCTGGTAAACCAGCACCAGCCTGAAGATCATGTTGTCATCAGAGGGTGGAAAGAAGGAAAACTCGAGCCAGCCTGGGAAGGACCCTACCTTGTGCTGCCAACCACCGAGACTGCAGTTTGTACAGCGAAAAAGGGATGGATTCATCACACCCGAGTCAAGAAAGCACCACCCCCTCCAGAGTTGTGGGCCATAGTCCCAGGGGGAAACCCTACCAAATTAAAGCTAAGAAAAATTTAACTCTTTCATCTATTCTATTACTCTTTCTCCTTTCCTCGCTCTATTGCTGACCATCTAGTTATTAACATAACCAAGTCAATTTCGCCTCAAACTATTGCATTTAGTGCTTGCCTTGTTATATCCCGTAGGAACTTGCCAAGTCAAAGACAGCTCTCTACTTCTGAAAAGTACCTCTGTCCCTCCTGACTCTCCTCACACTGGGCATTAGTAAATTAGGACCACTGAATCCGGGGGGATTTCGATAAAGATCCCAATGTCAACCAGGATTCTTGACCCCCAATGTAGAGCTTTTATGCCGTAGTCGGTCCAACGTTCTGTGGATCACTAAAGAGCAAGTATGGACTGCCCCAATCAGTTTTTGTAATTTCCTAAAACCATATATTCATTTTACTAGAGGATCATAGAAGTTAAAGACTTAAAAAACATTTTGGCAATTAACACAGGATACCAAGATGCAAATGCCTGGTTGGAATGGATCAAATATTCCGTCCACATTAAACAAAAGCAATTGTTATGCTTGTGCACATGGCAGGCCAGAGGCCCAGATTGTCCCCTTTCCACTAAGGTGGTCCTCCAGTCGACCAGGTGTGGGCTGCATGGTAGCTCTTTTCCAGGATTCTACAGCCTGGAGTAATAACTCACGCCAAGCTCTCTCTCTGCTATATCCTGAAGTCCGGCACCCTGCGCGTCAGCCCCCGAGGGCCATCCAGCTTCTGTCTCCCAACACTAAGTTCACTTCGTGTCTCTCCCAATAGGGAGGAAACTTAGCATTCCTTGGAGACCTGAAGGATGCAGTGAGCTTAAGAATTTTCAAGAGCTTATCAATCAGTCAGCCCTTGTTCATCCCCGAGTGGATGTGTGGTGGTATTGTGGTGGATCTTTACTGGACACTGCCAAATAACTGGAATGGCACTTGTGCTTTATTCCAATTGGCTATCCCTTTCACCCTGTTATTTCATCAACGAGAGGAAGGAAAAATAAGTATCATAAAGCAAGAGAAGCCCTTTATGGGTCTTTCGACTCTCACGTCTATTTAGACACAATTAAGAGTCCCATGGGGAATACCAGATCAATTTAAAGCCCAAAATCAAATTGCTGCAGGATTTAAGTCAACATTTTGGTGGGTAACAATTAATAAAAGTGTAGATTGGGTAAACTACGTCTATTACAACCAATAGCGATTTATTAACTACACTAGAGATGCTGTTAGAGGAATAGCTGAACAATTAGGGGCTACTAGCCAGACGGCTTAGGAAAATAGTGTCACCGGCGTCTGTGTGAAGAGACCACCAAACAGGCTTTGTGTGAGCAATAAAGCTGTTTATTTCACCTGGGTGCAGGCGGGCTGAGTCCGAAAAGAGAGTCAGCAAAGGGTGGTGGGATTATCATTAGTTCTTATAGGTTTGGGATAGGCATACAAACTACATTCTTAAGGGCAGGGGAGAATATTACAAAGTACCTTCGTAAGGGTGGGGGAGAATATATTTATCAGTTAGGGTGGGACAGGAACAAATCACAATGGTGGAATGTCATCAGTTGAGGCTATTTTCACTTCTTTTGTGGATCTTTAATTGCTTCAGGCCATCTGGATGTATACCTGCAGGTCACAGGGGATATGATGGCTTAACTTGGGCTCAGAGGCCTGACATTCCTATCTCCTTATATTAATAAACAAAATAGTGGTGAAGTGTTGGGGCTGCGAAAATTTTTGGAGGTGGTATGGAGAGATAATGGGTGATGTTTCTCAGGGCTTCTTCGAGCGGGATTAGGGGCGGTGTGGGAGCCTAGAGTGGGAGATATTAAGCTGAAGGAAGATTTTGTGGTAAGGGGTGATATTGTGGGGTTGTTAGAAGGAGCATTTGTTGCCCGGTGTGGTGGCTGACGCCTATAATCCCAGCACTTTGGGAGGCTGAGGCGGGCGGATCACCTAAGGTCAGGAGTTCAAGACCAGCCTAGCTGACATGGTGAAACCCCATCTCTCCAAAAAAAAAAAAAAACAAAAATTAGCCGGACATGATGGCGGGTGCCTGTAATCCTAGCTACTCAGGAGGCTGAGGTGGGAGAATTGCTTGAACCCCAGGAGGTGGAGGTTGCAATGAGCTGAGATCGCGCCACTGCACTCCAGCCTGGGTGACAGAGTGAGACTCTGTCTCAAAAAAAAAAAAAAAAAAAAGAAAAGACAGCTGGAAAAGAATGGTTATCATCTTTAGGAAAAAAAAAATGGCTGGGCACGGTGTCTCACGCCTGTAATCCCAGAAGGAGCATTTGTCGTATACAATGATTGGCGATGGCCTGGATACAGTTTTGGATGAATTGAGAGACTAAACGGAAGATACAAGGTCCGAATAAGGGAAGGAGAAAAACAGGTATTAAAGGACTAAGAATTGGGAGCACCCAGGACATCCAATTAGAGAGTGCCCAAGGGGGTTCAGAGTAATTACTTGCTTGGTTGGCGAGTTTTTGGCCTCTATCCTTGAGTTCTTTTATGTTGTCATACACCAGGCCAGATTGATTTAGGTAAAAACAACACTCTTCATTAAAAAATATACAGAGTCCTCCTTTTTCAGCAGTGAGTAAGTCAAGGCCTCGGTGGTTTTGGAGGACAACTGCAGCTAAAGAGTCAACTTGGGCCTGAAGGACTGATAAAGTTTGTGATATGTGTGTGATGCTAGCAGAGAAGTCATTAGAGAGGCTATGGAAGGTCGTGACAGAGGTTGAAATGCCTACTATTCCAGTACCGAGAGCAATAGTGGAGGCAGAAAGTCCTAAACCGACAAGCAAGGGAATTAGCGGAATAACTCTTTTTTGTTGTGTCGGTGTCATGAGGGGAACAGGAAGATGTTCAGTCCCATTTGCAAATTGATTTTGGGAGTAAGGAAAACTAGTGTGCATGTGCCTGTCCAATTAGCAGGTAGACACATGTAGGTAGAGGATCCACAGAGGAAGAAGAGACCTTGTGCGGAGCAAAACCGGAAATGCAAAGTAAAAAGATGAGAAGGAGTGCTGAAAGAGGTGTCTTGTACCCAGACTCCTAGGGATCCAGCTAGGGCGGCAGCCGTCAGAGGTTGTAATGGGGACTGATGGGGTAACTACGTAGAGGGGGAGGTTTGATTTTCATGGTGTATGAGAAAACTTTGAGTGTCTACGAGCAACCTTTCACTGTTATTTACGGGGCTGAGTATAAGCAAACAAGAAGAGGGCCTGGGAGGAGAGTCTGACAAGCAAGGGGAAGGTAGCCAAGGATGGAGTGAAATACAGGGTAAGTGTCTTCCTAAGCAATAATAACTGCTAATGTGTTTAAGTTTGCCAGTATTGATAGAGGGCTTATCTGTAATACAGAGCTGGGAGGCTCCAATTGTTTCAGTGATGTGTGTAGTTGGGCTTCGGAGATGAAGAGTAAAGGAACATCGAGAAGGTGAAAGATTACCTAGGGGAATTCCAGTGGGTCTTTGCCGAGAGATACATAAAGGAACGGCCACAGGAATAGTAGTTTGTGTTGTGAGGGGTCCAAATATGGGGGGAGTAGAGTTGATATAAGGAGAAAGGTTTTTTAAGTAAGTGTGGAGGAGGGCGGCAGCTTGCTGAAGTGAAATGTCTGGGGAAGTCTTGCTGGACCTGTCTAGAAAGTAAAGAAGTTCTTTAGGAAGGTAAAGGTGAGGGCTGTTAAAGGAAGTTTGGAGGTGTAGGGAGATAGGAGAGGTTGCCCAGTCTGTATGTAAGGCGGGGACAGCTGTGTAGGCGCAGGAAGAAAGGGAAATGCAAATTCAGCAATGGTTTGATGAGGGATTAGAAACGGCTAGGAGAGAGTGAATGAGATTGATAGTGTGGTGGAGCTAGCTGGGGAGAGGTAGAGGGTGGCATAAAAATGGGAACAAGAATAGGAGTGAGTATAAAAGTAAAGAATAGGACTTCATCAGGGTGAAAGTATTGGAGTGTGCCCTGCCAGCAAATATTATTTATTTACTTTAAGAGGGAGTTAAGAGTGGCGGTCTGGGGATAGCACCAGGAGATACCAGCTGTGACGGCTTGGAGAAACAGTGTAAACCGGCAGTGTAAACAAGAGCAGGGCATTTATGAGTAGTTGAGAATGGTGAATAGGAGTATGACTAGACAGAAGATAGAAGGGATGACAAGTTTTTGGGGTGCAGTCCGAGTTGGGCTGGTGTCTGGAATAAGACTGGGGCCTAATAAAAAGGAGCATCCATACAGGAGCTCAAATGGGCTGTATCCTGCAGCATTCCGAGGACAGGCCCGAATTCTGAGAAGGGCAAGTGGTAAAAGTACTGTCCAGTCTTTTTAAGTTGGAGGCTGAGCTTGGTGAGGTGTGTCTTTAAAAGACTATTAGTCTGTTTTACTTTTTCTGAAGATTGAGGATGGTAAGGGGTATGAAGGTTCCACTGAATACCAAGAGCCTGAGAAACTGCTTGGGTGATTTGACTAATAAAGGCCAGTCTGTTATTGGACTGTATAGAGGTGGGAAGGCCAAAGCGAGGAATTATGTCTGACAGAAGGGAAGAAATGACCGCAGTGGCCTTCTCAGACCCTGTTGGAAAGGCCTCTACCCATCCAGTGAAAGTGTCTACCCAGACCAAGAGGTATTTTAGTTTCCTGACTTGGGGCATGTGAGTAAAGTCAATTTGCCAGTCCTGGGCAGGGGCAAATCCCTGAGCTTGATGTGTAGGGAGGGGAGGGAGCCTGAACACTCCCTGAGGAGTAGTAGAATAGCAGATGGAACACTAAGAAGTGATTTCCTTGAGGATAGATTTCCACGATGGAAAGGAAATGAGAGGTTCTAAGAGGTGGGCTAGCAGCTTGTAACTTACATGGAAGAGGTTATGAAATGACAGCAGAATAGAATGGGCCTGTGAGGCTGTTAGGAGATATTTTCCTTGGTCCAAGAACCATTTGCCTTGTGTGGGAAGAGACTGATAGGTAGAAGTTTCAGCAGGAGAGTAGGTGGGAGTGACCCATGAGAATGAGAAAAATTGGCCGTGAGGGACAGAATTTGGAATGCTAGCTGCTTCTTTAGCTACCTTATCAGCAAAAGCATTGCCCTGAGCGATGGGATCTGACGCCTTTTGATGGCCCTTGGAGTAAATGACTCCAGCTTCCTTTGGAAGTAAAGCGGCCTTGAGAAGAGTTTTTATTAAAGAGGCATTAATGACAGAGGACCCTTGCGTAGTGAGGAAACCTCTTTTTGCCCATATAACAATATGGTGGTGCAGGATATGGAAGGCATATTTAGAGTTGTATAAATATTGACATGTAGTCCCTTTGCAAAAGTGAGGGCTCGAGTTAAGGCAATGAGTTCAGCTTGCTGAGAGGTAGTGGAGAGGGGCAGAGCAGTAGCCTCAATGATAGATGTGGAAGATACTATAGCATAGCCTGCCTTTGCTGGTGTGTGGCAATTAGGCCTGGTAGAACTACCATCAATAAACCAAGTGTGATCAGGGTGAGGAACAGGAAAGAAGGAAATACGGGGAAATGGGGTGAATGTCAGGTGGATCAGAGAGATACAGTCATGGGGGTCAGGTGTGGTATCAGGAATAATGTGGGAGGCTGGATTGAAGTCCTGGCCAGGAACAATGGTAACTGTGGGAGACTCAACAAAGAATGAGTACAGCTGAAGGAGCCGGGGAGCAGAAAGTATACGTGTTAGATGTGAGGAAGAAAATAGATTTATGAGAACTGTAGAGAGTGAGTTGAGCATAGTTTGTGATTTTGAGGGCCTGTAAAAGTATTAGGGCAGTGGCAGCCACTGCACGGAGACATGATGGCCAGCCTAAAACAGTAAGTCAAGTTGTTTGGACAAAAAGGCTACAGGGTGCGGTCCTGGTCCTTGTGTAAGAATTCTGACTGTACAGCCCTGCACTTCGGCTGTGTGTAATGAAAAGGGTCGGGATGAGTCATGGAGAGCTAGTGTGGGAGCTGTGTTTTAAGGAATGGAAAGGGGAGAGGAGAAAGGATTTAGGATCTATGGGGTCAGCTAGGTTTATCTAGAACAGAATAATGGGTTGTGGAGGGAGGTATTGAGGATAGGAGAGTATATGGGTTTGGCACCACAGGGTGGATAGGCAAAACAATTTGGTCGATATGGCGCAGATCCTGAACTAACCTGTAAGGCTTATCTGGTTTTTGGACAGGTAAAATGGGGGAATTGTAAGGAGAGTTTATAGGCTTTAAAAGGCCATGCTGTAACAGGTGAGTGATAACAGGATTTAATCCTTTTAAAGCATGCTGTGGGATGGGATACTGGCATTGAGCGGGGTAAGGGTGATTAGGTTTTAATGGGATAGTAATGGGCGTGGATAGTTCACCAGGGAGGGAGTAGAGGTGTCCCATACCTGTGGATTAAGGTGAGGAGATAAAAGAGAAGGACGTGAAGGAGGCTTTGAACTGGGGAAAAGGGCAGCAACGAAATGTGGCTGTAGCCTAGGATTAGTCAGGGAAGCAGATAATTTAGTTAAAATGTCTCGACCTAATAAGGGAGCTGGGCAGGTGGGGATAACTAAAAAGGAGTGCATAAAAGAATATTGTCCAAGTTGGCACCAGAGTTGGGGAGTTTTAAGAGGTTTAGAAGCCTGGCCATGAATACCCACAACAGTTATGGAGGCAAAGGAAATAGGCCTTTGAAAAGAAGGTAATGTGGAGTTGGTAGCCTCCATATTGATTAAGAAGGGTGACTTACCCTCCACTGTAAGAGTTACCCAAAGTGTCCGTGATGGCCCGGGAGGCTTCGAAGGTGATCAGACAGCATCAGTCTTCAGCCGCTAAGCTGAGAAGATCTGGGAAGGAGTCAGTCAGAGAGTCTTGGGCCAGAGATCCCAGAGCTCTGGGAGTGACTGCGAGGCGAGTGGGACAGTCTGATTTTCAGTGGGGTCCTGCACAGATGGGACACGGCTTAGGAGGAATCCCGGGCTGTGGGCATTTCTTGGCCCAGTGGCCAGATTTCTGGCACTTGAAGCAAGATCCTGATGAAGAAGGTCCTGTAGGAATGCTTGACCACTGCGGTTTAGGCATGTGCGGCTTAGGCATTTTGAAGTTCTCGTGTGCTGGAGGTGCAGCTGGGTTTTGTCTCACAGCAGAGGCAAGTAATTGTAACTTTTCTCTATTATTGTACACCTTGAAGGCAAGGTTAATTAAGTCCTGTTGTGGGGTGACGTGCACCTGTAATCCCAGCTATTCAGGAGGCTGAGGCAGGAGAATAGCTTGAACCAGGGAGGTGGAGGTTGCAGTGAGCCGGGATCACGCTACTGCACTCCAGCCTGGGCGACAGAGTGAGACTCCATCTCAAAAAAAAAAAAAAATTATTCTTTGTTCATTTCCTGACCCATGATAACCGAACCCCTGGTATTTTTCGCGTGGGTCCTGTCCACCTGATGGTAGTCAGGACTGTCCCTTACCGGGATTTTCTTAAAATTGATGAGCTCTCCTCCTTTCACGCATAACTTCAAGGCGATCACGTCGGGTGCACCACTTGCAGAGTTTATAGCTTGCAGTGAACGCCAAGAATGAGTTCTTAGACAATTCCAGCTGAGTGGGGCCGGGGGAATGGGGGGGGCATTTCTTCTAAGAGAACCCGCCCCAGCATCCGTCTGCCAAGTATTTATTGAAAGTGCTTGTTAAACCACAAACATCCACTAGATGGCTTTTTGAGGTCGGGTCGTGAGACACCTGCGGCCTCGTAAAAGCACTCAAACCGCATTCTCAGGAGGCTGTTTTCAGCGTTCCTTATCACACCACACACTCCACTCCCTGTCCTGTTTTCAGGGTCAAGGAATTTCATTCTCACGCACAAATAACATACACACAGTGCCTCAGTATTCTTCCATGCCCCGACCTCAGATGCCATGTACATAAGCTTGAATATGTTGCTGTGCACCCCCCACACTCAAGTGTCCCCACCCCTTTAAATATGTTGTGTGGGGCTAGTTCTTCCATTGCCCATGAAAGATAACTCAGGCAGGCCACAGAGCATACCTGCTCAATCCTTGGAACAAAAAAAAAAATCCTCCAAGCATCATTCTGAATTACGTTTTTTCTCTCGGCCAGCTCCGACTGAGTGGTTTGACATGGGAAGCTGCCAGTGTGAAACTGGCAGAGTGGCTGGCTTCCTCAAGAATTTCTTTCTTGCCTTCCTGTGTCTGACTCTCCACCCTCTCCCTCACAGCCAGAAGCAGAGGAGGTGAGGGGGACAAAATGCTTTACCTGACGGCCATACACTGGAAGTGGTTTTGGTTTCCTCTGGCTGTGGTGGATGTTCAAATTGACTTTTGCTCTTGTGCGATGTTTGTGTGTCTTTTATAAACTCCCAGTAGCTGAATATCTCTCACTTATACTCTGTAGCCCAAACTTTGAATTATATTATTTTATTTTTTAACTTTTACTTTAGGTTCAGGGGTACATGTGTAGGTTCCTTATATAGGTAAAGTGTGTGTCATGGGGCTTTGGTGTACAGGTAATTTAATCACCCAAGTAACAAGCATAGTACCTGATAGGTCCCACCTTGAATTTGTCTAGGTGTTAGATTGGCTGCAGTTCTCTACCACTTCCTGTTATCTGAGGCCTTTACAGTGTGCCTTGGTGGCTAGTCACTCTCACCAAAAGGTAGAGTTTAGGAGGGCATGGTGGCTCCCACCTGGAATCCCAGCTACTTGGGAGGCTGAGACAAAAGGATCACTTGAACCCAGGAGGTCGAGGCTGCAGTGAACCATCCATGTTCATGCCACTGCACTCTAGCCTGGGCAACAGAGAAAGATCCTGTCTCAAAACAAACAAAAAAACATGGCAAAACCCTGTCTCTACTAAAAATACAGAAATCAGCCGGTGGTGGCATGCACCTGTAATCACAGCTATTGGCTGAGGCATGAGAATGGCTTGAACCTAGGAGGTGGAGGTTGCATTGAGCCGAGATCATGCCACTGCACTCCAGGCTGAGCGATGGAGAGAGACTCTGTCTCAAAAAAAAAAAAAAAAAAAAAGTTTGATAACACACTCAGCTGATGGGGTGGGGAAAGGAAACTGGTACTGTCACACATTGCCGACAGGAAGGAAGGTACACTGGTGCGGCTTCTACAGAAAGCATTTTAAAAATATCTACCCAAATCAAGTATTTACGTATTCTTTGACCTAGCAATTCTACTTCAAAGAACATACATTTACACTAGACATTTTTTTTTTGAGATGGAGTCTTGCTCTAGAGTGCGGTGGCACAATCTCAGCTCACTACAACCTCCGCCTCTGCCTCCCAGGTTCAAGCAGTCTTCCTGCCTCAGTCAGCCTCCTGAGTAGCTGGGATTACAGGTGCGCACCACCACGCACAGCTAATTTTTGTATTTTTTGTAGACAGGGTTTTACCATGTTAGCCCGGCAAGTCTTAAACTCCTGACCTCAAGTGATCCACCTGCCTTGGCCTCCCAAAGTGCTGGGATTATAGGTGTGAACCACCACGCCTGGCCTACACTGGACATTTTTGAGAGTCAAGGGAGCACTATAACAAACAAGGGGTCGGGTGCGGTGGCTCACTCCTATAATCCCAGCACTTTGGGAGGCCAAGGTAGGTGGATCACTTGAGCCCAAGAATTTGAGACTACTCTGGGTAACATATTGAGAGAACTCATCTCCATTAAATTAAATTTAAAAAAAAAAAAAAAAAAAGAGGCTGGGCGTGGTGGCTCAAGCCTGTAATCTCAGCACTTTGGGAGGCCAAGTCAGAAGGATCATGAGGTCAGGAGTTCGAGACCAGCCTGGCCAATATGGTGAAACCCCATCTCTACTAAAAATACAAAAATTAGCCAGGCATGGTGGTGTGCGCCTGTAGTCCAAGTTACTTGGGAGGCTGAGGCAGAAGAAAAACTTAAACCTGTGAGGTGAAGGTTGCAGTGAGCCGAGATTGGGCCACTGCACTCCAGCCTGGGCAACAGAACAAGACTCCGACTCCGAAAAAAAAAAAGAAGGAAGCACCTCTCTGTTTGATTTCAAGGTATTAAGTGAGGAAAAGCAAGGAAAAGAGTAGTGATCATGTATTTATATGTATGTATACATTTATACATATACACTTATATATATTAATACATGCTTATATATATAGACTCTATCTCTGCAAGTGCAGCAGATGTAGGTTGGTGGGAGGCTGACACGTGTACAATTTTGGATACCTGTTTTAAGAGAAAGAATACCAAAAGTATCCCAGCACTTTGGGAGGCCGAGGTGGGCAGATCACCTGAAGTCAGGAGTTTGAGACCAGCTTGGCCAACATGGCCAAACCCCATCTTTACTAAAAAAAAATATAAAAATTAGCCAGGCACGGTGGTGAGTGCCTATAATCCCAGTTACTCAGGAGGCTGAGGCAGGAGAATCGCTTGAACCCAGGAGGCGGAGGTTGCAGTGAGCTGAGATCACGCCACTGCACTCCAGCCAGGGCAACAGAACGAGACTCCGTCTCAAAAAAAAAAAAAAAACCAAAAGTATAAATACAAAATTAGGTACAGACCAGCCTGGCCAACATGGCAAAACACTGTCTCTACTAAAAAAATTCAAAAACTAGCCAGGCATGGTGGCAAATGCCAGTAAATCCCAGCTACTTGGGAGGCTGAGGCAGAGAATCATTTGAACCTGAGATGCAGAGATTGCAGTGAGCCAAGATCTCGTCACTGCACTGCAGGCTTCGTGACAGAGTCTCACTATGTTGCCCAAGCTGGAGTGCAGTGGTGTGATCATGGCTCACTGCAGCCTTGACCTCCAGGTCAGATGATCCTCCTGCCTCAGCCTCCTGAATAGCTGGAAACACAGGTGCACGCTACCGTGGTTTTTTTTTTTTCTTTTTTTTTCCTTTTTTTTTTAAACTGGGGTTTCACTCTTGTTGCCCAGGTTGGAGTGCAATGGTGTGATCTCAGCTCACCAGAACCTCTGCCTCCTGTCAAGTGATTCTCCTGTCTCAGCCTCCTGAGTAGCTGGGACTAGAGGCATGTGCCACTACATCAGGCTAATTTTGTATTTTTAGTAGAGACAGAGTTCACCATGTTGATCATGCTAGTCTCGAACTCCTGACCTAAGTTGATGTGCCCACCTCAGCCTCCCAAACTGCTGGGATTACAGGCATGAGCCACTGTGCCTGGCCATTTTTCTTTCTTTTTTGAGATTTCTTTTTTTTTTTTTTTTTTTGACAGAGTCTCTCCCTGTTGTCCAGGCTGGAGTGCAGTGGCACAATCTCGGCTCACTGCAAGCTCCGCCTCCCGGATTCACACCATTCTCTTGCCTCAGCCTCCCAAGTAGCTGGGACTAGAGGTGCCCGCCACCATGCCTGGCTAATTTTTTGTATTTTTAGTGGAAATGGGGTTTCACCATGTTAGCCGGGATGGTCTAGATCTCCTGACCTCGTGATCCACCCATCTCGGCCTCCCAAAGTGCTGGGATTACAGGCGTGAGCCACTGCGCCCGGCCATGGATTTCTTTTTTTTGAGAGGAAGTCTTGCTTTGTCACCCAGGCTGGAGTGCAAGTGGCCCAATCTTGGCTCACTGCAAAATCTCCGAAGTTCAAGCAATTCTCCTGCCTTAGCCTCACGAGTAACTGGGATTACAGGCATGCACCACCACACCCAGCTAATTTTTTTGTATTTTTAGTAGGGACGGGGTTTCATCATGTTGGTCAGGCTGGTCTCGAATTCCTAACCTCAAGTGATCTGCCCACCTTGGGATCCCAAAGTGCTGGGAATACAGGCATGAACCACCGCGACCGGCCCTGGCTAATGTTTTTTTTTTTCCTCTTGAGACAGAGTCTTTCTGTCACACAGGCTGGAATGCAATGGTGCGATCTTGGCTCACTGCAACTTCCACCTGCTGGGTTCAAATAATTCCCCTGTCTCAGCCTCCCAAGTAGCTGGGATTACAGGTGCGAGCCACCATGCCCCGCTAATTTTTTTTTGTATTTTTAGTAGAGATGGGGTTTCACCATTTTGGTCATGCTGGTCTCGAACTCCTGACCTCACATGATCTGCCTGCCCTGGCCTCCCAAAGTGCTGGGATTACAGGCATGAGCCACTGCGCCCTGCCTGTTAATTTTTAAATTATTTGTAGAGACAAGTCTCCCTATGTTACCCAGGTTGGTCTCAAATGTCTGGGCTCAAGCAATCCTCCTACCTCAGCCTCTTAAGTGTTGAGATTACAGGCATGAGCTACCGCACCTGGCCAAAATCTAGATCTTATAATTGGGTTCAAGTTTTTTTTTCTTT
This sequence comes from Homo sapiens, assembly GCF_000001405.40. Classification (NCBI taxonomy): domain Eukaryota; kingdom Metazoa; phylum Chordata; class Mammalia; order Primates; family Hominidae; genus Homo; species Homo sapiens. The sequence continues at coordinate 33,340,834 of NC_000006.12, read as the reverse complement.
TTTCTTCTTTTTTTTTTTTGAGATGGAGTCTCACTCTGTCACCCAGGCTAGAGTGCAGTGGTGCGATCTCGGCTCACTGCAACCACCGCCTCCCAGGCTCAAGCGATTCTCCTGCCTCAGCCTCCTGCATAGCTGGGATTACAGGCACCCATGACCACACCCGACTAATTTTCGTGTTTTTAGTAGAGACAGGGTTTCACCATGTTGGCCAGGCTGGTCTTGAACTCCTGACCTCAAGTGATCTGGCTGCCTCAGCCTCCCAAAGTGCTGGGATTACAGGTGTGAGCCACTGCACCTGGCTCAAGTTTTCATTTCTCATATCCTGTTGATCTTACAACTCTTCTTCTTCTTCTGATACTCATTTTCTCTCATCAGTGTGGAAATTTATTATAGTTTATATGAAGTTTTCCTCTTCTGTCTCTTTCCTCCATGTTTGTTTTTACTTTTTTTTTTTCACATTTGTTGATTTTTATTTGCTATCACTTTTTCTTTTTCTTCTTTTCTTTTTTTTTTTTTTTGAGACGGAGTCTCACTCTGTCGCCCAGGCCGGAGTGCAGTGGCTCAATCTCGGCTCACTGCAAGCTCTGCCTCCTGGCTTCATGCCATTCTCCTGCCTCAGCCTCCCGAGTAGCTGGGACAACAGGAGCCCACCACCATGCCTGACTAATGTTTTTGTATTTTTAGTAGAGACGGGGTTTCACCGTGTTAGCCAGGATGGTCTCGATCTCCTGACCTCGTGATCCACCCGCCTCAGCCTCCCAAAGTGCTGGGATTACAGGCGTGAGCCACCGTGCCTGGCCTTCTTTTCTTTTCTTTCTTTCTTTTTTTTTTTTTTGACTGAATTTTGCTCTTGTTGCCCAGGCTGGGGTGCAACGGTGTGATCTTGGTTCACTGCAACTTCTGCCTCCTGGGTTCAAGCGATTCTCCTGCCTCAGCCTCCTGAGTAGCTGGGATTACAGGTGCCCGCCACCACGCCCAACTAACTTTTTGTATTTTTAGTAGAGACGGGGTTTCACCATGTTGGTCAGCGTGGTCTTGAACGCCTGACCTCAGGTTATCCACCCGCCTCGGCCTCCCAAGTTGCTGGGATTACAGGCGTGAGCCACTGCGCCCGGCCATGATCTCTTTTTCAATACAATTTACACCCTCATCCCCATTTTCAGTCTGATTATACAAGTGCTGTGTGACAGAAAGGTCTGGAATAAATACATAAAAAAAAAAAAGAGGCAAAGCTGTGAAACTAAGTTGCATGCAACAGGTTCTATGAGGATGGGGGAAGTGTCTGAGAAATAAAACAGAGTAAGACAATGTAGTTGGAAGGTTTTAGCTAAAGTTCTTTTCAGTCGTCTTTGTCTTTTGCTCCATGTTTCAGGATGCATGTGAACTCGATGTAATTGAAATTCCCCTTTTTGTTAATAGGCGCTTCTCTGTACAGCTCATCCACTTCCTCATCCGTAAACCGATCCCACATGGTTATCAGCAGCTCTCTCAGGTAATCTTCCTGAATAATGCCTGTTGCTTCTTCATCAAAGCAAGCAAAAGCATTTCCAATGACATCTTCAGGATCTGTGCCATTTAACTTCTCACCAAATATGGTGAGGAACATGGTGAAATCGATGGGCCCTGGTGCCTCATTCATTATGGCATCAAGGTATGCATCGGTGGGATTCTTCCCTAGGGAAACAAGCATATCATGCAAATCTTCTTTGTTGATGAAACCATCTCTGTTCTGATCAATCATGTTGAAGGCCTCTTTGAACTCCTGAATCTGTGACTGGTCAAACATGGCAAACACGTTGGATGTTGTGCGCTGAGGGAGCTTTTTGGTGGTCTTGGTCTTGCCTTTTTGCTCCACATGGTGGTTGTTTAATTCCAGCGCCAAACACCAGAAGTGGGCTGCCCTGCGCCAGACGATGAGGGAAGGCGAAGAGCACAATGCTGTGTCGTTTTTACTTTTAATTTTGGGTTTTTGCTCATGTCTGAAGTCTTCCTCAAATATCTGGTGTTCCTTAACTGGGCACTCATATTTAAGACAGAGCGGGCTGGGTGCAGTGGCTCACACCTATAATCTCAGCACTTTGGGAGGCCGAGGTGGGTGGATCACCTGAGGTCAGGAGTTCGAGACCAGCCTGACCAATATGGAGAAACCCAATCTCTACTAAAAATAAAAAATTATCCAGGCGTGGTGGTGCATGCCTGTATTCCCAGCTACTCAGGAGGCTGAGGCAGGAGAATCGCTTGAACCCGGGAGGCGGAGGTTGCAGTGAGCCAAGATCGTGCCATTGCACTCCAGCCTGGGCAACAAGAGCAAAACTCCATCTCAAAAACAAACAAACTATATGTGTGTATATATATATATATTTACATATATAACATATATATTTTACATATATTACATATATATATTTTACATATATATATTTATTTATTTCCTTATTTATTTTGTGGCCAGGTGTGGTGGCTCATGCCTGTAATCCCAGCATTTTGGGAGGCTGAGGCGAGCAGATTACCTGAGGTCAGGAGTTCCAGACCAGCCTAGCCAACATGGTGAAACCCCATCTCTACTAAAAATACAAAAATATTAGCCAGGTGTGTGGTGGTGCACACCTGTAATCCCATCTACTTGGGAGGCTGAGGCACAAGAATTGCTTGAACCCGGGAGTAGCTGGGATTACAGGCATGTGCCACCATGCCTGGCTAATTTTTGTATTTTTGGTAGAGACAAGGTTTCACTATGTTGGCCAGATTGGTCTGAACTCCTGACCTCAGGTGATCCACTCACCTCAGCCTCCCAAAGTGCTAGGATTACAGGCGTGAGCCACTGCACCCAGCCAGACAGTTTTTTGTTTTTTTTTGTTGTTTTTGTTTTGTTTGTTTTTTTGAGATGGAGCCTGGCTCTGTTGCCCAGGCTGGAGTGCAGTGGCGCGATCTTGGCTCACTGCAAGCTCCGCCTCCCAGGTTCACGCCATTCTGCCTCAGCCTCCCGAGTAGCTGGGACTACAGGCGCCCGCCACTATGCCCGGCTAATTTTTTTGTATTTTTAGTAGAGACGGGGTTTCACCGTGTTAGTCAGGATTGTCTCGATCTCCTGACCTCGTGATCCGCCTGTCTCGGCCTCCCATAGTGCTGTGATTACAAGCGTGAGCCACCGCACCCAGCCTGTTTTTGTTTTTTTGAGATGGAGTTTGGCTCTGTCAGCCAGGCTGGAGTGCAGTGGTGTGATCTTAGCTCACTGCAACCTCCTCCTCCTGGGTTCAAGCTATTCTCCTGCCTCAGCCTCCTCATTAGCTGGGACTACAGGCGCGTGCCACCACGCCCAGCTAATTTTTGTATTTTTAGTAGAGATGGGGTTTCACCATGTTGGCCAGGCTGGTCTCGATCCCTTGACCTCGTGATCCGCCTGCCTCGGCCTCCCAAAGTGCTAGAATTACAGGCGTGAGCCACCGTGCCCAGTTGACAGTTTTATTTTACAATGTCAATATTTATATAAGACACAAGATCTGTTACACTCTTTTTTTTTTTCTGAGATGGAGTCTCGCTCTGTTGCCCAGGCTGGAATGCAGTGGTATGATATCGGCTCACTGCAACCACCGCCTCCCAGGTTCAAGCAATTCTTGTGCTTCAGCCTCCCGAGTAGCTGGGATTACAGGCATACGCCACCATGCCCAGCTAATTTTTGTATTTTTAGTACAGACAGGGTTTCACTATGTTAGCCAGGCTGGTCTTGAACTCCTGACCTCGTTATCCACCTGCCTCGGCCTCCCAAAGTACTGGGATTACAGGTGTGAGCCATTGCACCAAGCCGATTTGTTATACTCTTTGCAGTTATTTAAATCAACAAGGAAAAAAATTAGATGCCAAATAAAAATATATACAAAATGGCACATAATTTTCCAAAATGTTTTTAAGGAGCATGCAAGCAAGAAAATGTGAAGACTGATAGACTAATTCTAGTGCTGCTCTTATATCCAAGCAAGAGGAGATCCTGCCTGGAGCCCCACATTTCAGAAGGCCCCACATATCATAAATGTTAAAAGAATAAATTTGGAAGGAATATATGGGTGTATCTGTTACTGAAGATCTGGTGCTCAATTCTAGCACAGTGTATGAGTTATCTATTGCTGTGTAACAAATTACCCCAAAACCCGGTGGCTCAAAACAACACACTGTTATCTGATGGCTTCTGTGGGGGAGAAATCTGGGAACAGCTTAGCTGGATCCTCTGCTTCGGAGGCTCTCATAAGACTGCAGTCTATGAGTTGCCTGTGATCTCATCTGAAAGCTCAGGGCCGGGCTCAGTGGCTCATGCATGTAATCCCAGCACTTTGGAAGGCTGAGGCAGGTGCATCACCTGAGGTCAGGAGTTCCAGACCAGCCTGGCCCACCTGGTGAAACCCGGTTTCTACTAAAAATACAGAAATTAGCTGGGTGTTGTGGCGGGCACCTGTAATCCCAGCTACTTGGGAGGCTGAGGCAGGAGAATCGATTGAACCTGGGAGGTGGAGGTTGCAATGAGGCGAGATAGCACATTGCACTCTAGCCTGGGTGACGGAGCAAGACTCTGTCTCAAAAAAAATAAAAATAAAAATAAAAATAAAAATAAAGCTTAACTGGGGAAGGTTCTGCTTCTAAGCTCACTCACATAGCTGTTTGCAGGATTCAGTTTCTAAAGGGTTTTTTGACTGAGGGTCTCAGTTCCCTGTTGGTTAGTGTTTGGAGACCACACCTAGTTTCTTGCCATGTGGGTTTCTCCAATATGGCATCTTACATCATCAAAGCCAGCAATAGAGAGGCTAGCAAGTAGAAAGTCCTGTCTTTTTTTTTTTTTTTCTTGTGATGGAGTTTTGCTCTGACTCCCAGGGTGGAGCATATTGGCACAATCTCGGCTCACTGTGACCTCTGCCTCCCGGTTTCACGCAATTCTCCTGCCTCAGCCTCCTGTGTAGCTAGCTGGGATTACAGGCATGTGCCACCATGCCTGGCTAATTTTTTGGAGTTTTAGTAGAGATGGGGTTTCACCACGCTGGCCAGGCTGGTCTCAAACTCCTGACCTTGTGATCTGCCTGCCTCGGCATCCCAAAGTGCTGGGATTACAGGCATGAGCCACTGTGCCCAGCCTACAAATAATGTTTAAATTCCCCGGATGTGCTGGCACACACCTGTAGCCGCAGCTACTCAGAATGCTGAGGTGGGAGGATTGCTTGAGCCGAGGAATTTGAGGCTGCAGTGAGCTATGATCCTGCTACTGCACTCTAGCCTGGGCGACAGAGCAAGAACCTGTTTAAAAAAAAAAAGAAAAGAAAAGAAAAAAAAGAAAGAAATGAAAGACCTCTTCAAAACTGTCAAATTCATGAGAGACAAGGAAAGACTGAGAACTTCCCAGATTGAAGGAGACTACAGATAGATATGTGACAGTCAAATGCAGTATGTGATCCTGGACTAGAAAGGACAGATAGGCCAAGTATGGTGGCACGCATCTGTAGTCCCAGCACTTTGGAAGGCTCAGGTGGGAGGATCACTTGAGCCCAGGAGTTTGAGGCTGCAGTGAGCTCTTGATAGCACCACTGCACTTTGGCCTGGGCAACAGAGTGAGACCTCATCTCAAAAAAAAAAAAAAAGAAAAAGAAAAAAACAGCTGTTAAAAGAAAAGATAATTGCACTTTGGGAGGCCTAGGCGGGTGGATTGCCTGAGCTCAGGAGTTCAAGACCAGCCTGAACAACATGGCGAAACCCCGTCTCTGCTAAAATACAAAAAATTAGCTGGCTGTGGCGGCGTGTGCCTATAGTCCCAGCTACTTGGGAGGCTGAGGCAGGAGAATTGTTTGAACCCGGAAGGTGGAGGTTGTAGTGCACCGAGATCGCACCACTGCACTCCAGCCTGGGTGACAGACCTGTCTCCAAAAAAAAAAAAAAAAAAAAGATAATTTAAAAAAGAAGAGGCGGTCATTACTGGGACAGCTGGTGAAATCTGAATGGGATCTATGAATTGAAGAGTGATATTGATTTCCTGATTAGAATGGTGTTTTAGTTTGCTAGGGCTGCCATAACAAAGTATCACAAACTGGGAGACTTAAACAGCAGAAATGTATTGCCTTACAGTTCTGGAGGCTGGAAGTCTGAGATCAAGGTGTAGGCAGGGTTGGTTCTTTCTGAGGGGTGTAAGGGAGAATCTGTTCCAGGCCTTTCTACTAGTTTCCGGTGGTTTGCTGGCAGTCTTTTGTGTGTGTGTGTGTGTGTGTGTGTGTGTTTTGAGACGGAATCTTGCTCTGTCACCCAGGCTGGAGTGCAATGGCAAGATCTCGGCTCAGTGCAACCTCTGCCTCCCAGGTTCAAGCAATTTTCCTGCCTCAGCCTCCCGATTGAGTAGCTGGGATTACAGGCACCCACGACCACGCCCGGCTAACATTTTGTATTTTTTTTTTTTTTTTTTTCTGAAACAGAGTCTCGCTCTGTCGCCCAGGCTGGAGTGCAGTGACACGATCTCAGCTCACTGCAACCTCCGCCTCCAGGTTCAAGCAATTCTCCTGCCTCCAGAATAGCTGGAATTACAGGTGCCCATGACCATGCCCTGCCAATTTTTGTATTTTTAGTAGAGGCAGGGTTTCACCATGTTGACCAGGCTGGTCTTGAACTCCTGACCTCGTGATCTGCCCGCCTCAGCCTCCCAAAGTGCTGGGATTACAGGCGTGAGCCATTGTGCTCGGCCAATTTTTTGTATTTTTAGTAGAGATGGGATTTCACTATGTTGGCCAGGCTGGTCTCGAACTCCTGACCTCAGGTGATCCACCTGTGTTGGCCTCCCAAAGTGCTGGGATTACAGGCATAAGCCATGGTGCCTGGCCTGCTGGCAATCTTTGACATATCAACCTGATCTCTGCCTTCATGGTCACATGTCATTCTCTCTATCCGCAAGCCTATGTCCAAACTTCCTTTCTTATAAAGGGGGTGAGAGGCCCACTCAACTCCAGTATGACCTCATTGAACCAATTACATATGCAACAACCTTATTTCCAAATAAGGTTACATTCTGAGGAACTGGGAGTTAGGACTTCATTATATAAATTTTATTTTTTTCCTTCGACTTTTATTTTAAGTTCAGGGGTACATGTGTGCGATGTGTAGGTTTGTTACATAGGTAAACGTGTGCAATGGTGATTTGCTGCACAGATCATCCCATCACCCAGGTATTAAGCCCAGCATCCATTAGCTATTCTTCCTGGTGCCCTTCCTTCCCCCACTCCCCCAGACAGGACCCAGTTGTGTTGTTTCCCACCGTGTGTCCGTGTATTCTCATCATCACTTGTAAGTGAGAACATGCGAACAAATGAATTCTTCACCTTTTTTTTTTTTTTTTTTTTTTTGAGAGGAGTCTCGTACTGTCAGTGGGGCTGGAGTGCAATGGTGAGATCACAGCTTACTGCAACCTCGGCCCCCTGGGTTCAAGTGATTCTCCTGCCTCAGCCTCCCATGTCACTAGCTGGAATTATAGGGGCCTGCCACCATGCCCAGCTAATTTTTGTATTTTTAGTAGATATGGGTTTTTGCCATGTTGGCCAGGCTAGTCTCAAACTCCTGACCTTGTGATCTGCCCACCTTGGCCTCTCAAAGTTCTGGGATTACAGGCATAAGCCACCGCGCCTGGCCTGATCTTGTTCTTTTTTCTTTTTTTTTTTGGCAACAACTCACTCTGTTGCCAGACTGGAGTGCAGTGGTGCGATCTCAGCTCTCCACAACCTCCGCCTCCCGGGTTCAAGCCATTCCCCTGCCTCAGCCTCCTGAGTAGCTAGGACTACAGGCGCCCACCACCACACCCGGCTAGTTTTTTGTATTTTTAGTAGAGATGGGCTTTCAGTGTGTTAACCAGGATGGTCTCGATCTCTTGAACTTGTGATCTGCCCGCCTCGGTCTCCCAAAGTGCTGGGATTACAGGCATGAGACACTGCGCCCAGCCCAGCCCTTATTCATTTTTATGGCTGCACAACATATGAATTTTTAGGAGACACAATTCAACCTGTAACACATGGTTATACTGGGGTTGAGAGCGAGATGGAACAAATACAGCCAAGTGTTGACAAATGGAAAATCTGAGTGAAAGAGGTACATGCCAAAGTTCTTGGAACTGTTCTTAAATTTTTCTGTAAGCTGAAAATTATTTCAAAATTAAAAAAATTCCAACAAGATGCTAGGTTTATTTATTACACAAGATGTTGGTGCTGAACCTACCATGTAAAGAGACAATAAAGGTGTTTGTGTGGCCTTATTGCACACTTGCCTGGGATGTAAGTGAGGGTATCAGATTAATATGTTACATTTACATAGTGCTTTATAATTTACAAAAAACCAACAACATCAAAAAACCTTTATTTCATTTATCTCTCAGAATAATTCTGGGAGGCAAGAGCTTTTTCTGATTTTATTACAAAACAAAACACTAAAGAAAGGTCATGTGACTTGTCCACAGCTTCACACAACTAAGTGATCAGTTTAAATTCTAGTCCAGGGTTTTTTCACTTTTTCGAGACTCCTTTGCAGCTGCAGCAAAAGACAATGCGGCATGACTTGAAACAACATTTTTTTTTTGAGACAGAGTCTCGCTCTGTCGCCCAGGCTGGAGTGCAGTGGAGCAATCTCGGCTCACTGCAAGCTCCGCCTCTGGGGTTCATGCCATTCTCCTGCCTCAGCCTCCCGAGTAGTTAGGACTACAGGCTCCCGCCACCACAGCCGGCTAATTTTTTGTATTTTTTTTTTTTTTTTGAGACGGAGTCTCACTGTATCGCCCAATCTGGAGTGCAGTGGCATGATCTTGGCTCACTGCAAACTCTGCCTCCCGGGTTCAAGTGATTCTCCTGCCTCAGCCTCCCAAGTGGCTGGGACTACAGGCACCCGCCATCACACCTGGCTAATTTTTTGTATTTTTAGTAGAGACGGGGTTTCACCGTGTTAGCCAGGATGGTCTCGATCTCCTGACCTCGTGATCTGTCCGCCTCGGCCTCCCAAAGTGCTGGGATTACAGGCGTGAGCCACCGCGCCTGGCCTAATTTTTTGTATTTTTAGTAGAGACGGGGTTTCACCGTGTTTGCCAGGATGGCCTCAATCTCCTGACCTTGTGATCCGCCCACCTCGGCCTCCCAAAGTGCTGGGATTACAGGCGTGAGCCACCGCGCCCAGCCCTCAAAACAACATTATAACATCATTTCTGCTCTTTTGGGGGGTGACCTGACTTCCCAAGTAAAGAAGGTATTCTTAGGCATGGTGGCTTATGCTTGTAATTCCAGAATGATGGGAGGCTGAGGTGGAAGGATTGTTTAATAAGCTCAGGAGTTAAAAACCAGCCTGGGTAACATAGAAAGACCCTGTCTCTACAAAATTCAAAAATGAGCCAGGCGTGGTGACACACACCTGTGGTCCCAACTACTCAGGAGGCTAAGATGGGAGGATTGCTTGAGCTGGGGAGATCAAGGCTGCAGTGGGCCACGTTTGAGCCACTACACTCCAGCCTGGGTGACAGAGCAAGATCCTGTAGCCCGGGTGCGGTGGCTTATGCCTGTAATCCCAGCACTTTGGGAGGCTGAGGTGGGTGGATCACGAGGTCAGGAGTTCGAGACCAGCCTGGCCTACACTGTGAAACCCCGTCTCTACTAAAGGTACAAAAAATTAGCCAGGCGTGGTGGCACGTACCTGTAATTCCAGCGACTTGGGAGGCTGAGGCAGGAGAATGGTTTGAACCCGGGAGGCGGAGGTTGCAGTGAGCCGAGATCGTGCCATTGCACCCCAGCCCGGGGGACAGGGCGAGACTCCATCTCAAAAAAAAAAAAGATCCGGTTAAAAAAAAAAAAAAAAGGAACAAGATCTTCCTATTGAGGTGAAAATGAAAATGAAATAGTTTAGGTAGGAGGCTCCAAAGGTTCCCAGTATAAGGTTCACTACTACACACACTGCTTCCTCCACCGTTCCCCCTCCCCTCCCTCAGCCTCACTTGGGCGAATCCCTTGTTTCCAGATGGGCTTCAATTTCATTACCCAACCTTCAGGCCAATGCCTGGGGAACAGGGTCAATAAAACATCTTCTTTTTTTATTTTTATTTTTTTGAGACGGAGTCTCACTCTGTCACCCAGGTTGGAGTGCAGTTGCAGTGGCATGATCTTAGCTCATGGCAACCTCCGCCTCCCAGTTTCAAGAGATTCTCCTGCATCAGCTTCCCGAGTAGCTGGGATTACAGGCATGCGCCACCACTCCCGGATAATTTTTGTATTTTAGGTAGAAACAGTGTTTCACCATGTTGGCCAGGCTGGTCTTGATCTCCTGACCTCAATTGATCCATCCGCCTCGGGCTCCCAAAGTGCTGGAATTACAGGCGTGAGCCACCACGCCTGGCCTAAGAAAAGGTCTTCAATCAGTCAAAAAAAAAAAAAAAAAAGAAAGAAAAGAAAAGGTCTTCAGTCCTTGCTCCTACAACCTCCTCAACCACATCCTCCACTGGTAGCCTCTGAGACCTGGACCATCGATGGCAAAACTTCACTCTTCTTTAAAATTACCCTGGCTGGGTGCAGTGGCTCACACCTGTAATCTCAGCACTTTGGGAGGCCAAGGTGGGTGGATCATTTGAGGTCAGGAGTTCCAGACCAGCTTGACCAACATGGTGAAACCCCGTCTCTACTAAAAATACAAAAAAATTAGCCGGACATGGTGGCACATGCCTGTAGTCCCAGCTACTTGGGAGGTTGAGGAAGGAGAATTTCTTGAACCCAGGAGACAGAGGTTGCAGTGAGCCGAAATCGTGCCACTGCACTCCAGCCTGGGAGACAGAGCGAGACTCCGTCTGTAAATAAATAAGTAAAGTAAAGTAAAATAACCCCAACCCAACAGCCAAGTCCCAATCACATACCCTTGCCCTGCTGATCCATCACGGTCTTTGTCTTTTTATAAGCCTCCCCTTGGGCTCATGCAGTCAATGATAATCCTCCCTTGGTACTGCAGAGACCAAAAGTTAGGAAGAGAGTGTTCTGGGTTATACCATCTCAAACTTAGCTGCCTGCAGACCCAGTGGGGAGAACTACTCCTGTGAGAACTCAAGTCCCCTCTGCTTGTTCCTACCCGCCTTGGTTAGGATAGACCATCTCACCCCCTACCATCCAGCCAGAAGGGGCTTTAGATCCTTGACTGACCATGGCTCACAGATGCATGGTAGGTCCATTTCCTCACTCTCTATCAGTTGGGGCCCAAGATTTTGAGCCTTGAGTCTTTGAGACTTGAGACCCAGAGTGACAGGCAGTTCTAGCTTATGCCTTCATGTTGGGCCTTCAGTTTCCAAATCACAGAATTATACTATGAAAAAGCTGAATAGAGTTCATGGATCATTTAGTCCAGACCTTTCACATCACACTGGATGTTTAAATAATTGATCTGAAGGCTCATAGGGTCCTTTCTCTTTTCTCTTAGGTGTGGGAATTAAGGTCAGGACTGGCAGGTGCAGGACTTGCCACAGCCATGCTCCTTAATCCTGGCAGTGCTGAGCAAGGCCTTGCATCCCAGCCCCCTGATCCAGCCAGCTGTCTGACTGTGAGTCAGGATGGCAGAGGAAGGTGATGTGGACGAGGCGGATGTGTTCCTGGCATTTGCCCAGGGTCCCTCCCCTCCCAGGGGTCCCGTGCGACGTGCCTTGGACAAGGCTTTCTTTATCTTCCTGGCCCTCTTCCTGACACTGCTGATGCTGGAGGCTGCTTATAAGCTGCTGTGGTTACTACTATGGGCAAAGTTAGGGGACTGGCTCCTGGGGACACCTCAGAAGGAGGAGGAGCTGGAATTGTGACCACCTTTCCTATAAACATCTTCTTTCCCCACCAAGGAGGTGAGAGGGGAGACAGGAGGGAAATGGGAGTGTTGGGGGCTATGGAGGAGATGCTTGGATAGCTTAGGGCAGCAGTCTTTTTTTTTTTTTTTTTTTTTTTGAGATGGAGTTTTGCTCTTGTTACCTAGGCTGGAGTGCAATGGCACAATCTTGGCTCACTGCAACCTCTGCCTCCAGGGTTCAAGGGATTCTCCTGCCTCAGCCTCCTGAGTAGCTGGGATTACAGGCATGCGCCACCGCCCCCTGCTAATTTTGTATTTTTAGTAGAGACAAGGTTTCTCCATGTTAGTCAGGCAGGTCTCCAACTCCGACCTCAGGTATCTGCCTGCCTTGGCCTCCCAAAGCGCTGGGATTACAGGTGTGAGCCACTGCGCCCGGCCAGGGCAGCAGTCTTAAATTCTGCACCTATACTCAGGGAAATAATTTTGAAGAAGTATATACTCCTTCATATATCTTTAAGTAGGTATCTAAAAATTTTCATCATAAATTAAAATTGTGGCCGGGCACAGTGGCTCATGCCTGTAATCCCAGAAATTTGGGAGGCCAAGGCAGGGGGATCACCTAAAGTCAGGAGTTCAAGACCAGTCTGGCAAATATGGTGAAACCCCATGTCTACTAAAAATACAAAAATTAGCCGGGAAAGTTGGTGGGCACCTGATTCTCTGCCTCAGCTACTCAGAGGCTGAGGCAGGAGAATTGCTTGAACCCGGGAGGCAGTTGCAGTGAGCCGAGATCGCACCATTGCACTCCGGCCTGGGTGACAGAGCGAGACTCCTTCCAAAAATAAATAAATAAATAAATAAAAATAAAAATAAATAAATAAAAATTGTTTCAAGGATGTAATTCTGGCATATTGAAAATATTCACATTTTATTTATTTTTTAATTTTTATTTTTTTTTTGAGATGGAGTCTTGCTCTGTCGCCCAGGCTGCAGTGCAGTGGTGCAATCTCGGCTCACTGCAACCTCTGCCTCTGGGGTTCAAGCAATTCTCCTGCCACAGCCTCCTGAGTAGCTGGGACCACAGGTGTGCACCAGCACCCCTAATTTTTATATTTTTAGTAGAGATGGGGATTTCACCATGTTGGCCACGCTGGTCTTGAACTCTTTTTTTTTTTTTTTTTTTGTGACAGAGTCTCCTGTTGCCCAGGCTGGAGTGCAGTGGCAGTGATCTCTGCTCACTGCAGCCTGCCTCCACTTCCCAGATTCTAGCGATTCTCCTGCCTCAGGCCCCCAAATAGCTGGGACTACAGGTGTGTGCCACCGTGCCCAGCTAATTTTTGTATTTTTAGTAGAGACAAGGTTTCATCATGTTGGCAAGGCTGGTCTGGAACTCCTGACCTCAAGTGATCCGCCCACCTCAGCCTCCCAAAGTGCTGGGATTACAGGCATGAGCCACTGCGCCCAGCCTATTTATTGATTTATTGAGATGAGGTCTCACTATGTTGCCTAGGCTGGTCTGTAATCCTGAGATCAAGCAATCCACCCACCTCAACTTCCCAAAGTGCTAGGATTATAGGCGGTGAGCCACAGCTGGCCACATTTTATTTTATTTATTTATTTTTTGAGACAGAGTCTTGCTCTGTCACCCAGGCTGGAGTGCAGTGGCACCATCTTGGCTCACTGAAATCTCCGCCTCCTGGGTTCAAGCGATTCTTCTGCCTCAGCTTCCCAAGTAGCTGGGACTAAAGGCGCGAGCCACCACGCCCAGCTAATTTTTGTATTTTTAGTAGAGACGGGGGTGTCACCATATTGGCCAGGCTGGTCTCGAACTCCTAGACTTCGTGATCTGCCTGCCTCGGCCTCCCAAAGTGCTGGAATTACAGCATGAGCCACTGCACCTGGCCTATTTATTTATTTTTTTGAGACACAGTCTCTCTGTGTTGCCCATGCTGGAGTGTAGTGGTGCGATCTTGGCTTCCGGCAACCTCTGCCTCCCGGGTTCAAGCGATTCTCCTGCCTCAGCCTCCCAAATAGCTGGGACTACAGGCGCCCGCCACTACACCCAGCTAATTTTTTTGTAATTTTAGTAGAGACGGGGTTTCATCATGTTGGGCAGGCTGGTCTCGAACTCCTGACCTCAGGTGATCTGCCTGCCTCGGCCTCCCAAAGTGCTGGGATTACAGGTTTGAGCCACCACGCCCGGCCTATTTTTTTATTTTTTGAGACAGAGTCTTGCTCTATCGCCCAGGCTGGAGTGCAGTGGCGTGATCTTGGCTCACTGCAACTTTTGCCTCCCAAATTCAAGGGATTCCCCTGCCTCAGCTCCCAAATAGCTGGGATTACAGGCGCCCACGACCACGCCTGGCTATTTTTTGTATCTCTAGTAGAGACGAGGTTTCCTCATGTTGGTCAGGCTGGTCTCGAACTCCTGACCTCAAGTGATCTGCCCGCCTCGGCCTCCCAAAGTGGTAGGATTACAGGCATGAGTCACCATGCCTGGCCCCACATTTTAAAATAAAACAATTAGATCACCATTTATTGTCCAGTGGAATTGAAATATCATAGTGATGGCCGGGCACGGTGCTTCACGCCTGTAATCCCAGCACTTTGGGAGGCTGAGTTGGGTGGATCACGAGGTCAGGAGTTTGAGACCAGCCTGGCCAACATGCCAAAAACCCATATCCACTAAAAAAAAAAAATACAAAAAATACAAAAAATTAGCTGGGCATGGTGTTGTGTGCCTGTAATCCCAGCTGCTCAGGAGGTTGAGGCAGGAGAATCGCTTAAACCCGGGAGTGGGAGGTTGCAGTAAGCAGAGATTGTGCCATTGAACTCCAGCCTGGGCGACAGAGCAAGACTCCATCTCAAAAAAAAAAAAAAAGTATAAATTAGTTCTTACCAGTTGGGAATCATTCCTTTTTTCTTTCATCACCTCTTTTTTCCTTGAGCTCCTACTACTACTCCACTTCCCCACAAACTTTATGCTTTTATACTTGAAAGTCCTTTATTGACCAATCTTTTACATCTTCCTGCATATACATGTATATTAATTGAGATGAAAAATATCTTTCTTGTGATTGTAAGACTCTAGTTGTTAAAAATTATTCTGGAGGAGTTACTGTTACAATTATTATAAGAACAGAATGTTCTTATAAACATGTGATCGTACACTTTTTTTTTTTTTTTTAAGACGGAGTCTCGCTCTGTCGCCCAGGCTGGAGGGCAGTGGCGCGATCTCGGCTCACTGCAAGCTCCGCCTCCCGGGTTCACGCCATTCTCCTGCCTCAGCCTCCGGAGTAGCTGGGTCTACAAGGCGCCCACCACCACGCCCAGCTAATTTTTTTTTTTTTTTTTTTTTGGTATTTTTAGTAGAGACAGGGTTTCACCGTGTTAGCCAGGGTGGTCTCGATTTCCTGCCCTCGTGATCCTCCTGCCTCGGCCTCCCAAAGTGCTGGGATTACAGGCGTGAGCCACCGTGCCTGGCCGATCGTAAACATTTTTATAACTGTTAAAAAGAAATATTTAATAAGATAGTAGTCTGGGAGTGGCGGTTCACGCCCATAATCCCAGCACTTTGAGACGCTGAGGTGGGAAGATTGCTTGAGGCAAGGAGCTCAAGATCCATCTGGGCAACACAGTAAGACCCTGTCGCTATAAAAAACCTTTTTTTTTTTTTTTTTGAGACAGAGTCTTGCTCTGTCGCCAGGCTGGAGTGCAGTGGCTGATCTCAGCTCACTGCGACCTCCGCCTCCCGGGTTCAAGCGATTCTCCTGCCTCAGCCTCCCGAGTAGCTGGGACTACAGGCGCGTGCCACCAAGCCCAGATAATTTTTGTGTTTTTAGTAGAGACGGGGTTTCACCATGTTGGCCAGGCTGGTCTCAAACTTCCGACCTCAGGTGATCCGCCCGCCTCGGCCTCCCAAAGTTCTGGGATTACAGGCATGAGCCACCGCGCCCAGCCTCCACAAAAAACTTTTTTTAAAAAAATTAGCCAGGTGAGGTGGTGTGCGCCTGTAGTCCTAGCTACTTGAGGTGGGAGGATGGCTTGAGCCCAGGAATTTGAGGTTACAGTGAGCTATGACCGTACCACCGCATTCCAGCCTGGGTGATAGAACAAGACCCTTTTTTTTTCCTTTTTTTTTTTTTTTTTTTTTTTTTTTTTTGAGATAATCTCGCTCTGTCGCCCAGGCTGGAGTGCAATGACGCGATCTCGGCTTACTGCAACCTCCGCCTCCCGGATTCGAGCGGTTCTCCTGCCTCAGCCTCCTGAGTAGCTGGAGCTACAGGCGCCTGCCACCACGCCCAGCTAATTTTTTTGTATTTTTAGTAGAGACGGGGTTTCACCATGTTGGCCAGGATGGTCTCGATCTCTTGACCCCATGATACGCCCACCTCGGACCCCCAAAGTGCTGGGATTACAGGCGTGAACCATCGCGCCCGGCCGACCCTGCATTTAAAAAAAAAAAAGACAAAAGAAAGGAAAAAAAAAAAAAAAAAAAAGAAAAGGTGGTATTCATGGTGCCTTGGTGAAAGAAACAGGGTACATTTCCCTTTATTTTAAACAGGTAAGATTACCCCCAGGAGATTTCATGGTTGAGAACTATACTTTTGAGGGGGGAGGGGAAAAAAGAGAACTATTCTTTTTTTTTTTTTTCTTAAGAGGGTGACTCTATTGTAAAAGGAGAAGTGAAGAATGAGAACCTGTACTGCAGGTGTTTCCTTAGGAAGACCAATTTTGGGAAAGTTGAGGTTCTTGAAATTAAATCCCTTACATCTTCCAAGTCCCAGTCCTCGCGGAGAGTTTTTATGTTCCCCATTTTGAAAGCTGTAGACTTTGACGACTGGAGAGAAGTGATGTGGGATTGTTCAACGGACGGGTGTTTGCGATTCTAGGACTCAGCGTTAGGGATCTAATAAGCTCTGTGACCCTAGTTAAGTGGCAAGATGCCCACCACTTGTGGAAATGGGAATCTTAGCGATTGGGACCCTGTTAATCTTTCTGGTTTCCTCATAAGCTCACCTCTGGACCCAGCCTTGCCTCCACGAGTCCCTCCAGCCTCCCTAAACACAACGAGGTGGGTATCAAATCTGTTTCTTCATCCTTCATTCTTTTTTCCCCTCTCCCCGAAGAGGAGGAGGAGGAGACCCAAAGTATTTTATGAGCCTCATTTCGCCTCACAGCAGCCCTCGCAGCGGCAATTTGCACAAACTCTCCTCCAAGCCCCACCCCATCATCGCCCATCCGCAGACCCTAGGCCTCCCACGACAAAGCACGGCCACCTGGTCAGCACAGACGGCCCTTCGAGGACCCCCTCTGGAGAAGAACCATTCAGGTCCCAACGGTCTGGCTGGTCATTAGTTCTGTGGTGAAGCTTGAAAAGCAAATCAGCAACAATAGTAATAACAATAACACTTTTATGGCGCGTTGTGCTCATTTGTACGCATGTGTTATAACGATCGCGGGACGCAGCACCTGGCAGTAGAAACAGCTGCTGGACAGCGGCAAGGAGCGCGCCGCCCTTGCAGGGGAAGGGGCTGGGTCAGCCGAATAAGCCGTGGAAATGGGAACCTGGGGGACAGGAAAGCAGGGCCAGATAGCTTGCCAATAGCCCAACTGAAAGAAAAGGTTTTACTTCCCTTTTAAGAGACTTCTGCCCTTCCCTGAAACTCTGCACAGCTTTGGAAAGCCCAATTCCTAATCCACCCTGTTCGGTTCCCCTGCCCCTCCTTGGAAACGAGGCTCGGTCCTCCCTACGCGCTACTCTCCGGCGGTTGGGCCCCAGGCAGGAAGTTTCTGATTGGCGGAGTCGTAGAAGCACCGGGTGAAAAGAGCTCCACTGGCTGCGCACCGGAGTCCGGGCGTAGCCAGTGCCGTACGGCAAAATGGCGGCCCCCAGCTGCTTTGGGACGCCTGGGTTCGGGGAGACAAACTCCGACCTGGAAGAGACCGCTGACTATGTGGGCCGCACTGGAGGTGTTCGCGGGGCGGGCCTACTGTCACCTCCGGCCACAGGAAGCCTGTGTTCCGTACGACAATATGGCGGCGCTTAGTTGCATGAAGGCGGAAACTCTGTGACTTCCGGTCCGTAGTGGGGCCTGCGGTGGGAGTGGGAAGGAAGGCGGAGGGAACCATGCGAGGTTCTGAGAATTGCGGCGAGGGTCGCCTCGAGAGACGGTTTCTGAGGTGGGGGCCGGACGGTGCGGGGATCAGAGGCGGGGGCGGGGATATAGAGGGAGAGGTATTGGGGAGAGCTGGGCGCTGAGTCTGAGGGGAAAGCTGTGGTACCTTCCTGTCCCTGAAAGGGAGTGGAGCGGCCGGGGGCTGAACTGGGGGAGGGGGATTTGGCGGGAAGCGCATCTAGCGGACCGGCCGGACCCACGGTTGGGATCTAAGAGGAATCGCGAGAGCGTAGCGCGGTGCGGGGGGACTTTTGATCAGTTACGGGTCACCGAGAGAATGGGGAAAATTAGGGTGGGGTGAAAGGGAGGGGACTTGGGTAAAATATCTTCAACCTAAAGCCCCAGTTTGAGGAGACTCATCGGAGGGTGAAATATGGAGATAATTCAAGGAGGAGAAAAGAGAACGGACTGTTGGGAGGGAACCTCTTTCACCTCAGAGAGTCTAGGAGTTGGGGTGATCATTCAGGATAGGGTGGGTGTGGGGTTGACTTGTTTGAGAGCAGAGGGGGCAAACACATGAGGTGGCGCCCACAGGAGTGTGTTGTCTGTGCAAGGGGGTGTCAGGACGATTTGGGGTGCAGTGTGGGAGGAAGAATCAACTTGCCAACTCTAAGAAATAGGGGGGAAATGCAACAGAAAGACCGGAAATCGACGTGAGGGGTGGAGCAGAAGGTGGCAACTTAAGGTGTGGGGGTGGTTTGCCCCCCCCCCACACCACTTGAAGGGCCCCAAAAAGCATATAGAACTAATGGTTATTGAAATCAGGTGGTGAAGACAGTGTTGGTCAGGGCTGGATGTTACTGAAACCCAAGGAGTTCAGAAAATGTGTGAGGTGAAGGGATGGGGCTATGCTGGAGGGGCTCATTCTGAGGCCCCATCCCCTTCCAGCAGGAATTCTGAAATCCCCACCACTTCCTCCCTCCGGGGGATTTGATCCCCTATGGCCACCGCTAACAGCATCATCGTGCTGGATGATGATGACGAAGATGAAGCAGCTGCTCAGCCAGGGCCCTCCCACCCACTCCCCAATGCGGCCTCACCTGGGGCAGAAGCCCCTAGCTCCTCTGAGCCTCATGGGGCCAGAGGAAGCAGTAGTTCGGGCGGCAAGAAATGCTACAAGCTGGAGAATGAGAAGCTGTTCGAAGAGGTGAGCTTTAGCGGGGAAGATTGTTGTACCCCAGGGAGGGGGATGGCTGACTGGTTCTCCTGTCCTTTCTTTCCCACTAACCCCACCTCCCCTTTCTCTCAACCCCCTCCCTTGTCTCTCTTCCCCTTCCTTCTTCCCCTGAACCTTCTAGTTCCTTGAACTTTGTAAGATGCAGACAGCAGACCACCCTGAGGTGGTCCCATTCCTCTATAACCGGCAGCAACGTGCCCACTCTCTGTTTTTGGCCTCGGCGGAGTTCTGCAACATCCTCTCTAGGGTCCTGTCTCGGGCCCGGAGCCGGCCAGCCAAGCTCTATGTCTACATCAATGAGCTCTGCACTGTTCTCAAGGCCCACTCAGCCAAAAAGAAGCTGAACTTGGCCCCTGCCGCCACCACCTCCAATGAGCCCTCTGGGAATAACCCTCCCACACACCTCTCCTTGGACCCCACAAATGCTGAAAACACTGCCTCTCAGTCTCCAAGGACCCGTGGTTCCCGGCGGCAGATCCAGCGTTTGGAGCAGCTGCTGGCGCTCTATGTGGCAGAGATCCGGCGGCTGCAGGAAAAGGAGTTGGATCTCTCAGAATTGGATGACCCAGACTCCGCATACCTGCAGGAGGCACGGTTGAAGCGTAAGCTGATCCGCCTCTTTGGGCGACTATGTGAGCTGAAAGACTGCTCTTCACTGACCGGCCGTGTCATAGAGCAGCGCATCCCCTACCGTGGCACCCGCTACCCAGAGGTTAACAGGCGCATTGAGCGGCTCATCAACAAGCCAGGGCCTGATACCTTCCCTGACTATGGGGATGTGCTTCGGGCTGTAGAGAAGGCAGCTGCCCGACACAGCCTTGGCCTCCCCCGACAGCAGCTCCAGCTCATGGCTCAGGATGCCTTCCGAGATGTGGGCATCAGGTTACAGGAGCGACGTCACCTCGATCTCATCTACAACTTTGGCTGCCACCTCACAGATGACTATAGGCCAGGTAGGGGGTTGGTGGGATGCCTCTCAGTGACCCTTATATGTCAGGTATGAGGCGGATGGGGCATCTCTCTAGTCCTTTCTAGGGTTTTTACTCTTCTAGTCCCTTCAAGGGCTGAGTGCTCTGACTTTATGTCTTCCCACGTAGGCGTTGACCCTGCACTATCAGATCCTGTGTTGGCCCGGCGCCTTCGGGAAAACCGGAGTTTGGCCATGAGTCGGCTGGATGAGGTCATCTCCAAATATGCAATGTTGCAAGACAAAAGTGAGGAGGGCGAGAGAAAAAAGAGAAGAGCTCGGCTCCAAGGCACCTCTTCCCACTCTGCAGACACCCCCGAAGCCTCCTTGGATTCTGGTGAGGTGTGGATGGGGTACAGCCTTCAGAGAGACATTGTCCTTCCCCTGCACTGGCCACCAGGGAGTCCAGGTTGACTGATGGGGGAGCATGAGAAGGAAAGCAAGAACCAAACCCTCTGGGGCAAGGGATTCCTTAGAGAAACTTCTTTGTCTCCCAGGGCCCTAGTGGAATGGCATCCCAGGGGTGCCCTTCTGCCTCCAGAGCTGAGACAGATGACGAAGACGATGAGGAGAGTGATGAGGAAGAGGAGGAGGAGGAGGAAGAAGAAGAGGAGGAGGCCACAGATTCTGAAGAGGAGGAGGATCTGGAACAGATGCAGGAGGGTCAGGAGGATGATGAAGAGGAGGACGAAGAGGAAGAAGCAGCAGCAGGTATGTCAAGGGAACATTCTCCTCACCTGTCATTTCTGTTTTGTTAGGCATGAGCCACCTGTTTGAAACCTTTCCCTTCCTCCTCCTAGTGTCCTCTCAGCAGTATTTTTTCCCCCTCATTCTCAGGCTACCCTCTCCCCTTTTCTTCTTTTCCAGGTAAAGATGGAGACAAGAGCCCCATGTCCTCACTACAGATCTCCAATGAAAAGAACCTGGAACCTGGCAAACAGATCAGCAGATCTTCAGGGGAGCAGCAAAACAAAGGACGCATAGTGTCACCATCGTTACTGTCAGAAGAACCCCTGGCCCCCTCCAGCATAGATGCTGAAAGCAATGGAGAACAGCCTGAGGAGCTGACCCTGGAGGAAGAAAGCCCTGTGTCTCAGCTCTTTGAGCTAGAGATTGAAGCTTTGCCCCTGGATACCCCTTCCTCTGTGGAGACGGACATTTCCTCTTCCAGGAAGCAATCAGAGGAGCCCTTCACCACTGTCTTAGAGAATGGAGCAGGCATGGTCTCTTCTACTTCCTTCAATGGAGGCGTCTCTCCTCACAACTGGGGAGATTCTGGTCCCCCCTGCAAAAAATCTCGGAAGGAGAAGAAGCAAACAGGATCAGGGCCATTAGGAAACAGGTAATAACAAGAGGAGGAGGAAGAGGGAAGCCAAGGAGGGATTGCAGGGGACTTTCGGAGAGCAATACTGGGGAACTGAGTCTGCTGGGAGAGACTGGACTGCCCCCCTCCAGCCTCAGTCTTCCCGTACCCCTCCACATATTTATGTTTCTGTTTCTAGCTATGTGGAAAGGCAAAGGTCAGTGCATGAGAAGAATGGGAAAAAGATATGTACCCTGCCCAGCCCACCTTCCCCCTTGGCTTCCTTGGCCCCAGTTGCTGATTCCTCCACGAGGGTGGACTCTCCCAGCCATGGCCTGGTGACCAGCTCCCTCTGCATCCCTTCTCCAGCCCGGCTGTCCCAAACCCCCCATTCACAGCCTCCTCGGCCTGGTACTTGCAAGGTAAGAAGGGGAGGGCGTGTTTCCTCTGACAATTTGTTCTCTTTCATTGGCTGTTTCAGCTGCTCTGTCTGAATATTCCACGTGCCACATCCTGTCTCTTCCTTTTTCCCACCCATTTTATCCTCTAAATCCTCCTGTTTCTTTTCTCCTGTACTCCAGATCTCTTTGACTCTTTGTCTCTCACTTCCCTGCAGACAAGTGTGGCCACACAATGCGATCCAGAAGAGATCATCGTGCTCTCAGACTCTGATTAGCTGCCTCCCCTTCTCCCTGCCTCCAGAATGTTCTGGGATAACATTTGGAGGAAGGTGGGAAGCAGATGACTGAGGAAGGGATGGACTAAGCTAATCCCCTTTTGGTGGTGTTTCTTTAAAAAAAAAAAAAAGCTTAAGTTTTACACAGAAACATTAATAAACAATAAAGTTCTTTTCTTACTGTATCACTGTCTTTTTCTTGTCCTTCTACTGTTACAGATTGGCATTAGCTGTCCCCTTGCTCAGGGTTAGCCCAGTATCCCCGGGGTAGTCCCGCTCTGTCCTTTCTAGCCTGGCCTTTTTTTTTTTTTTTTTTTTTTTGTCTCGCTGTGTCGCCCAGGCCAGGGTGCAGTGGTGAGATCACAGCTCACTGCAGCCTGGACCTCCCAGTCTCAAGCGATAATGCCTCAGCCTCCCGAGTAGCCGGGACTACAGGCGCGTGCCACCATGCCTGGCTAATTTTTGTTTTTGTTGTTTGTATTTTTTGTAGAGACGGGGTTTCGCCACGTTGTTCAGGCAGTACTTTTTTTTTTTTTTAAGTGCTTCAGCCGCCTTAACGCACTTTACTTTTTCACTTCGTGCAGTAGGAGTGAGAAAGCCAATGAGGGGCCGACTCAAGGTTATTTAGCCAATCCAGGCCCGGAGAAAGGGGGCGGGGCTTCAGTGGGACTGTAAGGAGCTAGGAAGAGGGCGATTAGATCCCACCAACCAGCTAATGGTCACAGCTCAGAGGCGGAGCCTGGGGAACGATACCTGGACCCATCGCCAATGGGAAAAGGCAGGCTTATAGCTTTAAAGGG
This sequence comes from Homo sapiens, assembly GCF_000001405.40. Classification (NCBI taxonomy): domain Eukaryota; kingdom Metazoa; phylum Chordata; class Mammalia; order Primates; family Hominidae; genus Homo; species Homo sapiens. Next base: position 33,317,942 of record NC_000006.12, on the reverse strand, counting down.
GAATAAATGCTTCGGCCGAACCAAGTCCTGAGCTCCCAGCGGAGGAGGGGACCTGATCTTTTAAGGTGGAATGTGGCGATGTTTCTTTAAAGGCAAAGTGGCCGAGTCGGCCGAGTATTGCCCAGCGGCACGGGCGGGGTGCCCGGCTGTGCCTTTAAAGGCGGAGGGGCGGGAGGCGGAGCGGAGGCGGAGGGCGGAGGGAGTCGGCGCAAGATGGCGGCGGGAGGGGCCCAGGTTGCTGCTCTGGCCGCCGAGTGAGGGGCGGGGGGGGCCCGGGGGCGCGCGGCCCGGTAAGCGGGGACGCGCGAGGTTGGGGGGCGCCTTCCGGGTGGGAGAAGAGGCCGAGGTAGCGCTTGGGGCGGAGCGGGGGGGGGCGGGGTCCGTTGTGGGCGGAGGTAGACAAGGGGCGGGGTCGAAAGGCCCGATAGTGGGCGGGGCACGGGGGGGTGGGCCTGGAAAGGGGCGGGGCTAGAGAAGCTGGGGCGAAAGGGGGCGTGGTCGGCGAGAGAGCTTGGGGGGCATAGCCTGAGGGGAGATGGAGCAAGCGTTGGTTTTCAGTAGCAGAGCTGCCCTGCCCCCTCCCAAAAAGTGGGTGCAAAACACCAAAAAGGTAGATTTTGGAATGTCAGGCTCTCAGGTAAGTCGGAAATAGGGTATAATTCCGAAGGAAGCCACTCCAGCCCCTAAGAGCACCTTATTTCTCTAACCTCCAAGGAAAGGGCACAAGATTTGTCAGATACCTGTGTTTGCTGGCGCTGCCACTTGCTGTGTGACCTTGGATAATCTCTTAATCTTTCTGAGCTTTAGTTTCCTCATCTGTCAAATGGGGTTGAGAGGAATACCTACCTCACTGTTGTGGGGAGTTACACAGATAATGAGCGTGAACATATTTTTGAGTTGTAACGGGCTGTGTCGTTATGAGATGTTATCATTATTCTTTTCTCTTTTTCTTCCCAGAGACCCCCCCGGCCGCCCTCCTCCTTTCTTTGTTCCTGTGGCTGGGGGGGTATCCCCTCCCTCCACAACATGGAGCCATCTCCTCTGTCTCCCAGTGGGGCAGCACTTCCCCTGCCGCTGTCGCTGGCTCCGCCCCCACTACCCCTGCCAGCAGCTGCAGTGGTACATGTGTCCTTCCCTGAGGTGACCAGTGCCCTCTTGGAGTCCCTCAATCAGCAGCGTCTGCAGGGCCAGCTCTGCGATGTATCTATCAGAGTGCAGGGCCGGGAGTTCCGGGCTCATCGGGCTGTCCTGGCTGCCTCCTCCCCTTACTTCCATGATCAGGTCCTACTCAAAGGCATGACCTCCATCTCGCTGCCCAGTGTCATGGACCCAGGCGCCTTTGAGACTGTCCTAGCCTCCGCTTACACTGGCCGCCTCAGCATGGCTGCTGCTGACATTGTCAACTTCCTTACAGTGGGGTCTGTGCTCCAAATGTGGCACATTGTGGACAAGTGCACTGAACTACTCCGAGAAGGCCGGGCCTCAGCTACCACCACCATCACTACTGCTGCAGCCACCTCTGTCACTGTCCCTGGTGCTGGGGTGCCATCCGGGAGTGGGGGCACTGTGGCCCCTGCTACCATGGGCTCTGCGCGCTCCCATGCCTCCAGCCGGGCCAGTGAGAATCAATCTCCCAGCAGCAGCAACTACTTCAGCCCCAGGGAGTCCACTGATTTCTCATCTTCCTCCCAAGAGGCATTTGCAGCTTCTGCAGTGGGCAGTGGGGAGCGTCGAGGAGGTGGCCCTGTATTCCCAGCCCCTGTCGTTGGCAGTGGAGGGGCCACATCTGGAAAGCTGCTGCTGGAGGCAGATGAGCTGTGCGATGATGGTGGGGATGGGAGGGGGGCAGTGGTTCCTGGGGCTGGGCTCCGGAGACCCACCTACACACCCCCTAGCATCATGCCACAGAAACACTGGGTATACGTGAAGCGAGGTGGTAATTGCCCAGCGCCAACACCCCTGGTTCCCCAAGACCCAGATCTGGAGGAGGAAGAGGAGGAGGAAGATCTGGTGTTGACCTGTGAGGATGATGAAGATGAAGAACTAGGGGGTAGCTCCAGGGTTCCAGTGGGGGGAGGGCCTGAGGCTACCCTCAGCATAAGTGATGTCCGTACCCTGAGTGAGCCCCCAGACAAGGGGGAGGAGCAGGTCAACTTCTGTGAGTCCTCCAATGACTTTGGCCCATATGAGGGTGGGGGTCCTGTGGCAGGTCTTGATGACTCAGGGGGGCCAACTCCCTCTTCCTATGCCCCCTCCCACCCTCCTCGACCGCTCCTTCCCTTGGACATGCAGGGCAACCAGATCCTGGTCTTCCCGTCGTCGTCTTCATCCTCATCCTCACAGGCTCCTGGCCAACCACCAGGGAACCAAGCAGAACACGGGGCAGTGACCGTGGGGGGCACGTCGGTGGGGAGCCTGGGTGTGCCGGGTAGCGTTGGTGGGGTCCCTGGAGGGACTGGCAGTGGGGACGGGAATAAGATCTTTCTGTGCCATTGTGGGAAGGCCTTCTCCCACAAGAGCATGCGGGACCGGCACGTGAACATGCACCTCAATCTGCGGCCGTTTGACTGCCCCGTGTGCAACAAAAAGTTCAAGATGAAGCACCATCTGACTGAGCACATGAAGACGCACACAGGTCTCAAGCCCTACGAGTGCGGAGTCTGCGCCAAGAAGTTCATGTGGCGAGACAGCTTCATGCGCCACCGAGGACACTGTGAGCGCCGGCACCGCCTGGGCGGGGTCGGGGCCGTACCTGGGCCTGGGACTCCCACGGGGCCATCCTTGCCGTCCAAGAGAGAGTCTCCCGGAGTGGGCGGGGGCAGCGGCGACGAAGCGAGTGCGGCCACGCCCCCGTCCAGCAGACGTGTCTGGTCCCCACCCAGAGTCCACAAGGTGGAGATGGGCTTCGGTGGAGGTGGAGGAGCAAACTGAAGGGGCAGGCTACTGGGGTGGGGTAGCTTTCGGGAAAGGGAATAAGGAGCACGATGCAAGGGCGCTGTGGCCCCCGGGTGATCTCCCACCACACTTACTGTCTTCCTTTATCTCTGTGGACTTGTATATATTCTGGAAGGGGAACCACAGTTTCACCATCGCCCGCCCATTCTACTACTCAACCCCTCCCCCCCAAGGTATTTCCAGAACTAAACCCTTCCTTTCCCTCTGATGGGTACACTGAAGCCCCTGCTCCACAGAGTAGATTGCACATGGAGGGAGGGAGAGGGGGCGTGTTGAACATCCTGCAGTCACAGGGTCAGGGGTCAGGTGGTTGTAGTCTGTGCCTGAAGTCTGTGTTTGTGTTGTCGTGGAGACAAGGCCTTTGAGCCCCACCCTTGTCCTAGAACCTACCCCCTCTCAAGGATGCGCTCTTTATTTCTACCCTGTCTCTCCCCGCCACCCCCGACTTCCCGTGGAAATTCCCAACTCGGTTCTCATGGAGGAGTGGGTGGAGACAAGGAGGGAGTAAGTCGTAGGAGTACAAGGTTTTTATTTTTTTTAACAGTGATTAAAATATTTATTGGTCATTTACTTGGCTTCCCGATAACCCGTGTGTTTGCTGGGGACGCGGCACAGATAGGGGGAAGCCGGAGTAATGGTTTTCGGGCAAGTGGATGTTGGAGAGCACACACAGGAGTTGGGGGGCGGGGGAGGGCCTGGGGTTGGGGAGGGCTCGAACTCGGGGCTGCTGGGTAGTCCAGGAGGGCGCGGTAAGGCTGGGGTGTCCTGGTGAGAACTGGAGAGGATCTACCCGGGTCCCTGCCTGGCCAGTGGGGAAACACCGGTCCCCCAGGCACCTTCACCTAACCAGAGCGGGGATTTCCACCGCCCCTCATGCCGCCCTTTGGAGGAAAGTGAAAGTGAAAGGAGGAAGAGGAGGCTTCATGGCTGAGGAGGTCGCAGCGCCATGAAGTCCCTGTCTCTGCTCCTCGCTGTGGCTTTGGGTGAGCGAACCCCGCGACTCATCGCCCAAGAACTAGAGGGAAGCGGAGGGAGGTGGCCCCACTGGAGCCGATGCCAGGGTGGGAGTGGGGCAGGTCACCAGACATACAAACCGCTCCTCACTCGCGTCCCTATACGCCAGGCCTGGCGACCGCCGTCTCAGCAGGACCCGCGGTGATCGAGTGTTGGTTCGTGGAGGATGCGAGCGGAAAGGGCCTGGCCAAGAGACCCGGTGCACTGCTGTTGCGCCAGGGACCGGGGGAACCGCCGCCCCGGCCGGACCTCGACCCTGAGCTCTATCTCAGTGTACACGGTGAGTCTCTAGGGACTCGCCGCCCCCCTACCTCTGTCGCCTCCACCGAAACCCCCTCCTCTTTAGATCCGGCAGTGACCTCAGGCCTCAGCTTCCCCTTTGTAAAGTGAGTCTCACTACGGGGTAGTCTGTGCATTTGAAGTTCCCCGAACGCTGCCCTTCCAGCCCCTTTCCCGGCGGTGACTCTACAGCTGCAACTTCCTTCTCTACACTCAGACCCCGCGGGCGCCCTCCAGGCTGCCTTCAGGCGGTATCCCCGGGGCGCCCCCGCACCACACTGCGAGATGAGCCGCTTCGTGCCTCTCCCCGCCTCTGCGAAATGGGCCAGCGGCCTGACCCCCGCGCAGAACTGCCCGCGGGCCCTGGATGGGGCTTGGCTGATGGTCAGCATATCCAGCCCAGTCCTCAGCCTCTCCAGCCTCTTGCGACCACAGCCAGAGCCTCAGCAGGAGCCTGTTCTCATCACCATGGCAACAGGTAGCTGGGGAGGGGAGGTGGAGAAGGGTGGGTAGATTCTAAGGGTCCAGATCAGCCGGTGGTCTCGCTTTATGGACTTGAGCAAGACATTTCGCCAATCGGGGTTCAGTTTCCTTTTTTTGTTAAGAGAGGTGGTTTGGCTAGAATGAATCAATCTCTACCGCTCCTTCTAGCCCTCACCCAGTTAAAAAAAAAAAACAAAAAAAAAACTGCAGCTTGGCAGGGGGTAGGGGGAAAGCAGGGCCGGGCAGGGGGGTTACTTTCTGGTGTTTCGAAGGGCGGGGCTTTGAAGAGGTGGGGTTTCCCGACACCAGACCTTGAGAGACTTGTCAGGTGATGCGAGGTGGGAGGGGTTCAGAAGCAGGAGCGTTTTTTCTCTGCTCTTCCCAGATCTGTGTCTTGCTCTGCACCCTCAGCTTTGCGGGTCACTCTTTCAAAACCCAGCACTCTATCCCCACCTGCGCCCACACCCGGCGCTGCGGCAATCCGCAAAGCAAAGGCTCTTGCACTCTAGCGCGTTGACCTTGCCTGACAGCCCCGTGTAGGGATGTGCTGCCGCTCTGTGGTCCGCAAACAGGTGGGCTCGAGTGGGCGGATGGACGCGGCTGGAGATTGGATAGCTCCTATTGCACTGAAAGGTGCATTGCAGTTTGAGGCCCAGGAGTCAGAAGCTTTTCTAGGCTGGGACGTGGGAGGGACTGTGCAGATAATTCAAGAATGAGGAGAGTCTGACCTGGATATCTGGGAGCTCTCCCTCCTGGCAGCGGAGGCGGGGTATTCCGGGGTAGAATACCGGTAGAGTTCTTAGCTTTTCTATCTGGATTTTATGTCAGCGACACAGCCCGATGGACAGGGCAACCCCAACCAATCCCTGCACCCTCCCTTCCCTCCACCCTCCTGAGAATTACCCACAGAACCAGGGAGACAGACTTGAAACCCACGCTGAAACCCTCACCTCTGCCTATACCTCCATTCTTAGTCTCAAGCCCCCACCCTGGCAGAAGCTGAGGAACACTGCTCTTGTGTAGACAGTAGCTCTCTCTGGTGGGGTGGAATATTTCCTAGGGCTACTGGCTCCACCGAGGTGATGATGAGAATGGTCTTTGCTTTCTGAGTTTGTTTTTCCAACTGTAAAATGTGGATACTATTTCCCAGCTGCTTTTCTTGTTGTGACTATCAAGAGATGGCACTGTGTTAATTTATCCATTGATTCAATAAATACTTTTTAGCACCAAGAATGAGTTAGGACTCAGCAGTTCTCAGTCCACACTGTTGGAGGTTTCTAAAATATACTGAAACCTGATTCAATCCCATGCTTAGCTTGGCCGATTAAATCAGAATCTCTGGGGTGGCCCTGGGTGCCCTTAAGGGTCACAAAGATGATCTGATGTAGACTCTGCTCTCCAGGAGGTTCTGGGCGTATTTGCCACGGATAATCCTAATGTAAAGTAGAAAGTGAAGGACATGCAGACAGGGAGCCCTGGAAGTGCCCGGGTGGTAAGATTGTCTGTATTTCACAAACAACTGGGGTCAAAGCAAGGTGCTGTGCTATTTATTTATTTTTATTTTATTTATTTATTTATTTTTGAGACAGAGTTTTGCTCTTGTTGCCCAGGCTGGAGTGCAATGGCGTGATCTCACGCTCACCGGAACCTCCGCCTCCCTGGTTCAAGCAATTCTCCTGCCTCAGCCTCCCGAGTAGCTGGGATTACAGGTGCCTGCCACCACACCCAGCTAATTTTGTATTTTTAGTAGAGATGAGGTTTCTCCATGTTGGTAAGGCTGGTCTCGAACTCCCAACTTCAGGTGATCCTCCCACCTCGCCTCCCGAAGTGCTGGGATTACAAGCGTGAGCCACTGCGCCTGCCTGCTATTTATTTATTTATTTATTTTTGAGACGGAGTCTCCCTCTTATTGCCCAGGCTAGAGTGCAGTTGCAGTGGCATGATCTTGGCTCACTGCAACCTCCGTCTCCCATGTTCAAGCAATTCTTGTGCCTTAGCCTCCCCAGTAGCTGGGATTACAGGCTTGTGCCACCACGCCCACCTAATTTTTGTATTTTTATTGGAGACAGGTTTCACCATGTTGGCCAGGATGGTCTTGAACTCCTGACCTAAGGTGATCCACCCACCTTGGCCTTCCAAAGTGCTGGGATTACAGGCATGAGCCACCACGCCCGGCCTGCTGTGCTCTTTCTTTTCAAGCATTTCTGCTTGATCAGGGATTTAAGAAAATGAAAGCTGTTGTACTGATGTAAAATTAGAAATGAAATCTCTCCAGGGTCCAAGATCATTCATGATTTTGCTAATATACATTTATACTTGTCTTATCAAATATTTTTAAATGTTTATTGACAAATATGCTTATTTATTTATTTATTTGAGACAGGGTCTCCCTCTGTCGCCCAGGCTGGAGTGCAGTGCAGGCTGGAGAGCAGTGGCATGATCTCAGCTCACTGCAACCTCCACCTCCGTGGCTCAAGTGATCCTCGTGCCTCAGTCTCCTGAGTAGCTGAGACCACAGGCATGTGCCACCATGCCCAGCTAATTTTTGTATTTTTTTTGTGGAGATGGGTTTTTGTCAGGTTGCCCAGGCTGGTCTTGGACTCCTGGGCTCAATTGATCTGCCCACCTTGGCCTCCGAAACTGCTGGGATTACACGTGTGAGCTGCCTGGCCCCAAATATACTTTTTTTTTTTTTTTTTTTTTTTTGAGACAGAGTCTCACCCTGTTGCCCAGGCTGGAGTGCAATGGTGTGATCTCTGCTCATTTCAACTTCTGCCTCCTGAGTTCAAGTAATTCTCCTGTCTCAGCCTCCCAAGTAGCTGAGACTACAGGCGCCCACCACCAGGCCCAGCTAATTTTTGTATTTTTAGTGGAGACAGGGTTTGGTCATGTTAGCCAGGCTGGTCTTGAACTCCTGACCTCAGGTGATCCACCCACCTCAGCCTCCCAAATTGCTGGGATTACAGGCGTGAGCCACCACGCCAGGCCTATACTTTCTTAATATACTTTGTGTGTATAGTGTTTAATTCTCACCATTCTTTTAAAATATTATGGAGTCAGGTGAGGTGACTCACGCCTGTACTTCCAGCACTTTGGGAGGTCTAGGTGGGAGGATCATTTGCACTCAGGAGTTCAAGACCAGCCTGGGCAACATAACCAGACCTTGTCTCTACTAAAAATTAAAAAAATGCTGGGCGCAGTGGCTCATGCCTGTAATCCCAGCACTTTGGGAGGCCGAGGTGGGCAGATCACCTGAGGTCGAAAGTTCAAGACCAGCCTGACCAACATGGAGAAACCCCGTCTGTACTAAAAATACAAAATTAGCCAGGCATGGTGGTGCATGCCTGTAATCCCAGCTACTCGGAAGGCTGAGGCAAGAGAATTGCTTGAACCTGGGAGGCGGAGGTTGCAGTGAGCCAAGATCATGCCACTGCACTCCAGCCTGGGCAACAAGCGTGAAACTGTCTCAAAAAAAAAAAAAAAAAAAAAAAGGTTGGGTGTCGTGGCATGTACCTATGGTCCCAGCTACTCGGGAGGCTGTGTTGGGAGGATTGCACCTTTGATGGGTGACAGAGTGAGACCCTGTCTCCAAAAAAAAAAAAAAAAAAAAAAGAGTTAAACTGTAAAACCTTTAGGTCTTGTTTATTATTTTTTTAAATTTTTTCTTTTAAATAGAGATGGGGTCTTGCTATGTTGCCCAGGCTGGTCTCAAACTGCTGGGTTCAAGTGATCCTCCCACCTCAGCCTCCCAAGGTACTGGGATTACAAGTCTGAGCCACCCTGCCCAGCCAGGTTTTGTTTATTAATTCTATGGATTTTTTTTTTTGAGATCAAGTTTTGCTCTTGTTGCCCAGTCTGGAGGGCAATGGCATGATCTCGGCTCACCACAACCTCCGCCTCCCAGGTTCAAGTGATTCTCCTGCCTCAGCTTCCCAAGCAGCTGTGATTACAGGCGTGTGCCACCATGCCCGGATAATTCTGTATTTTTAGTAGAGACGGGGTTTCTCCAGTCTGGTCTCAAACTCCCAACCTCAGGTGATCCACCGGCCTCGGCCTCCCAAAGTGCTGGGATTACAGGCGTGAGCCACTGTGCCCAGCCTGTGGATCTTTTTTTTTTTTTTTAACAATTCAAAAGTATGTTTCTGGATTTTGACAAACTAAGTGAAATTGCATACTGTTTTTACTCTACTGAACAATTCCATGAAGATGAGAACAGTTTAACCTTATAGGCCTCAGAAGCTAGGATTAAAAAGAACATAAAAATAATTACAAGAAGAAAAAGATTACTTCTACCTGAAGGACCTAGACATTTCTGGGAAGAAACAGCAGTGAAAGTGACCTTCATGTACATGGAGTATTTAGATCAGGGGTCTCCAATCTTTTGGCTTCCCTGAGCCACACTGGGAGAAGAATTGTCTTGGGCCATGCATAAAATATACGAACACTAACGATGGCTGATAAGCTAAAAAAAAAAAATGTGAAAAAATCTCATAATGTTTTAAGAAAGTTTATGAATTTGTGTCGGGCTGTATTCCAAGCCGTCCTTGGCTGCATGTGGTCCCTGGGCTGGAGGTTGGACAAGCTTGATAGATGTTTGGGAGAAAATGGGAAAGACAATGTAAACTGAAGGGACCTCATGACCAAAGCAAAGAGATGACCAATGATGACCACTTCTACTAGGCACAAGAAAGGGGTTCTATGTGGCTGGTTTGTAGGGTGCAGGAGAAGCCTGGAAGGGTGGGTTAGGGGCTGAATGTTCAAATACCTTGAAAGCTGGGCTTTGTTCTGTAGGTGAGAGCGAACCATCAGAAGTTCTTTTGGAGGGCGTGTTATTCTAAAAAGCCTGTTTTTATTATGTACATATTTATTTTTTGAGACGGAGTTTCACTCTTGTCACCCATGCTGGAGTGCAATGGGGTGATCTTGGCTCACTGCAACCTCTGCCTCCTGGGTTCAAGCAATTCTCCTGCCTCAGCCTCCCAAGTTGATGGGATCACAGGCACCCACAACCACGCCCCGCTAATTTTTTTTTTTTTTTTTTTTGTATTTTTAGTAGAGATGGGGTTTCACCATGTTGGCCAGGCTGCTCTCGAACTCCTGACCTCAGGTAATCCACTCGCCTCAGCCTCCCAAAGTGCTGGGATTACATGTGTTAGCCACCATGCCCGGAAAAAGCCTGTTATTTTACTTGATTCTTTTAAAAGATAGGCAAAGGTCAGATCTTTGGACTAGTGAGGAAAATACAGGTTAAATGATTTTTCCAAGTTAACCAGCAAGTCCATGATAGTGATGAAGGTAATGAAAATAGTAACAGCTAACATTTATCAAGTATTTTCTATATGCCAGGCCCTGTTCTAAGCACTTTATATGCATAATCTCACTTATTCCTCTCAACAACCATAGGTTGTAGGTTTTAATATTATCCCTGTATTGCATATGGATAAATATAGGACACAAACCAGTTAAATAATTTGCCCAAGGACACACAGTGTGTAAGAAGCAGAGCTAGAGGCCAGGCGTGGTGGCTCATGCCTGTAATCCCAGCACTTTGGGAGACCAAAGCAGGTGGATCACCTGAGGTCGGGAGTTCAAGACCAGCCTGGGCAACATGGTGAAACCCCATCTCTACCAAAAATACAAAAATTAGCTGGGCACGGTTGTGGACGCCTGTAATCCCAGCTACTCAGGAGGCTGAGGCAGGAGACTCACTTGAACCTGGGAGGCAGAGGTTGCAGTGAGCCAAGATCACACCACTATACTCTAGCCTAGGTGACGAGCAAAACTCTATCTCAAAAAAAAAAAAAAAAAAAAAAAAAAGAAGCAGGGCTAGAAATTGAACCCAGGCCATATAGCTTCAGCCTATGCCTTTATCAGCTGACTTCCTAGGTATTTGGGATTTTTATTTTATTTATTTATTTAGTTTTGAGACGGAGTCTCACTCTGTTGCCCAGGCTGGAGTGTAGTGGCATGATTTCAGCTTACGGCAACCTCTACCTCCCAGGTTCAAGTGATTCTTCTGCCTCAGCCTCCCAAGTAGCTAGGACTACAGGTGCCTGCCCCCACACCTGGCTAATTTTTGTATTTTTAGTAGAGACAGGGTTTTGCCATGTTGGCCAGGCTGGTCTTGAACTCCTGACCTCAGGTAATCCACCCGCCTCAGGCTACCAAAGTGTTGGGATTACAGGTGTGAGCCACCACGCCTGGCCGTATTTGGGATTTTTTTTTTTTTTTTTGAAACGGGGTTTCCCTCTTATTGCCCAGGCTGGAGTGCAATGGCACAATCTCGGCTCACCGCAACCTCTGCTTCCCGGGTTCAAGCAATTCTACTGCCTCGGTCTCCCGAGTAGCTGGGATTACAGGCATGTGCCACCACACCAGGCTAATTTTGTATTTTTAGTAGAGACGGGGTTTCACCATGTTGGTCAGGCTGGTTTCAAACTCCCGAACTCAGGTGATCCACCCGCCTCGTCCTCCCAAAGTGCTGGGATTATAGGCATGAACCACTGCGTCTGGCCCATATTTGGGATTTTTAAACAGGTAGGTGATGGGATCAGACTTGTAGTCACTTTGTTTGGCTACAGTGTGAAGAAGGAGTTGAAGGAGAGACTGAGAATAGGGAGACCAGACAGGAGGGCTGTTGTAATTGTCTAAACGTACATTGATGAGAACCTAAATTGGAAACAGATGTGAGATCTGTTAGGTCCTGGTGGGGATAGCACATAGCACATTATTTTTGACAATTTGCTTGTCTGTCATTGGACTATAGGCAATTTGAGAGCAGGGACTGCTTGTCTTGTTCACCATTCTGTCTTCTACCAGGATACCTTGAACATCTTCAGTGCTCAATAGTTGCTGAATGAATAAATGAGTCTGAGTAACTCCAAGGGTTTGCTTTTAGTGTCTGGCGGGCTTGGTGATCATTCATCAAAGACAGGGAAGATGGGCATTGGAGCAGGGTGGGGAATGTTGCAGAGATGCTGTTGACTTGGGGTATGCTAAGTTAGGTGTAACTATAGCAAACACGTGTAGACTTACTGTGTTCCAGACAGTGTTGTAAGCACCCTTCATGGGTAGGTGTCTCTGTTATCTAAAATTGGGAACTGAATAGACTTGAGTAGCAAGAGGTATTAATGATTTAACCATCACAACAACCTCATGAAGTAGGTACTATTATTATCATCAACTTTTAATTTTAGAGATTAGGAAGCTGAGCCATGGAAAAAGGAAGTGGCCCAAGGCCATATAAATAAGCTGCAGAGGGGATTTGAACCCGGTCAGCCAGGCTCCAGGCACTTAGCCACTGCACTGTACTGCTTCAGTAGAGCATAGAGGTCTGTGCTCAGGTCTAGGCTAGAGCTGGAACCTTCTAGAGTCAGTAAATATTCTGTACAGCACCACAAGACTGACAGTCATGGCTCAATCATTGTCTTCGCCTGTAATCAAGAAAGGCCTGGTTCCTCAAGGGTGGTGCTTGGAGATAGAGTGGTTCAGGTTGTGTCAGAAGTGGCCTCGGATTCTGCAGTCCCCCGAGCTAGAGTGTGCTATGTGTTCAGAGTAGGCTTCAAAGGCCATACCCCCTCATTGCCCCTACTCACCACCCCTAGACCTCTCTGCTCACCCTCAGCCACACTAGGTGCCACCCAGTCGCAGAGCAAAAGGAGTTTGCAGGGAGGGCTAGGAAATGGTGAGTATCAGAAAAGGTGTCCTCTGAGGGGTGGGTAAACTGCAGTTTAGCCCTCCCCAATAACTGCATTTCTCTATTTTTTTCTCCTTCTTTCTCTCCCTCATGCCCCTCCCAACCCCTCATCTCCCTGTCTTCCTCAGTGGTACTGACTGTCCTCACCCACACCCCTGCCCCTCGAGTGAGACTGGGACAAGATGCTCTGCTGGACTTGAGCTTTGCCTACATGCCCCCCACCTCCGAGGCCGCCTCATCTCTGGCTCCGGGTCCCCCTCCCTTTGGGCTAGAGTGGCGACGCCAGCACCTGGGTAAGGGACATCTGCTCCTGGCTGCAACTCCTGGGCTGAATGGCCAGATGCCAGCAGCCCAAGAAGGGGCCGTGGCATTTGCTGCTTGGGATGATGATGAGCCATGGGGCCCATGGACCGGAAATGGGACCTTCTGGCTGCCTACAGTTCAACCCTTTCAGGAGGGCACCTATCTGGCCACCATACACCTGCCATACCTGCAAGGACAGGTCACCCTGGAGCTTGCTGTGTACAGTGAGTTGGGGGACAGAGGTCTCCAGGGGTAGAGGGTGGGCACTGGATTGTGGGGACCGTAATAGGGGGAGGGATGATGGATAAGAGGGTGCCTGGGCAAGTAAGTAGAGATAGAAAGAGGTTCCTGGGAGTTAGAGGGGTAATGGGAGGCTAGAAGTTTCCTGGAAATTTGAGGGGCTTTGACATGGGTATTTCTGTGACGCACCAATGGAGAGACAGTGGGTTCCCTATTTCAGGAGAAGAAACCTAACCTTCTTTAGTTCTGAGGAAGCCAGCAGGCAAACTGAGGGTCTCTTAGGGAGGACAGTATGGACTGATTTCCCTATGCTCATTTCGTCCTCTTTCCCCAGAACCCCCCAAAGTGTCCCTGATGCCAGCAACCCTTGCACGGGCCGCCCCAGGGGAGGCACCCCCGGAATTGCTCTGCCTTGTGTCCCACTTCTACCCTTCTGGGGGCCTGGAGGTGGAGTGGGAACTCCGGGGTGGCCCAGGGGGCCGCTCTCAGAAGGCCGAGGGGCAGAGGTGGCTCTCGGCCCTGCGCCACCATTCCGATGGCTCTGTCAGCCTCTCTGGGCACTTGCAGCCGCCCCCAGTCACCACTGAGCAGCATGGGGCACGCTATGCCTGTCGAATTCACCATCCCAGCCTGCCTGCCTCGGGGCGCAGCGCTGAGGTCACCCTGGAGGTAGCAGGTAAGAGCTGGGAGCTCTGCGGAATCTGAGCCAGCACCCAGGAAGACAGGAGCTCACTCTCACCCCTTCTGCCTGCCAGGTCTTTCAGGGCCCTCCCTTGAGGACAGCGTAGGCCTTTTCCTGTCTGCCTTTCTTCTGCTTGGGCTCTTCAAGGCACTGGGCTGGGCTGGTAAGTGTCAGCCCTACCCTGACCATGACCTGAGGTTGGTGGACTTTCCCCACCTACTCCCAAGAGCCTGACACCCATCCCTCTGCCCTCCACCTCTACCACTCCAGCATCCCATCCCTTCTCAATCTTTCCCCACAGCTGTCTACCTGTCCACCTGCAAGGATTCAAAGAAGGTACAGTGCTCCACCTCTCTGTATCTTTCCCTTGTCACTTTATCTCCTCATCCTATCTCAAAACCCATGGAGGGAGGCTGCTGGTGTGGTAGGCAGAACCTAGGCTTGGAATTCACACTGATCTGGGTTAAAACCTGGCACTATATCCTAACTGTAGGACTCTTTGAGCATGCTACTTAATCTATATGTTTCCTTGGGTGTAGGGATTTTAAAAAGTTACTTAGGCAGTGCTGTCCAATAGAAAGATAATGCAAGCCACATATGTAAATTTAAATACTCTAGTACTCACATTAAAAAAATAAGCAGAAACAGGTAAAATTAACTTAATAATATACCTTATTTAATCTAATAATTCTGGTCCCTTATCTGAAATGCTTGGGTCAGAAGTGTTTTTGGATGTTGGATTTTTTCAGACTTTGGAATATTTGCATATATTTAATATCTTTGGGATCAGACCCAAATCTAAACACAGAAATCATTTATGTTTCCTATACACCTTATACACATGGCCTGAAGATTTTTTTCCTTCTCTTTTTTTTTGAGACAGAGTCTCTGTCGCCCAGGCTGGGGTGCAATGGTGCGATCTCGGCTCACTGCAACCTCCACCTCCCAGGTTCAAGCGATTCTCCTGCCTTAGCCTCCCGAGTAGTTGGGATTACAGGCACCCACCACCACGCCTGGCTAATTTTTGTATTTTTAGTAGAGACGGGGTTTCACCATGTTGGTCAGGCTGGTCTCGAACTCCCGACCTCAGGTGATCCGCCCGCTGCCTTGGCCTCCCAAAGCGTTGGGATTACAGGTGTGAACCGCTGCACCCGACCACAATATTTTTAATAATATATGTGACCCATCACATGAGGGCAGCTGTGGGATTTTCCACTTGTGGCATCATGTTGGCACTAAAAAAATTTCAGGTTTTGGAACATTTCAGATTTTAGAGTTTTGGATCGGCGATGCTCAACCTGTACATCCAAAATATTATTGCAACATGTAAACAATATAAGAAATTACAGGCCGGGTGCGATGGCTCATGCCTGTAATCCCTGCACTTTGGGAGGCCGAGGCGGGAGGATCACCTGAGGTCAGGAGTTCAAGACCAGCTTAGCCAACATGATGAAACCCCATCTCTACTAAAAATACAAAAAATTAGCCAGATGTGACGGCACCTGTAATCCCAGCTACTCGGGAGACTGGGGCAGGAGAATCGCTTGAACCTGGGAGGCAGAGGTTGCAGTGAGCTGAGATCACACCATTGCACTCCAGCCTGGGTGACAAAAGGAAAACTTCGTCTCAACAACAAAAAAAAAAGAAAAAGAAATTACAGTCTTGGCCAGGTGCGTTGGTTCACGCCTGTAATCCTAGCACTTTGGGAGGCTGAGGAGGGCGGATCACCTGAGGTCAGGAGTTCAAGACCAGCCTGGCCAACATGGTGAAACCCCGTCTCTACTAAAAATACAGAAAAATTAGCCGGGCATGGTGGTGCACACCTGTAATCTCAGCTACTCAGGAGGCTGAGGCAGGAGAATTGCTTGAACCTGGGAGGTGGAGGTTGCAGTGAGCCGAGATCGCACCACTGCACTCCAGCCTGGGCAACAGAGTGAGGCTCTGTCTCAAAAAACAAAACAAAACAAAACAAAACAAATTAGCTGGGCATGGTGGCACACAGCTATAGTCCCAGCTACTTGGGGAGCTGTGGCAGAAGGATCGCTTGAATCTGGGAGGGTGAGGCTGCAATGAGCTAAGGTTGTCCCACTGTACTCCAGCCTGGGTGACAAAGTGAGACCCTGTCTCAAAAAAAAAAAAAAAAAAAGAAAGAAAAGAAAATAAATTGCAGCCCTTTTCTCACCTTAAGTATTCAAACACAGGTGTTTATTTTAAATAGTCAGCACATCTCAATTCGGACTAGCCACATATCAAATGCTCAATAGCCTAATGTGGGTGGTGGCTGTCATATTGGACAGCGGAGCCTGAGAGGACTTTTAGGAGGATTAAGGAAGACAGTGTATCTCCTTAAGAAGATGCAGGAGATACAGCACTCAGCAGTGTCTGGAGGGCAGAAAATATTAGCCTCATCCTTCTCCCATCATCTGTGCCCATGATAGTTTATATGTCTCTAAACTGACCATGTACACCTCAACTGCCTTTTAATATCCTGAATTCCTCACCACCTTCCTCTCTTCCAGAAAGCAGAGTGAGGGCACTCACTGCCATCCTGTGGAAGCCACCATCATCTCTGGCCCAAGCTTCTGTAGTAGCTCCCTAAAATAATACCCTATCATCTGCTCCTAATCCCTCCAATCTCTCTCCACTGAGTGGCTGGAATGCTTTTTTTTTTTTCTTTCACTTATATAAGGGATAATTTTTCTTTTTTTTTTTTTTTTGAGACGGAGTCTCACTCTTCCGCCCAGGCTGCAGTGCAGTGGCATGATCTTGGCTTACTGCAACCTCCGCCTCCTGGGTTCAAGCAATTCTGTGGCTTCAGCCTCCGGAGTAGCTGGGATTACAGGCACATGCCACCACACCCAGTGAATTTTTGTATTTTTAGTAGAGACGGGGTTTCACCATGTTGGCCAGGCTGGTCTTGAATTCCTGACCTCAGGTGATCTGCCCACCTCAGCCTCCCAAAGTGCTGGGATTACAGGCGTGAGCCACCACACCAGGCCCGAGAAATGCTTTTTTAAAAAACACACATCTTATGGCATTCACCTTCTTGGAGCTCTAGGACAGTGGTTCTCAAAATTTTTTTCTCTCAGGACCTCTTAAAAATCATCAAGGACCCCAAAAAGCTTTTGGGTATGTGGGTTATAGCTATCAATATTTATGGTACTAGAACTTAAAAGTGAGAAAAATTTAAAACACGAGAATACATAGGCACACATTCTATTCATCGTGGGAACCATGGTGTCAATACATATCATGTAGCTTCTGAAAAACTCCACTGTACACTTATAGAATGAAGAAGGCAAAAAACTTTTTTTTTTTTTTTTTTGAGACGGAGTCTCGCTCTGTCGCCCAGGCTGGAGTGCAGTGGCGCGATCTCGGCTCACTGCAAGCTCCGCCTCTCGGGTTCACGCCATTCTCCTGCCTCAGCCTCCCAAGTAGCTCGGACTACAGGCGTCCTCCACCATGCCTGGCTAATATTTTGTATTTTTTAGTAGAGACGGGGTTTCACCGTGTTAGCCAGGATGGTCTCGATCTCCTAACCTGGTGATCCGCCCGCCTCGGCCTCCCAAAGTATTGGGATTACCCGCGTGAGCCACCGCGCCCGGCTGCAAATAATCTTTCTTTTTTTCTGAGACAGAGTCTCGCTCTGTTGCCCAGGCTGGAGTGCAGTGGCACGATCTCGGCTCACGGCACGCTCCGCCTCCCGGGTTCACGCCATTCTCCTGCCTCAGCTTCCCGAGTAGCTGGGACTACAGGGGCCCGCCACCACGCCCGGCTAACTTTTTGTGTTTTTAGTAGAGACGGGGTTTCACCGTGTTAGCCAGGATGGTCTCGATCTCCTGACCTTGTGATCTGCCCGCCTCGGCCTCCCAAAGTGCTGGGATTACAGGCGTGAGCCACCGCGCCCGGCGGCGAAACACGATATTGTACTAACATCTTAATTTTGTTATAAAATCTCACAAACCCCCTGACATAGTCTCAGAGATCTGTAGGGCCGAGGTTACATTTGGAGAACCCGTACTCTAGGGCCAAATCCATTCTTCTTGCCCTGGCTCACTTGTCCCCCCCACCGCCCCGCGCTGGAGCCACTGCCTAGTTCTTCAGCCCTAGATGGTGCTCGCCAGACCTCCTCTCAATGCTCATCACACACAGGGCTATTCCTTTCCTCCAATGAACCAAACGCCTCCCGCCCACCTCCAGGTCCCAGTCCTCTGTTCCCTTTGCCTGGTCCACCCTTGCCCTCCCTGGGTCGCAGACGAGGTCGGCCTCGTCATTCCCCGCAGACCGCCGCGCGTCCCTCTTGTGCGGTTCACCACAGTTGTATTTAAGTGATCGTGTGAGTCGTCGTTAAATGCCTGTCTCCCCGCGGATCATGGGCTCCTCGAGGACAGGGACTGGCCTGTCTGTCCACTGCTGTAACCCCGCGCCGGCATAGGGACCTAAGGCCCACTGGAGGGCGCTCATCAAGTAGCTGCTGGATGTTGACGAAGGAAGCGGCGGCGCAGCTCAGGGATCTCCGAGTCAGGACGGTCGGCCAGACCCACGGGGTAACGGGTCTAATCGTGTAGGAATAAAGCTGTATTCCAGTGCTTCCAAACGGTTCTCTCATTCCAACCCCTTTCCAAGCTCAATGAATATTCCAATCACCTCTGGTCCCTTCCAGTGACCCTGAACCGCTCAGAGAACGCCCCGTCGACACCGTTCGGGGCGGGCGCCACTACTGGCGCATGAGATGCGCTCAAGCAGAGGGTACTCCACCAGCGAGGATACACCGAGCCGACGGGGATCTCGGTCTCGGCGCCGGAAGCCTCTGAGAGCCGAATCTGGAACCGGATGTGGCTGCTTCCTGCCCCGCCCCCTGCCGAGGGGGCGGGAATCGAGGGCCCTTCGGAAAACCCGGCCGGGATTTCGGTCAGCTACATTCGTGGGTTGTGGTAGGGAGGGTAATCCCGTGGGGATGGAGTGACCGGCTCTCTCTCCGCCTGAAACGCTTCCCGCGGGAGTTTTAGCCGTGTTATTGTTGGGGAAGGGAATGTCAAATTCTGCTCCTGCCTTCCCCCAGGGGCTGGAGACTGGAATCTTTATTCCAGTTCATTGCGGGTCGACGTGGTCTCCAGAATCCCCGAGTGTAGAGGCGGAGGACAGTGGAGCTGGGGACTCGGGCGCCTGGGTCCTGGTCCCTGAGCGTCCAGCGCTCCCCTAGTCCGCGGCCCTGGCTCCTGTCCTCACTTCCTTCCCCTTTTGGCTCCTGCTCTCGGAGCGGGCGGACGCGGGGGGGAGCGGAAAGGGCGGGAGGGCCCAGGAGCCCGGCGGGGGGGTTCAAGGGGGTACGGAAAAGCCGGGGAGGGGACTCGGTCCGGGGCCGGAGACCGACGGCAACAGCGGCTCAGGACCCACGCTGCCCCCACCCCTCCCGAGCAGGTCAGAGCCTGAGCACCCTGCGCGTCCCCGTACTCGTGACCTCCTCCTTCCCCAACAGCACCAAGGGCCCCCCTATTCCACCCTTCTGTTGCCCCCTCCCCCAACCTTCCTGCAGAACTCCCTTCCGGTCTTCTTGACACCCACCCACGTCCCTTCCCTGCCCGGTTCCCCCGCGCCTGCCTGACTCTCCACCCCCACCCCACCCCGTCTCTCCCCAGGCGCCCCCATGGCCCGACCCCGCTGATTCCTTCACTCGGCCATGCTCCCGCGGCCCCTGCGGCTGCTTTTGGACACGAGCCCCCCCGGGGGAGTCGTACTGAGCAGCTTCCGAAGCCGGGACCCCGAAGAGGGTGGGGGCCCAGGTGGCCTGGTCGTGGGCGGGGGGCAGGAGGAAGAGGAGGAGGAAGAAGAAGAGGTGAGACGCGGGTGGTGGGAGGTAGGGGGCGTATGTATTTCTGAAGTCTCCACTTTTCTCTTGTCTCTGGGTCCCTACATCTCCTCCTCCTTGCCTCAGTTATTCTCGCGCCTCCCTGGGTGTCGGCCCGTTTCTCTGCTGCGGGGAGTCCTGGCGTCTCCGTGGTTCTCTGTCAGTGTGACTCAGGACCTGCCCGCAGGAACCTGCCCTGTTCCTGCCTGGAACTTCTGGCTGGCTGTCCTGTCCCTGCGGGTCTTTGGCCCTCCACCTCTGCCTGCCTGAGTGTGCCTACCTCTCTGAGCAGTCGTGTCTTGGTCCCTGTCTCCCTCCTTGTTTTTGTTTGGCGGGGAGGGGTTTGTTTCCACAGTAACCAGCTCCTCTGACTCTGGGATTGGGGAGGGAACCCTCAGATTTCGTGACCCCTCCTTCCCTCTCTCCCCCTTCCCCCCGCCCCCCCGCCCCGCCCCGGTCCTGGGTAGAGGCCGGGAAGCCACGGTTCTGGGACCTGGAGGAAAGATCCTAGGGTGGGTAGAGAGTGGTCATCTGTTTTCATTAGGGATTAATGGTGGTGGCCAGGAGCAGGATTTCGGGCCTCAGGAGGGGCCAGAATTTGGATTTGGGGCCCCGAGGCCCTAAACTCCTAGGTCCAGATCCTAGGTGAGGGCAGGTTGACTGGCAGGGCTGGTTTTTCGGGATCGGTCGGGGGAGGGGCTGGGGCCACGTGACTCTCTGAGTCTACCGCCCCCAACCCCCTATCATCCCACTTCCCCTTTTCCTTCCTGTACTGGGATTGGAGCTGCTACCTTCGGGGGTCCCTTAGGGCTGAGATAGTGGAGGCGCTACCCGAGGGACCAGGGTGAAAGGGGTCCTGAAAAAGACTAATTCTCTGGGCTGGTATAGTCCTTGGCCGGGAGGGGCGGGGCATGCGGCAGTGCCTGGACTGAGGTTTCAGCTACCCCTAGTCGCTGCCTCTGGCTTGCTGCCTCTCGCTTCCCTCTCCTGCCCTTTGTACCCTGCTTCTCTGTCGTGTGTGGGTTCAGCTCTGGGGAGAAGGGGCTTTGGGGGTCTCCAGGATCAGAATTCCTGTACTCCATCCACGCCTCCACTGCAGCCCCTTCGACTCCACCGGGGCCCTGAGGCGGCTGGGGTGGGGCTGTCTGGGCCCCAGTGGGGGAGACCTGGGGTCACCAGCTCCCCCAACCCTTCCTCGCACTCGCTGGTACTATGCCCTGCCACCACAGGTGAGGGGTACAGAGGGAGGAGCAGGGCCTGGGGTGAAGGCTGAGGGCAATGGGGGGTGGTGTGGAACTGTCTGACTTCCCCTTCCTTGCTCCTCCAGGCCCCTGTGTCCGTCTGGGATGAGGAGGAGGATGGTGCCGTGTTTACCGTCACAAGCCGCCAATATCGACCTCTTGATCCCTTGGTGAGATCATGACTTTAGCTTCTCACCTCTGACTCTTCATTCCCAGTTTTCCTTCCTCTGGCTGACTTTCTGGCCAGAGTGCTAGGTTGGAGTTCTGGAGTCCTGGACTCTGCTGTGTGACATAGGCCAAGACTCTTGCCCTCTCTGAATATCAGAAAAATGAGTCTGGAACATCTCCTGGGTCTGGGATTGTCCTCAGAAATCTAGGTGCAGAGTGGGAGAAAGGGTTAGCGATCATCTCTCTGTGTTCTCCAGGTCCCTATGCCTCCCCCACGTTCCTCCCGACGGCTCCGAGCTGGCACTCTGGAGGCCCTGGTCAGACACCTACTGGATACCCGGACATCAGGGACTGATGTGAGCTTCATGTCAGCCTTCCTGGCTACCCACCGGGCCTTCACCTCCACGCCTGCCTTGCTAGGGCTTATGGCTGACAGGTCAGAGTCATAAGGGACGCAGGGTAGTGGAGTATCTGCCCGGATTTCCTAAAGCCGCAACATCCCACCAAAATAGTCAAAGCCACTGAGGGTTTGGGAAAAATGGACAGATAGATCCTCTTCTCCCCCTCAGGCTGGAAGCCCTTGAATCTCATCCTACCGACGAACTAGAGAGGACAACAGAGTGAGTGACCCCTGGTTCTTAATCTCACAGTCCCCTCTGCCCAGGCTGCAGCTTTACCTCTCACCCTTGGCTGATTCCCTTCTCCCAGGGTAGCCATCTCTGTACTGTCAACCTGGCTGGCCTCTCACCCTGAGGATTTTGGCTCTGAGGCCAAGGGTCAGCTTGACCGGCTTGAGAGCTTCTTACTTCAGACAGGGTATGCAGCAGGGAAGGGTGTTGGGGGGGGCAGCGCTGACCTCATCCGCAATCTCCGGTCCCGGGTGGACCCCCAGGCCCCCGACCTTCCTAAGCCCCTGGCCCTCCCCGGCGATCCCCCTGCTGACCCCACGGATGTCCTGGTGTTCCTCGCTGACCACTTGGCCGAACAGCTGACCCTGCTAGATGCGGTGAGACCCTGACCTCTGGCCCCTATGCCCCCTGACCCCTTACTAACCTCTCCTTGACTCCAGATCCTTTCCTTGCTTCCACCCCTTCCTGATCCAGCTCCTAGCCTCCTCCACCTACCATTTTGATTCTCCCCTTTTCCCTTTGGTCGTTACCCTTCAAACCCTGTGCCCCTCTGGTTCCTTGGCCACCTGAGATCCTCAGATCCCTGATATTGGAAGGCTGACCTCACTTGACTATGAACTTTAACCTCTGACCTCTACCCTGCAGGAACTTTTTCTCAATTTGATCCCCTCTCAGTGCCTGGGAGGCCTGTGGGGTCACAGAGACCGGCCAGGACATTCTCACCTCTGCCCATCTGTCCGAGCTACTGTCACACAGTTTAACAAGGTGGCAGGGGCAGTGGTTAGTTCTGTCCTGGGGGCTACTTCCACTGGAGAGGGACCTGGGGAGGTGACCATACGGCCACTCCGTCCCCCACAGAGGGCCCGGCTCCTGGAGAAGTGGATCCGCGTGGCAGAGGTGAGAGAGAAGATTGCCCTACGGTTTGTGGCCATGGAATGGAGAGGCCTCCCATAGCCTTAGCTCTCTTCTTTGACCCCCACAGGAGTGCCGGCTGCTCCGAAACTTCTCTTCAGTTTATGCCGTGGTGTCAGCCCTGCAGTCCAGCCCCATCCACAGGCTTCGGGCAGCCTGGGGGGAAGCAACCAGGTGCGGAGGCTGAGGCATTGGACTGGGGTGGGGGTTCCTCAGAAGGCGGGGAAGAGGGGGTGACAGAGCCAGGCCTGTCCTCAGGGCCACTTTTCTCCCTTCCCCAGGGACAGCCTCAGAGTCTTTTCCAGCCTCTGCCAGATTTTCTCCGAGGAGGATAATTATTCCCAGAGTCGGGAGCTGCTCGTGCAGGTGAGAGCCTGGTTTGTGGCATTCCCACCTCTCCTTGTTCCCTACTGCTCCCCCATGTCTCTTTTATTTTGTCACCACCAGGAGGTGAAGCTGCAGTCTCCTCTGGAGCCACACTCCAAGAAGGCCCCGAGGTCTGGCTCCCGGGGTGGGGTGAGTGACTAGCGGGGTGGTGGGCGTGGGGGTGGTGATTATGAAGGGGTGAGGAGTATGTTTTGGGGGAGCAGCCTGAAGGATGGGTAAGGGAGGCACAGAGGGGTGAGGAGAATGAAATCTGTTCTCTGAGGCAATGAGGAGGGCAAGTGCGGAGGGATGGAGGGCCCTCACGTCAATGGCAGGCACTTCTGACCCTGACCCCTGACTTCAGGGTGTGGTCCCATACCTTGGCACCTTCCTGAAGGACCTTGTGATGCTGGATGCAGCCTCCAAGGATGAGTTGGAGGTCAGTGGTGTGTGTGTGTGTCATTGCAATGATGTAACAAGTGGGCTGCAGGGTCGGACAGACCCCCCCGCCCCTTGCAAGGGGCTGTAAGGCACAAATAGCTGAGTGTGGGACAGAGCCAGATCTGTTTCTGTGCCAAGTCGCCTCAGTGATCTGTAAATGGGAAACTAGAAATAGCATCTACATTGATCTGTTATAAGGGTTAAATGAATTTGTATTTGTCAAGTGCTTAGAACGTGCCTGAAACGTAAGCACATCTAGGTTTTGTGATGGGCTCCTGCTCTATTGCTAGAGTTTGTTAAATAAACAAATACTGAGACCTTGGACAAGTTCCTTATCCTCTCTGGATAAGGAATCCTGTCGAATTGGATACTATCCAGTCCTCTCATCTGCAAAGCAGACTCGTTGTCTACCTGAGAAATTCAATTTAAAGGGTCAAGTGGAGTGCTTAGGCCATGATAGATTGAGGAGGAAGGCAGGGAGGGATCGAAGAGTCAGAGAGGCTGGAGGGAAGTGGTTGTGAGTTGGATGTGGCTGTGTGTGTTTAAGAGAGGGGATATTCTCTCTCTGTGGCCGGAAGGTAGGGTTGGAACTTTCACCCCATCCCCATTTTCCTCGCAGAATGGATACATCAATTTTGACAAGCGGAGGAAGGTGAGCGGAGTGTCTGGGCTGGATGCTGGACTTCCCTATCCATGTTCCAGGAAGGGGAGGGGGAAAAGTCAGGGGTCCCTGAGTTTTGGCTCCTGCAGTTTGAGGGCTCCTTCCCAGGAGTTTGCAGTCCTTTCTGAGTTGCGACGGCTCCAGAATGAATGTCGTGGCTATAACCTCCAACCTGACCATGATATCCAGAGGTGGCTACAGGGGCTCCGGCCACTGACAGAGGCTCAGAGGTGACTGGCGGGTGAGGTTGGGACTCCAGGGTTCTGGCCAGGTGTGGGGGATTGGTGTCATGTCCTGAGCTCTGCCTATTGCCCCCCTAACCCAGCCATCGTGTATCCTGTGAGGTGGAGCCACCTGGTTCCAGTGACCCTCCTGCCCCACGGGTGCTTCGGCCAACATT
This sequence comes from Homo sapiens, assembly GCF_000001405.40. Taxonomy (NCBI): domain Eukaryota; kingdom Metazoa; phylum Chordata; class Mammalia; order Primates; family Hominidae; genus Homo; species Homo sapiens. Next base: position 33,293,624 of record NC_000006.12, on the reverse strand, counting down.
GGTCATCTCGCAGTGGACAGAGTGAGAGATTCACTGGCTGGGGGGTGGTTTCTTGGGACTTCCACTTTTCTCTGATCCTCCCAATCTCCTGCCACTGCAGGGTTTTGGGCTCTGTTGGGGTCCCTACCCCGCTTGTGTCCTGTGACCGGCCCAGTACTGGGGGAGATGAGGCGCCTACAACTCCTGCTCCTCTGCTGACTCGGCTGGCCCAGGTGAGCTCTGCTCCTGACTCTGACCTTGACGCTGACCCTCACTCTGTAAATGTTTCTTCCTTAAACCTCCCTGCCTTCATGCCAGTCCCATGTTGTTTGTTCCTAGCACATGAAGTGGCCATCTGTCTCGTCACTAGACTCTGCCTTGGAAAGCAGTCCATCCCTGCACAGTCCAGCTGACCCCAGCCACCTCTCCCCACCAGCCTCCTCCCCTAGGCCTTCTCGAGGTCACCGCCGCTCAGCCTCCTGTGGCTCCCCGCTGAGTGGGGGTGCAGAAGAGGCCTCCGGGGGGACTGGATATGGGGGAGAGGGATCTGGGCCAGGGGCCTCTGATTGCCGTATCATCCGAGTCCAGATGGAGTTGGGGGAAGATGGCAGTGTCTATAAGAGCATTTTGGTGAGGGAGCCTTGGGATGGAGTTGGGGTGAAGGATGGTGTCTTGTTGGACTATAAATGTTGTCTGAGGTTTGGGCAGCCAAATGGAATTGAATGTAGTTTTAATTTTGACCTTTGGTTTTGGCAGTTATGTTTTATTTTTAATTTTATCTTCTAAACTCTAGTCTTCAATAGAAGCTGAAATTTGTTTTATTTTGATGGCTATTTTGCATTAGTTGCTACACCTTAAACTTTTGGTCGCCGTGTTAAAATTTCAGAATCAACAGCAGTTTCCCCACAGGGAAGCAGCTCTGTTTCACTGGGCACCATGTGGGCTGGCTTATGGGGTATAGGAAGCCACCATATTGGGTTTTCCTGTTCATTTTAAAGCCTTGGACACAAGTAACATTTTGTGGTTGGGTTCAGTGGCTGAGGGTAGAAGGATGGGAAATCATGGCTGATTGATTGCTCTTTTGGTCTCCTGTTCTGCCAGGTGACAAGCCAGGACAAGGCTCCAAGTGTCATCAGTCGTGTCCTTAAGAAAAACAATCGTGACTCTGCAGTGGCTTCAGAGTATGAGCTGGTACAGCTGCTACCAGGGGAGCGAGGTCAGAGGCCATGAGGGAAAGGCAGACTCGGGAGGAGAGTGGAGTACTTCCACATCTGGGCGGCTGTGGGGGGAACAACTGTGTGTGTGCTTTACATCCATCCCCTGAACCTTCAGAGCTGACTATCCCAGCCTCGGCTAATGTATTCTACGCCATGGATGGAGCTTCACACGATTTCCTCCTGCGGCAGCGGCGAAGGTCCTCTACTGCTACACCTGGCGTCACCAGTGGCCCGTCTGCCTCAGGAACTCCTCCGAGTGAGGGAGGAGGGGGCTCCTTTCCCAGGATCAAGGCCACAGGGAGGAAGATTGCACGGGCACTGTTCTGAGGAGGAAGCCCCGTTGGCTTACAGAAGTCATGGTGTTCATACCAGATGTGGGTAGCCATCCTGAATGGTGGCAATTATATCACATTGAGACAGAAATTCAGAAAGGGAGCCAGCCACCCTGGGGCAGTGAAGTGCCACTGGTTTACCAGACAGCTGAGAAATCCAGCCCTGTGGGAACTGGTGTCTTATAACCAAGTTGGATACCTGTGTATAGCTTCCCACCTTCCATGAGTGCAGCACACAGGTAGTGCTGGAAAAACGCATCAGTTTCTGATTCTTGGCCATATCCTAACATGCAAGGGCCAAGCAAAGGCTTCAAGGCTCTGAGCCCCAGGGCAGAGGGGAATGGCAAAATGTAGGTCCTCGCAGGAGCTCTTCTTCCCACTCTGGGGGTTTCTATCACTGTGACAACACTAAGATAATAAACCAAAACACTACCTGAATTCTACTCCCCTGTCCTTGCAGTACATATGAACTGGCTGCTATGAGTGGGGGTGGGGAATTGGCTGAAGGTAGATGCCATGGAACAGGAAGGGGCACAATGTTTTCTGTCCCCATGAACAGAGCAAAAAGTGAGGTATTGGTGAAAAAAGTTTCCTCAGAACAGTTTCTCTCCAGTAACCTCTCTACCACTGGTCCCTTGCTGCAAATGTGTATAAAACAATTTTAGGACAAGGAAATGGCAGAACAACTTTATGGACAACATATAAACTTGGGAGGACTTATAATACCATAAAGCATTACATGCTGGGATTTTAAGTCAGTTTAAAGCTACATTCAAGCAAATTCTAGGAAGACAGAGGCTGAAAAGTACTAATAGAGATGCCAGGGCTGTTGGCAAGGAGGGTAACCACATTTCATCCTGGGGCCTCAGGTTAGAGAACTGTGTATTCTTTTTCAATTAAACCGACATTCCTAGCAATATGGTATGTTGCAAATGCCCTTCCAAAAGAATCATGCCAACCAAGATGAGGGAGAGTTAAGGGTTGTATATACAGGCAAGAAGTAGGTTTGAAGACATTTAGGATTTCACTTTCAAGAAAGAACACTGTGCCACAAAGAGATTCCAAGTGCAAGAGTTTGAACCTGAGGGGGTAATACAGGTGGTGTGTGTTAAGGTGGAAGGGGCTGTGGGGATATGACAGAAGTGCCTGGTCAGGAAACAGAGCCAGGTGTTTTTACATTTTATTAGCTACAGTATAGATCCTAGAGCTGCCTCATTCCCTCCCCTCCCCTCCCCTCCCCCCACCATGGGGTCAGGCCTTGCCAGGAGCCCCTGCCTTTGCTGCCTGGGCCCGCTGGAACTCCTGCTGCAGCTGAGCAAGGGTCTCCCTCTGTTGCTCTGACTGCCGCTCAAGATCCCGAAGCTGGGATTCGTATCGCTTACTAAGGAGAGACAAGGGAGACAAGCAGAAAGGGAGAAATTAGTAGGACTCACTATGGAGAGTGCTAAACGCAAGAAAGAGATAGGTGGAAAACTTGAGATCCAGGGGAGGGAGAAGAAGGGGGGTTAAAAGGGAAGGAAAGGGTTGGAGGAACTGGAGGACTAGGGGCCACTATGGAGAGCTGTTCTGCAATGGTTCAACACCTCTACTCCAATGGTTCACTTGCATCACAGGGTGCAGCACACGGTGGTGGAATAAAAACTCACATTTCAGCTGTGATATAGTCCAGCCTCTTCCCTACTGTGGCCCGAGCCTCCCCCAGCTCCTGTTTGACTAGCACCGGACCCAGAAGTTTAAAGACCACGTTGGACCCATCCAGCAGGGCCAGTTCCTGATGGAGGGATGGGACATATGTGATCAGAACCATGGCTAGTACAGGTCCCTCCTCGCCCCACAAATCCCAGTCCCTCACCTCTTTCACGATATTATTTTCTGTTAGTTGTGCTTCAAGTTTCTGCCTCCCCGACATGGATTTACTTAAGTCTGGGGATGAGAGGAAAGGCAATTTAGAAACATCAAATGTGCCACCTATCCCCACAATCCTAGTCAGGTGGATATGGATCTGAGGAAGCAGAAAAGGATGGGGGCAGCGGGTGAGTGAACAGGGAAGAGTACTGAGACTGAGGCGGGGAAGTCTCTGCACGCGAGGGCCCAGATGGGGCAACAAACCTTATCTCGGTAATGGCTTTGGGTTGTAAGTGCATTGGGCGAGACCATACCGACCCTGTTCCCTTACCCTTCTGTAGCTGTTGATATTTCTCCACTTCTCCCTGTAGCTTCTTCTGGATCAGCTCCGCCATGGCGGGGATGAAAGCCTACTGGGTGCGAGACAAGGGCGCTGGGTCTCACTCTCTGGAAGGTACCTGAGCTCCCTTTTCTGATCTGGCCTGCGGAAATGATAGCACTCTTGAGAGGTAGCCCTGAGGGGCACCGCAACCTCCCCCCCGTCCCGGATATCGACTCCACCCTGTCCCCAGGAGATGGTGGGCGAAACGCAAGACCCCAAGCCTCTCAACCGAAATCCTAACCTACTCACGTTCTTCCTTCAGTAGTAATAAACCCGGAAGTAAACAAGGAATGCTGGGAAAAGACTGTGCCGGAAGTTTCTTTCTGACCCTTGATGGGAAGTGTAGTTCTGACATGTTTAGGGAGTGGAGTTCTGCTAAAAAGACTAGACTAGGACATTTTTAGGCAAGATGGGGAAACTAATCCAGAAAAAGAAACCGCACCGCTACTTAGCCCCTGGCTCCGGACCTGCCTTTCTTTTTTAAATCACTCTTGCATAAGCTGCCGCTCGCGATAAGGTGCCAAAAACTGTTCCGCCCCTCTAAGGAGAGCGTGCCCTCACTCAAGATGGCACCTAGAGAGCTTCATACCTGGTACGCTGCTGATTGGATGAAGGACAGAGGGCTTCCGGGAGTTTTCAAGCCGACTGTGTGGCAGCTGAGAGGAGTTTTGCACGTGGATCGCCGTTCGGGTGGGCGAGATGGAGACAGCCCCCAAGCCGGGCAAGGATGTCCCGCCCAAGAAAGACAAACTTCAGACCAAGAGAAAGGTAGAGGCCTCCCTGGGTGGGAAACGAAGTTTTTAGCTGTGGGGTCGGGGGGCGGGGCGTGAGTGCGGAGTTCCTGATGTGCCTGTAGAAACCGCGGCGATACTGGGAGGAAGAGACCGTTCCGACCACAGCCGGAGCCTCTCCAGGGCCTCCTCGTAACAAGAAGAATCGGGAGCTCCGTCCTCAGAGACCAAAAAATGCTTACATCTTAAAGAAGTCTCGGATCTCTAAGAAGCCTCAGGTCCCGAAGAAACCCCGAGAATGGAAGAACCCGGAGTCCCAGCGCGGCTTGTCCGGGGTGAGCGTGGGACCTGATGGGTGGCGAGGCAGGCCGCCTCGTTCCTTGAGAGTGAGAGGGTTGGGGTCAATCCAAGGCTGTCTGCTAATTGCGTCCTCCTTTCCCCTAGACCCAAGATCCATTCCCAGGCCCCGCCCCCGTCCCTGTGGAAGTGGTCCAGAAGTTCTGTCGCATTGACAAATCCCGAAAGGTGAGGTCCAGCCGGAGAGTTGGGAAGTGCTGGAGGCAGGGAGTGTCTGGGTGAGTTGGATGGAGGCTGGGACAGGTAGCTCTCCTGTGACCCCACTTATCCTGTGGTTCTTCTGCCACTCCTCCCCACCAACAATGTTACAGCTACCACATTCTAAAGCCAAAACTCGAAGCCGACTTGAGGTGGCTGAAGCTGAGGAAGAGGAAACAAGTATCAAAGCTGCTCGTTCTGAGCTGCTGCTTGCTGAAGAACCTGGGTGAGTGAGCCCTAATCTGGACCCCCATTCCCTGCCTTTTGGGACTGTCTTTTCTCGTTTTTATGTTGGTATACTTGCTTCATATTGGGAAGCTTTACTGCCATCCTAACCCTTGCTTTCAGGTTTCTGGAAGGGGAGGATGGGGAAGACACAGCAAAGATATGCCAGGCTGACATTGTGGAGGCTGTGGACATTGCAAGTGCAGCCAAGGTGAGCCTGAGGAGGTAAAGGAGCCAAGGGATTGATTGGTGGTGCAGGACAATAGAGGAATGGGGGCTAGAAGAAGGCGTTACTGCAGGGCACTCTTTTTTTTCACTCTTCTCTTTCCCAGCACTTTGACTTGAATCTGCGGCAGTTTGGACCCTACAGACTAAACTACTCTCGAACTGGAAGGTAAGGTTGAATTCTAGTGACTCTTGAACTAAGATGTGTTTCCTTAACCACTTCAGCCATTCCCAGTGTATGTTTGGGTTGCTGATGAGGGGAGGGTCCTTCGATTTGCTTGGGTGTGAGGGTAAGCACCTACAGCAACATGTGTCTGCCCGCCTGGAGAGATGGGGCTGGCGTGGGGCAGACCTCAAGTTGTCTGAGTCGGTGGTCCCCTGCCTTAACACCCTGCCTGCCCCTCACCTCCAACAGACACCTGGCTTTTGGAGGGCGCCGAGGTCATGTGGCTGCCCTTGATTGGGTAACAAAGAAGCTTATGTGCGAGATCAACGTCATGGAGGCGGTGCGGGACATCCGGTCAGTGGCCTCACTGTCAGCGGTCAGTTGGGGTGAGATAGTCCATTCCTGATTGAATGATAGCCTGTGACCTCATTTCCCAATTGAACCACTCTTCCTCTCCCCCAGGTTTCTCCATTCTGAGGCACTGCTTGCTGTTGCTCAGAACCGCTGGCTCCACATCTATGACAATCAGGGCATTGAGCTCCACTGTATCCGCCGCTGTGACCGAGTAACACGGCTTGAGTTCCTGCCCTTCCACTTCCTCCTGGCTACAGCTGTGAGTGGCCATGGAGCTCAGGAACTGGTTGGAAGCCCTTGGGATGACCACCTCTCCTTTAGGACCCCAGCAGAGGGAATACAGAGGGCAATCAGGACTGGGTCATTCTCTCTGTCTTTCTCTCTCAGTCAGAAACAGGGTTTCTAACCTACCTGGATGTGTCAGTGGGGAAGATTGTGGCAGCTCTGAATGCTCGAGCTGGGCGGCTCGATGTTATGAGTCAGAACCCTTACAATGCCGTCATCCATCTCGGACACAGCAATGGTCAGTACCTGGCTTAGTTTTGACTCTGACCATCCTGACTTGCTTTTCTTCTATATTTGTACTTCATGAGTCCCTTAAAGTTACCCTTTTATTTCCCTTTTTTGTTATCTCTTGGTCTTGAGTTCCCATCTTTCCCATGTTTAGTAACCTCAGGCTTAGGTGTGTATTAGCAACTTTGGTTCTTCTTCTCTTCCAGGTACTGTGTCTTTATGGAGTCCAGCTATGAAGGAGCCACTGGCAAAGATTCTCTGTCATCGTGGTGGGGTCCGGGCTGTGGCAGTAGATTCTACAGGCACGTAAGTCACTGGTGGGGTGAGGTGTTAGGAGTCATAGGTGGGCAGAAAGGTGTGGAAGGCAGTGTGCTTTAGGAGCACAGAGTCTAAAGCCAGGATGCCCAGGTTTAAATCGCAGTGTTACCACGGATGGGCCTTGCAAGTATAGGCATATTTCATAACCTCTGTGTGCCACAGTTTCCTGACCCCGAAAATGGAAATATGAGTGTCCATTTCAAGGGTCCACAAACTTTTTCTGTAAAGAGTCAGATAGTAAATATTTTATGATTTGCTGATAAGAGGTAAAATCAAAGGGTACCATGTAGGCATTTAAATACCAAGAGAAAACAAATTATCACAACTTTTTTTTTTGAGATGGAGTCTCGCTCTGACACCCAGGCTGGAGTGCAATGGCGCAATCTCAGCTCACTGCAACCTCCACCTCTCAGGTTCAAGTGATTCTCCTGCCTTGGCCTCTCGAGTATCTGGGACTACAGGCGCCTGCTACAACACCTGGCTAATTTTTGTATTTTTAGTAGAGACAGGGTTTCAGCATGTTGTTCAGGCTGGTCTCGAATTCCTGACCTCAAGTGATCTGCCCGCCTCAGCCTCCCAAAGTGCTGGGATTATAGGCGTGAGCCACTGCGCCTGACCTTTTTTTTTTTAAATCTTTTGAGAGAGACGTAGTCTTGCTCTGTCTCCCAGGTTGGAGTGCAGTGGCGTGATCTCGGCTCACTGCAACCTCCGCCTCCCAGATTCAAGCGATTCTCCTGCCTCAGTCTCCCAAGTAGCTGGGATTACAGGCACCTGCCATCATGCCCAGCTAATTTTGTATTTTTTTGTAGAGACGGGGTTTTACTGTGTTGGCCAGGCTGGTCTTGAACTCCTGACCTCAGATGATCTGCCCGCCTCGGCCTCCCAAAGTGTTGGGATTACAGGCGTGAGCCACTGCGCCTGGCCCACACATTTTTAGGTTATAAAATTAAACGTAATATGGCCAGGTGCGGTGGCTCACGCCTGTAATCCCAGCACTTTGGAGGCCAAGGCGGGTGGATCGCCTGAGGTCAGGAGTTTGAGACCAGCCTGGCCAACATGGCGAAACTCTGTCTCTACTAAAAATTCACAAAATTAGCCGGGTGTCGTGGCGGGGGCCTGTAATTCCGGCAACTTGGGAGGCTGAGGCAGGAGAATTGCTTGAACCTGGGAGGCAGGGGTTGCAGTGAGCCAAGACTGTGCCATTGCACTCCAACCTGGGCAACAAGAGCAAAACTCCGTCTCAAAAACAAACAAACAAACAAAACATAATATGAGACTGGACACAGTGGCTCATGCCTGTAATCTTAACAGTTTGGTAGGCTGAGGTGGGCAGATCACTTGAGCCCAGAAGTTCGAAACAAGCCATGTCACCCATGACATGGCAAAACTCTGTCTCTACAGAAGATAGAAAAATTAGCCGGGTGTGGTGGTGCATGCCTGTAGTCCCAGCTACTCAGGAGGCTGAGGTGATCCTCCCACCTCAGCCCAGGAGGTTAAGGCTGCAGTGAGCTGTGATCATGCCACTGCACTCTAGCATGGGCAACAGAGTGAGACCCGGTCTCAGAAAAAAAAAATAATAATAATCAAATATATTTGTGTAATACAGATCTACTAATGGGAAGAACTGAATTTCTCTTTTTGAGGTTAACATTTTGCCTAATTGATGTACAAAGTTAGTGTTCCAGATGGTCAAATTTGACTGTAGATATTCATGTTCATGCTGATCTGTAGAGATTGCAAGTATTTCATCTTTGAAAACATCTTTTCACACAGGTAATGATAGGTGATATGTGAGGTGCTTGAAATGCTGTGAAGCACTTACGACTGTGTCACTGTGACTTGTAGTGTACAAAGCAGCAGTGCAAATCAGGATGCTGTAGTCGCTGTCGTGACCACTCGGCTGTGTGTTGTAGAGCAAAAGCAGCCACAGTATTAAGTAAATAGTGTGGCCCCGTTCCAATAAAACTTTATTTGTTGGATATTGGAATTTGAATTTCATACGGTTTTCACAGTCTCAAAATATTCTTTTGATTTTTTTTCAACCACTTAAAAATGTAAAAACCATTCTTGGCTTGTGGGCTATACAGAACTAGATGATGGGCCAGGTTTGGCCCATGGGCAGTAGTTTACCAAGCCTTGGTTTAAAGCCCTCATATAAGCTGTTGTAGACATTAAGATGAGTTAAGGCATATAGTTTAGCACAGCGCTTAGCAAAATAGGGAGCGCTGTGTTCATCATTGTCATTCAAGATGATCGTTCTCTCCAGGTCTGGCTGATGTGAGGGGTGGAGGTGGTGTCTGCTTTGGATTTCTGCTGTTCCTGAGGGAGTATCTGCATTTTCCACAGCTTTTCTGTCTGATTTGTATTTTCCTCTGATTCCTTTTGTCATCAGGTATTCACTGGGCACCTGCTGTGGGCAGGGCTCTGCGCTGAGGTTCTGGAGACAAAAGGATGAATCGTTGAGCCTGCCCTGGTGTGGTGCTCCCGTTATCCTTTAGGTATAAAAACTTGTGGCTATTTTTTTTTTTTTTTTGAGACAGAGTCTTGATCTGTCACCCAGGCTGGAGTGCAGTGGCACAATCTCAGCTCACCACAACCTCTGCCCCCCGGGGTTCAAGCGATTCTCCTGCCTCAGCCTCCTGAGTAGCTGGGATTACAGGCGCCCACGAACCACGCCCAGTTAATTTTTTAATGTTTAGTAGAGATGGGGTTTCACCATCTTGGCCAGGCTGATCTTGAACTCCTGACATCGTGATCCACCTGCTTCGGCCTCCCAAAGTGCAAGTGTTGGGATTACAGGCGTGAGCCACTGCACCCGGCCATGGCTATGGTTTTTGAGAATGATTGGCCAGGTGATGCATTTATTTATTTTATTACTATTTTTCGAGACGGAGTCTTGATCTATCACCCAGGCTGGAGTGCAGTGGCGCGATCTCGGTTCATTACAACCTCCGCCTCCTAGGCTCAAGTGATTGTTCTGCCTCAGCCTCCAAGTAGCTGGGAGTACAAGTGCATGCCACTGCATGCGCTAATTTTTGTATTTTTAGTAGAGATGGGGTTTTGCCATGTTGGCTTGGCTGGTCTCAAACTCCTGACCTCAGGTGATCCACCCACCTCGGCCTCCCAAAGTGCTGGGATTACAGGCATGAGCCACCACGCCTAGCTCAGGTGATGCCATTAGTTTCTACACAGTTATCCTCTGTCATCCCAGACTCAATGTGTCCATCACTGGATAGGTCACCGCCTCCTAAAGTTTCTCTTGACCTGCTCTCATCTCCCAGAATTTTCCTGTCACCCAGAATTTGACTCAGGTACACACCACCACACCTGGATAATTTTTCTATTTTTTGTAGAGATGGGGTTTCACCATGTAGCCCAGGCTGGTCTCTGTCTTGAACTCCTGGGCTCAAGCGGTCCTCCTACCTCAACCTCCCAAAGTACTGGGATTACAGAGTAATTACTGTGAGCCACCACATCCAGCTTGGCCACCAGCTTATTCAAAGTCTCCAGGATGCTGGGACCACCCCCCCCACCACCCGCTCCCTGTTTTTGCATAATTGTATCTTTTTTTTTTGAGACGGAGTCTCACTCTGTCACCCAGGCTGGAGTGCAATGGTGTGGTCTCGGCTCACTGCAACCTCCACCTCCTGGGTTCAAGCGATTCTCCTGCCTCAGCCTCCTGAGAAGCTGGGACTACAGGTGTGTGCCACCACACCCGGCTAATTTTTGTATTTGTAGTACAGATGGAATTTCACCATGTTGGCCAGGCTGGTCTTGAACTCCTGACCTTGTGATCCACCCGCCTGTCCTCCCAAAGTGCTGGGATTATAGGCGTGAGCCACCGTGTCTGGCCTTTGTAATTGTATCTTTGTGAATGAGTGATTTGGTTCTGCCCTTTTTACTCCATATTTATACCAGCCTGGCTCTAGGAGAGTCAGAAGGCCTGCCCAAGGGTTTCTGCCCTCTCTGGGCCACTGGGCCAAAGCTGTAGCTTGCCCTCCGTGGGCTACCTGGGTCAGCCACTCCTGTGCTTAGGGCTTAATCACTAGTTCGCTGAGGCCTGAAGTTTAATCAACACCTTGAGGCTAAACAGCTCTGGTCCTTGTGATCTTCAGCCCATCCCTGCTTTTCTCTGGTCCTCCTCAGGAGCTTGTCAGGCCACGGGGGCTCCAGTGATGAGGCTGACCATCTTTCTTAAGAGGTGTTCTGGTAGCTTGTATTATGATTGGATTGCGTTGACTTCTCAAAGCCGAACTGCTGCTTACTAGTAGTACAGTAGACTCCCATTTGGCACTGGGCTGGTCTTTACCCAGGGGTCCCATAGATGGGTGTGTGGAGGGGAGAAGAGCCAGCATGCATCCTTGAGTTGTTAGTTCACCAAAGGATGTGACCCTGTGTTCCACGAGCGCTCGGTAATTCCTGGTTTGCACTGATGGCCTTTCTCTTTGGTAAAGTCAGGGCGCTGATTATCTTGTCGGAAGTATCCAGCTGGTCCTCTCTTGGGCTCCATCACTGTGCAAGTCTCTGCTCATAAGAACTCTTCAGTTCCCTTCTCCTGGGTTCACAGCCAAGGCAAAAAAGAGACTCCTTGGCCTCTTGGCAAACATACATCCCCTACCTGGCTGGTCCCCCTTCAGCTTCCCTCTCTAAGGAACAACTTGAACATAGAAACTCCAACCTCACCTGTAATCCCAGCACTCTGGGAGGCCAAGGTGGGCAGGTCATTTGAGGCCAGGAGTTCAAGACCAGCGTGGTCAACATGGCGAAACCCTGGCTCTACTAAAAATTAGCGGTGGTGGCGCATGCCTGTAATCCCAGCTACTTGGGAGGCTGAGGCACGAGAATCACTTGAACCAGGGAGGCAGAGGCTGCAGTGAGCCAGGGTCATGCCACTGCACTCCAGCTTGGGCAACAGAGAGACCCTGTCTCAAAAAAAGAAAAGGAACTCCAACTTCTGAAAGTAAACAACTTATGCAGTACATGATTCCTGGAGAGGATTTGGTCACCAACCTTCCCTCCTTCCTTCCAGGGAAAGCACACAGAGGGGCAGGGCAAGGGCCTCCAGTGCATTACTTCACCACTTCCCTGAGTAGGTCTTCTCAAGTCCTTGGAGCCTTCACTTTGTGATTTGTCACTGCCAGAGAGCAATGTTGGGATCATGAGCTGTGGGTCCTCAGTCTGACTTTAAAGAAACCTCACAAATTGTCTGCTCCTGATTTTCCTGACCATGTTTCCCACCAATCCTAACAAACCTCTGCTTCCCTCTCAGTCTCAACACTCTGGTGTTAATGCATTTGAACCTGCTGTGTATCTACTTCCTGTAATTTTTTGAGAATTATCTAGAATGGCTCAAATCCCACCTTTCCCATGAAGCCTTTCTGACCACTGCACATGCTCCTTCCCCTTGCTGGGCTGTGTGCTGCATGTGTGTACAGGGGGACATCACATTTGGGTGCAGCCTGTCGTGTGGGCGTTCCTTTTGACGCCCGTGTCTTGAGAGGGCTGTGTGGTGTTAGCAGGTTAGAGGCAGATGCTAAAGAGACAGGCCTGACCATTCACTGACCTAGCTTTCCTTTCCCTGAGCTTCAGTTTCCTCACCTCTTAAAGGGAAATAAAAATAGTATGAGTTGTGTGCAGCTTAACTGAGAGGATGCCTGTGGAGTGTTCAGGGTGATGGCAGTGGTTATTACTATTAATCTTTTTCTCCCCAGCCAGACTTGATGCCTGGACTTGGCCACAGCTTGCTTGGTAAACCCATTTACTGACATATTAATTGATCCCTCTTCTCTCACCAGGTACATGGCCACCTCTGGCCTAGACCACCAGCTGAAGATCTTTGACTTGCGAGGGACGTACCAGCCTCTGAGCACTCGGACCCTGCCCCATGGAGCAGGGCACCTGGCCTTCTCCCAGAGGGGACTGCTGGTGGCGGGAATGGGTGACGTTGTCAACATCTGGGCAGGGCAGGGCAAGGCCAGCCCACCCTCCCTTGAACAGCCCTACCTCACCCACCGGCTCTCAGGCCCTGTGCATGGCCTTCAGTTCTGCCCCTTTGAAGATGTGCTGGGGGTGGGGCACACTGGGGGCATCACCAGCATGCTGGTCCCTGGTGAGTGGGCCAGGGGATGGGGCTTGAAGTGAATGAACTCTGGGTGGAAGTTTGGGCCAGAGACATCCAGGAACTGGGGGCTTAGTTGGGCTGGAGCTGTTGGACTGAGGTTCTTCCTTATGGCTCCATGCTTCTCCCTCCCTCCCTTCAGGGGCCGGTGAGCCCAACTTCGATGGCCTGGAGAGTAATCCATACAGAAGCCGGAAGCAGCGCCAGGAGTGGGAGGTGAAGGCCCTGCTAGAGAAGGTGAGGCTCCCCTGCTGGAGAGGGTGAGATCCCCCCCATTGCTGGAGAGGGTCAGGTTCCCCCGTCCTGGAGAGGGTGAGGTTCCTCCTTCCTGGAGAAGGTCAGGTTCCCCCCTGCTGGAGAAGGTCAGGTTCCCCACTGCTGGAGAAGGTCAGGTTCCCCCCTGCTGGAGAAGGTAAGGTTTCCTCTTCCTGGAGAGGGTGAGATTCCCCTCTCCTGGACGGGGTCAGGTTTCCCTCTGCTGGAGAGGGTGAGATTCCCCCTGCTGGAGAGGGTCAGGTTTCCCTCTGCTGGAGAGGGTGAAATTCCCTCTCCTGGAGAGGGTCAGGTTCCCCCCTGCTGGAGAGGGTGAGATTGCCCCTGTTGGAGGTGAGGTTCCCCTGCTGCAGAGAGTGAGGCCCCTGCTGCTGGGGAAGGTGTGGTTTGGGGTTGGAGGTAGAGAAAGCTCTCCTGATGTCTCATGCTGGGGGTCTTGGGTAGAGGGGTTCAGCAGCCTCCCTGGCTTCTCTTTTTGGTGCTACCCTCCTGTGGCTCCTTGCTGAGTCCTGTCCCTCTGTGACACCCCCAGGTACCTGCAGAGCTTATTTGTCTGGACCCACGAGCCCTGGCCGAGGTGGATGTCATCTCCCTGGAGCAGGGAAAGAAGGAGCAGATAGAGAGGCTGGTATGGAGCAGGCCCCTGAATGCCCAGGCCCGTCTTCTCCCCCACATCCTCTCCCCACCATGGCTTGTCCCCAGAAGTGCGGCCAGCAGGTGGGTGCTGCCAGTTCCCTGACTCCGAGGCTGTAACAGATATCACTCCTGTCCCCTCCCTCAGGGCTATGACCCGCAGGCTAAGGCTCCCTTCCAGCCAAAGCCAAAGCAGAAGGGCCGCAGCTCCACGGCAAGCCTGGTGAAGAGGAAGAGGAAGGTCATGGATGAGGAACACAGGGTAAATGAGCATTGGCATGGGCCGGGCCTTCCACAGGCTGCACCCTCCTGCTTGTGCCTCTGCCCTTGTCAGCCTGCCACTTCTCACTCTGTGCCTGTGTCCTCCCCGTCTCCGGTCCCCAGGACAAGGTCCGGCAGAGCCTTCAGCAGCAGCATCATAAGGAGGCGAAGGCCAAGCCCACGGGGGCCCGGCCATCTGCCCTGGACAGATTTGTGCGCTGAGCCAGACTCCAGGGTTGCCTGGGAACAGTCTCTCCCCAAGATCACCTGTAGGGAAATGAGTGTTCCCTGGAACAAGGAGGTGGGGGCAGTGTGGCCCCTTCCCCAACTGGGGGTGGACAGCTGTCTCCTGGGGTGGGTTGGTATTAAAGAGGAAAGCGATTTTTTGGATAATGTGTCTGGATCATCTTGTGGACCTGTTCCCCTCCCCCTTGCCAAGCATGAGGCCATTCTAGGATCGGAGGGGTCAGTGTCCTGCCTCTACCCCCACCCCATACCTTGTGGCTGCTGTGGCCTTAGCTTTGCCTTTTAGGGGCCTTCCTCCTCAGAGAGGCTGTCCTCTCTCCCATGTCCCTGGAGATGTCCTTCCCATGCAGCAGGGTCTGGCAGCCTCTGGGCTCTCCAGGTTTGTGGTGTTCTGGGGGTCCTGGTGAAGACCACACTGCACTCGAAGAAGTGGAGACAAGTTTATTGAGGAGCTTGACACCCCTCTTCTGCCCTAGCTTGAGAGAACAACTGCAGCATTTTTTTCTTTTTCTCTTCCCGATGACCATCTTTTGGGCTGGCGGGCCAGGCCCCTGGGTGTCTCCCATATCGCTGTCTTTAGTGAGACTGAGGATCTGGTATAAGGAAACAGATCAGCTGCAGCCAGTGAGGGCCCCTGCGTTGGGCCTGGGAGAGAGAAGGTCCTGTTCCTGCCTTTCCTGTGGCCCCAGGCACTCTCAGCTCTGAAGCCAGGCTATTGCTCGACACCGCAGGATGCCCAGGACTCCCTGGAACCAGGAGCAAAAGGGCGCAGTCCTTTCCCCGTCAGAGCCACCCACCAGCTTCCAGGCTTCCTGCATCTTCCAGGGGTCCAGCCTGTGGGACGTCAGCAGGAATTTCCCATAGCAGCACCGGTCTAGCGGGTAGTGGGTGGCACCAGCCAGCTTGACACACTGTGTTGGGGCGAGGCCTCCTCGTCGGGCACTTACCCCCACAAAGACATCCTCTAATGGGAGAAGGGGTGCCCGGCTGGCCACCTTGAGAATGAGCTGCACAGCAGACGCTGACAGCACATACCCCGTGCCTGAGGCATAGGGTGGAAAGGGGCCCCAGGTGTGAGGCCACTGCTCCTCTGATACGCGGTGCCTGCCCCCCGGTGTCCGAGAGGGGTTCACGCGCCAGTGCACCCGGCCCAAGTACAGAAGAGGCACTTCCTCGCTGTGCAAAACCTGGCCTCCTTCCTGCTCAGCCTCTCTCTGGGGTTCCGTGCTTCTCTCCCATTGCCCCCAACGGCCCCCTCGCAAGACCAGCTCTGATACCAGTTCAGGGACGTTGACATACACATCATCGTCCGTCTTGAGGACGTATCGGGCCATGGGGCAGTGTTTCTCAGCCCAGTTCAGCCCGCTGAGGGTCTTTAGGGTGAGGTTGCGGTAGGAGTCCTGGAAGGCGGCCTGCAAGATATCCCCCTGGGCTGCTGACTCCGAGGCCAGGTCACTCCCCTGGGAACCCCACACGGGGTGCTGTGCGTTCGGCTCTCCCAGCAAGAATAGCGTCTGTACCCTGAGCCCCCGGGCCTCGCGCAGCCCGCCCCACGAAGCCCGAATGGCGTTTCTCTGGTTCAGGTTCTCCGGAGCCGTGCACACCAGGATGAGCAGGAAGGGAGGGGCCCCGGGACCACTGCAAGCTTCCTGGTTGGGGATCAAGAGGCGGGGCAGGGCCAGGGGCGGCCCCGGTGAGGCGGGGGCTGGGAGCAGGGAGGCTAGTGAGAGGCTCAGCAGCTCCTCCCCCAACCCCGAAGGCCCGAAGAGGGTCCAGACGATCACCAGCAGCAAAGCGGCGAGAAGGAGGCGCCGGAAGAGCCTGAGCTGCATGGTGCGGCGTACTCCGAGGGGATCCGTAAGAGCGAAGGGCGGAGACTAGCTCCCCGGGCCTGGGTCACGGCCGGGGACTTAACCGACCACGCCCGGGATGCGGAGGTCTGAGCGCGCGACCGGGACCAGCGCACCCTGGGGGGCGGGGAGAGGCGGTGCAGCTGCGGACCGCGGTCGAGGCATGCTGCGGGGGTGGCTACCTTGTCGCCGCGGCCTCGCCGCCAGCAAGCTCCGCTCCATGGCTGGCCGACTGCGGCACTCACGGCCCCTCCCCCGCCTCGCCCCGGCGGCCGGTCTGCCGCCCGCTTCCGCGTTGCGCGCTCCCATCCCCGCCGGAAGCGGCGTCGGAGCAGCGCGGCAGGGCGCGGAAACCCGGGCGGGTGGAGTGGCACCAAACGGAGTGAGACCGGTCTGTCCAGCCGCTCCCCATCCCAACCCACCGACGTACTCCACCAGGGAGACCACACCCTTCATAACCAACGTCCGCGTTTTTGCCTTTGTTGCTTCGGTCACAGCCCGAAGGATTTTCCCTTATGACTAGATGACCCCTTAAAAGAAAACAAAAACAAAAACAAAAAAACCCAGAGTGACCAAGACCTGCAAACTCACCTTAACTGCAACTGGCTAGGCTCAGCTAACCCACTCCACAATGATGCTGCACACCAACCCCAGGGTGTTGGTCTCTAAACTGGTCTGGGTCAGCCCCTCAAGGCTGAACTGTTTTACCCTCACATTTCTCTTTACAGAGAGGGACATCACTAGCTACATATAGGGAGACTGGGGGGTCTGCAGCATCACCACTGCTAAAACTAATAGCACTGTGTGGGCAACTGAGTAGGGCAGCTCTAAATGGAAAAAGGACCCAGCACTTTAACATTCCCTATTAGAATGGACAGAAAGGACAGGAAGCCATAGGTATATAAACTATTTATTAACAGACAAGGCCTACAGACTTATTTCTTCTTGGACACACCCACGGTGCGGCCACGGCGGCCAGTGGTCTTGGTGTGCTGGCCTCGGACACGAAGGCTGCAGGTAAAAAGAGAAGAGTCACAGGTCATGCACAGCAGAAACAAAAGGTTGGGGAAAAAGAAGAGCGAGTAGGAGGAATGCTGAGTCGAGGTAGGCAGGGAGATGAGACCCCCCACTCACCCCCAGAAGTGACGCAGCCCTCTATGGGCCCGAATCTTCTTCAGTCGCTCCAGGTCTTCACGGAGCTTGTTGTCCAGACCATTGGCTAGGACCTGGATTCAGAGGAGGGGGCAAGGGATGTTTTATCCCCTGACCTCCTATGCCCAATTCTGTTAGGACCCTCCACCCTTCCTCTAATCCTGCCCTCATTTCAGTACACACCTGGCTGTATTTTCCATCCTTTACATCCTTCTGTCTGTTCAAGAACCAGTCTGGGATCTTGTACTGGCGTGGATTCTGCATAATGGTGATCACACGTTCCACCTGGCAGGCAGACCAAGGTCAGATCTAGATGGACCCCTTTCTGAGGCTGACCCCACCCCCAGCCCCCTTCCTTGTCCTCACCTCATCCTCAGTGAGTTCTCCCGCCCTCTTGGTGAGGTCAATGTCTGCTTTCCTCAACACCACATGAGCATATCTTCGGCCCACACCCTGAATGAAGTGAGGGGTTTCGGAATTAGTGTTGAATCTGATTTTTAAATTCCTTTATAGCCTCATTCAAAAAGCTCACAAAGGTAGGATCTGCAATAATCTATTTTGCAATCCCCTAGGTCACCCTTTCCTCACCCACCTTTCCAGATATAAACCGTTCGACAGAAGGTTAACTTTGGGCCGGTCGCAGTGGCTCACGCCTGTAATCCCAGCACTTTGGGAGGCCCAAGTGGGCAGATGACATTGAGGGCAGGAGTTCAAAACCAGCCTGGCCAACATGGTGAAACCCTGTCTCTACTAAAAATACAAGAAAAGTTGCTGAGCATGGTGGCAGGTGCCTGTAATCCCAGCTACTTGGGAGGCTGCAGCAGAATAGCTTGAACCTAGGAGGTGGAGGTTGCAGCAAGCCAAGATCACGCAACCACACTCTAACCTGGGCGACAGTGAGACCCCGTCTCAAAAAAAGAAAAAAGTAACTTTGTTCAGGGGTATGACTGAATCATGAACACAGAATTTAGTATTACAGACAACCCTTTGAAAGCAGGCAGTATCTTTTTTTTCCCCCATTGCTCAGCATATGTAGTTGTCACTAAGTGCCTTCTGATTCTTGCATTTAGGAGAACAAGGGGCCTGCCACTCCAAGCTGATGCAGTAAACCAGGGTCTTATGAGTTACAGGCTTTGATTAAGGTATTGGGCTGTCAGTTCCTCAGAATCTCTAAGGGTCACAATTATTTAGGCAAATCACTGTATCCCCATAATCAAAGTATTCCAAGATCACAAACTCAATTTTGTCAGTGCCCAGAACTGACTGCCCAAGTTATTATAAAAAGAAACTAATGCTTACATTGGTAGCATCACATCAACACCAGCACTAGCACCCATGCCATCTGAACTCATGAACCAAAGTGATTTGGAGAGTGAAGGAGGAACTGAATACTGAGCCCTGCCCCTCATTTTGTCCAACTAGAACATCAGAATGTGGCCCTATTTGGAAATAAGGTCGTTACGGAAATAATTAGGTAAAATGACGTTATATTTGATTAGGGTGGGCTCTAGATCCAATGACAAATCATGAGAGAGACACGAAGAGGACCATGAGATGACAGCAACAGATTGGAGTAATGCAGCTACAAGCCAAGGAACACTAAGGATTACTGACAACCACCAGAAGACAGGAAGAGGCAAGGTAGGATTCTTAAGTGCCTCCAGCGCCAAGAGTAATTTTCTGCTTAGTTTATATGAACTTGTTACAGTAGGCTCCAGGAAACTAAAACAAATGGCAGTTCCTATCTGCAAGAAAGAGATCAAGGGTTGGCTTCACCGTGGCTCATGCCTATATGCCTGTAATCCCAGCACTTTAGGAGGCTGAGGCTGGAGGATCACTGAGCCCAGGAGTTCAAGACCAGCCTGGACAACACAGCAAGATCCAGATTAGCCAGATGTGGTGGTGCACACCTGTAGCCCCAACTACTTGGAAAGTTGAGGTAGGAGGATTGACTTGAGCCCTGGAGGTCGAGGCTGCAGTGAAGAGTGATTCCGCCACTCCAGCCTGGGCGACAGTCTCAAAAAATAAATGTGGCTGGGTGCAGTGGCTCACGCCTATAATCCCAGCACTTTGGGAGGCTGAGGTGGGTGGATCACCTGAGGTCAGAAGTTTAAGACCAGTTTGACCAACATGGTGAAACCCCATCTCTTCTAAAAATACAAAAATTAGCTGGGCGTGTGCCTGTAATCTCAGCTACTTGGGAGGCTGAGGTTGCAGTGAGATAAGATTGCACCATTGCACTCCGGCCTGGGTGACGGGGTGAGACTCTGTCTCGGGATAAATAAATAAACATGACCAAGGGTCAAATTATTAGGTTGATTCAGAAGAGAGCAGGGTCTTTCAAATTTATTAATTAAATGACGAGGTTTCACCATGTTGACCAGGCTGGTCTCGAACTCCTGACCTCAGGGGATCCGCCCACTTCAGCCTCCGAGTGAGCCACTGCACTAAGCCTCAAATTTAATTATATGTTTACAAGTGAAAAGATTTACTTCAAAATGGGTGTGGGAAGAGATATAGATGAAATAAGATTTCTAATTTTTAGTTAGATACATCCATGAAGGTTATTCTCTATTACACTTATGAATGCTGCACCTCTACTTAAGCCTCACAGCCGGTCTCTGAAATAAGTACAGTATTTCACACTGCCTTATTAGTTTCACAGAGCACCCAACAGAAGGAATTTCCCTCTACAAATTCCTCAACAGAGCCAACAGTATCCCTACTACTATCCATTCCCTAACGTCGCCTAAGTACCTACCATGCAACAGAAGCCAAGAAGACAGGCCTAGCCCTGCACGCATGGACACATACTGGTAGGCTATTTCCACAACTAACTACACATTCTGACTTAAGGGAAAAAAAAAGAACGTTATGTATCTAGAAAGCCAAGAATTCATTAGGTTTGTGGAGAGAAATACTCAAGTGAAATAATATTCTTGCATTCATTGATTCGATTCTTAAAAGCCAAAGAAAGATGGATGTACTCCTTCACACTTCGACAGGAAAGGAGTGTCAATTATGGCTCATCTGAGTAAATGTCCCACTCAGACTTCTTCCACCCTCCATCTACAGGCTTCTTCACACTTTTTATCTGTTGGTATTTCTACTTATCCCTCAAGATGCCCAATAATCCTCCAATTCTCAGGGAATATAAATTTCGCAGGAAGGGTTGCTGTTATGATGGTGGGATGGGTAAAGAAACCGAATCTAGAAGAAATCTCACAAGCTCGTGGTTCAGGAAAATCTTAGCGAATTCGGGTGAGCAACCATACCTCCTCCCCACTTCCCCAGGTGAAATGTTTTGGCTTGACCTTAGACCACTATCTTGGCTTTAATCACTTATTTTCTGTGGTAAATGCTAAAGGGGTCAGTCTCTCCCTAAACCACTTTCTTTTCTTAATCCAGCAGTCAAGGTGATCTGGATGAGACTCAAGTCTCCCCAGCCTTGCTTCATTTTTGCTTATGTCTTCACAACCCAATTCTCATTTACATTCCCTATTCCTTACCCTACTTCACTTACCTTAATGGCAGTGATGGCAAAGGCTATTTTCCGCCGCCCATCGATGTTGGTGTTGAGTACTCGCAAAATATGCTGGAACTTTTCAGGGATCACTAGAGACTAGTTGAAAAAGTACGGGGGAAGAAATCAGACACAGTAAACTATCAAACAGTAAGGCCGATAAGGCAAACGAACTTCATACAAAAAGGTTAAGCCTGTCACACAAGTGGCAAGACACCCGCCCCCCATTCCTTAGGTTTTCACACCACAGAGCAAACTCCTCAGTCCTGCAGAGTAGGCACATGAAGCGTTCAAGCTTGGGAAAATGCAACCTCTGGAGAGAGGAAGCAGGTCTCCTGCCCATTCCCAAAAGTGCGTGGCAAAAGCCAGAGTTCCCCATATACGCCCAAGCCTTAGACAGCTTTCGTGCGCCCGAGCAGTGACCCTTCCTCGGGCCCGCTCTCCGGAATTGGAAATCTTTGGTGTCCCTTTCCAGGGACGCGATCCAAGGCTCCATACAGAAAGTCGCAGGCCCTCAGGGCAGGACGTTTCCAGAACCCTGACAGCCGGCTTTCCTTGCCCGAGCTGCGATGCCGCTGGATCACGGCACGGATTCCAGTCTTACCATGGCTGCAGCACAAGCGGCGGCGTGTAGGCCTCCTGTGGAAGAGAGAGCGGAAGTGACGCGATATCATTATATAGCTTCCAGGAGGAAGAGGCGGTGCGATCTAGGAGAAGTGCTTCCGGAAACTGTTTCAGCGCGACCTGGCTGGATTTATGAGAGTATGGCTTGGGTACCACAACTTCCGGTGCGCCTTTCTTTACAGTTCGTAAGGTTCATAGGTAAGAGAACAGCGAAGGTTCCGGGGCTAGTTTGTGTTTCAGACTTCCATATTTCCATTTGCAGTTGGGTGAAGTGGTTAGAGCTGAAAGGGGACAGCTGGAGTCAAACAACTTAACTCAAATATCTGGGAACGATTTCGCGCTGAGGAAGACCCTTTGGGACTTGTAGCTCCACTCCGGGGAACGGACTCGCCGGGACTGACAGTTGCCGGAAGTGAGGCTGCGGGGAATGGCCGCCGCTGCGACCATGGCGGCTGCGGCCCGGGAACTGGTGTTGCGGGCTGGGACCTCAGATATGGAGGAGGAAGAGGGCCCGCTGGTGAGAGCGCGGAGCTGTTTCTCCTCCGTAGTTCCGGTGCTCCTAGCTTCAGAAAGACCTGAGCTGGGTTTAGGCACAAGGGTGGGAACTTGGCTGCTACCCGTGATATTACCTGTTTGGCTCCCCGTACCCTTCCCTGTGATCAGACCCGACCCTGAGCGGGACCCTAGTGGCTGAAACTCATGTTCTGGGGCACAAAATTTCAACTTCACTCCACATTTTGGGGTAGAGTCACGAAGTAGTATAGTGTAAAGGTTAAGAACATGGCCTCTGAAGCCAGACTGCCTGAGTTCTATCTCTGCCACTTACACGCTGTGTGCCCTTGGGCAAGTTAACCAGCTTCTCTGTGCCATCATTTCTCACACCTTTAAGGTGAGGAAGATAGAACCTATTGTATACATCGTCGTTAGGATTAGATGAATATGTGTAAGATTGCACCTGGCATGCAGGTAAACACTATGTGTTTTGACATTTCTAGAAAGCCTGGGGTTCCCCAGAGGTGTGATAGAACACCCAAGATGGCAGGAGTCTGAGGGTCTTAAATTTAAGTGCAAGTTCTGCTCTATCCTCTGCAATTCCTAGCTTTCCTCATTCGGTCATCTCCACTGCACTTTTTTTTTTTTTTTTTTTTTTTTGAGACGGAGTCTTGCTCTGTCGCCCAGGCTGGAGTGCAGTGGCGCGATCTTGGCTCACTGCAAGCTCCACCTTCCGGGTTCACGCCATTCTCCTGCCTCAACCTCCCAAGTAGCTGGGACTACAGGCGCCCGCCACCGCGCCCGGCTAATTTTTTGTATTTTTTAGTAGAGACGGGGTTTCACTGTGTTAGCCAGGATGGTCTCGATCTCCTGACCTCGTGATCTTCCCACCTCGGCCTCCCAAAGTGCTGGGATTACAGGCGTGAGCCACTGCGTCCGGCCTCCACTGCACTGTCTTGTCTTTTACCTTTTTTTGTTTTCTTTAGACGGGTTTCCCTGTGTTACCCAGGTTGACCTTGAACTCCTGATCTCCTCAAACAATCTTCCCGTCTCAGCTTCTAAGTAGTTGGGACTACAAGGAGCCCACCACCATGCTGGGCTACCTCCACTGTCTCACTGGATCGTCTCACTCCTTGTCGTATTCCTTACCCATCAGCACAAAATAGGAGAGTGGGTACAACGTGAGACTCTTAGAATTTTTCAAAGCAGTACCTGTGGCTCCCAGTAAAAGCAGCTCCTTCTCACTTGAAGGACTGGGGATATCCAATTATATTTTTTCTTTCTGTCTTTCACCGTACCCTACTCCCATTAACTTATCCCTTTCCAGGCGGGTGGTCCTGGGCTCCAGGAACCACTGCAACTTGGGGAGTTGGATATCACTTCTGATGAATTCATCCTGGATGAAGTGGATGGTAAGCGATGGCATGGGGTGGGTGCAGTACCTGTAATCTGAGAGGCATGGGGGCTGGAAGGAATAAGGTAGGGATTGGTGTGCAGATACTCAATGTGGGGAGAGGGAGCTGTGGAGCTGGACCCTTATGATAAACTTCTATTTCCAGTTCACATTCAGGCAAATCTGGAGGATGAGTTAGTAAAGGAAGCTCTTAAAACGGTGAGGCTTTCCCCTGTACTAATCTGCCCTTCTATCTATTCTACCCCAAAAGGAAAAACAACAGTCTCTTGCTTTTGTTGTATCAGCCTGGTATCTGACCCTTTAGTCCTTCACTGATTCTGTTACAGTGTCCCTTTACTGAGACTTCCTTCTGACCTGTCATCTTTATGTTCTCCCAGGGTGTAGATCTCCGTCACTATTCAAAGCAAGTTGAGCTGGAGCTACAGCAGATTGAACAGAAATCCATTCGGGATTGTATCCTCCAGCAGAGGGAAGGGGTGGTGCTATTGACATGGGGATTTTGTGGCGTGTGGTACAGATGTCCCAGCTGGGGTCAACATCTCTGAGGTTTCTATCACTTCAAAGAGAAATTGGAGAGGTACTACAAATCTGAGGATCTCCCATCTTCACCATGAGGCCCCTTGACTTTTTGTGGATCAGATATTCAAGAGAGTGAGAATATAGCATCTCTACACAACCAGATCACAGCCTGTGATGCTGTCCTGGAGGTTAGTAATCATGACCTGTGACCCCTAATAGCTACTCTGAACCAGATCATGGACTCTGGTGCCATTTTTAGGTCATCAGCCTCAAGATGGGGACAGGTTAGGGTCATTTTCAAGATGACTTCAGGAGCCTTTTTTGTTATTACTGCCATATTTAATGTTATTTCCTGATAATCTGGGGTGTCTCATCATCTGCCACCCTCAAGGACTGATAAATACTGAAGACTTCACAAAGAGTCTTTGGTGGCCCACTTATCCCCTACAAACCCTATAGCACTCCGGCAACATC
This sequence comes from Homo sapiens, assembly GCF_000001405.40. Classification (NCBI taxonomy): domain Eukaryota; kingdom Metazoa; phylum Chordata; class Mammalia; order Primates; family Hominidae; genus Homo; species Homo sapiens. The sequence continues at coordinate 33,269,203 of NC_000006.12, read as the reverse complement.
TACCCTCCCTACAGCGAATGGAGCAGATGTTGGGAGCTTTTCAGAGTGACCTCAGCTCCATCAGCTCTGAGATCCGGACACTGCAGGAACAGTCAGGAGCCATGAACATTCGACTTCGAAATCGCCAGGCAGTTCGGGGGAAACTTGGGGAGCTTGTTGATGGTCTGGTGGTGCCTTCTGCTCTGGTCACGTGAGTTACCAGTTTGAAGGGTTATAATGTCCATAGCAGGTGGATGGGCTGGGGTGACCCACCCTATTTACCATATGGGTCTCCTGGCTCCAGGTTAAGTGCTTTTTAGAAATTAGTAGCCAGGTTAACCACCATTTCTTTAGGTATGCATTAGGCATCAAAGATTAAGATTAAGAATGATGTAAGATCAGGTGTATAGTGGGGAGGTCCAGGAATAGAAAACTTTGTACATGTGTCCTGACTATATGGTACAATGCAAGGTGGTAGAGATGACAGGGGCTGGAGGTAAGGAGTGTGGTCTGGGTCTGGTTTAGGGATGTCTGGGTCTCCCTTGTAACTCATCCCACCCCTCCCTGCTAACCAGGGCAATTCTGGAGGCTCCAGTGACAGAGCCCAGGTTCTTGGAGCAGCTACAGGAGCTGGATGCCAAGGCAGCCGCAGTCAGAGAGCAGGAAGCTAGAGGCACAGCAGCCTGCGCAGATGTCAGAGGCGTGCTCGATCGGCTCCGGGTCAAGGTGGGAAGTAGGGATGGATACCCTGGAGGCTACTGGAAGCAGCCTTCCCAAGATCTTCACTATGGATTTCCTTGGCAGAGCTCACTGTAGCCTGTCTCCAGGGACTTCACCCTGCCTTTTCTGGGCAGCCCCATTCTTGTCTCTCTGGGTTTCCCTGAAAATCTTGAGAAATACCAAAGAGATATTCACCACCCTTCTGCCTATGTTTACCATTTGTTGCTTCCCCCAGTTCCTCTCATACAGCAAAAGGGTTGCAGCTTCATGCCCTGTGTTTGGTTCCCCACATCTAGGCAGTGACGAAGATCCGAGAGTTTATCCTCCAGAAGATTTATTCCTTCAGGAAACCCATGACCAACTATCAGATCCCCCAGACGGCCCTGCTGAAGTACAGGTCACAACCCCAAGGAAGTGCATGGGATGGCCTTTGAGTTTTTGAGCGGCCTAGTGTGGGCATCTGGTTTCTTGGGAGACAGGTAGACTGACATGTTCCTGACCCCCTAGGTTCTTCTATCAGTTTCTGCTGGGCAATGAACGAGCAACAGCAAAGGAGATCAGGGATGAATATGTGGAGACGCTGAGCAAGATTTACCTGTCTTACTACCGCTCTTACCTGGGGCGGCTCATGAAGGTGCAGGTAAGGTCAGGAGGGAGAGGTATTCCTGGGCACATGGACTGGGAGGAGGGGACATCCCTGGGCAAGGAATATTTTATTGTGTTGTGGGAAGAGACGGTTATCAGTTCTCTTTTCTCTTTCCTTAGTATGAGGAAGTCGCTGAGAAAGATGATCTAATGGGTGTGGAAGATACAGCAAAGAAAGATATCCTAGTACTGGGGAACCCTCATGCCAGGCCTTGAGAGTGGGAGGACTTTCGACTCCAGCCACCAATGCACTGCTCCTTACCTTTTCCTATGGGACTGAAACCTTTTAGAATGTGATGAAAGCTATAGCCTCCCTCCCCAGAAAGATGCACACATTATTTTGACACATAGTTTTGCATATGATTGCAAGGGAGGGAGAGACACCCTGAAGCCCATTCACAGATGTCAGCACGTGGGGCCCTAGTACTGGGAAAGAGGGCTGGCTAGGCCACGTCTGCCTGTCTGGGGTCCCCACAGATAGTGAGTCTTTGGGCCCAGTTATGGTCTCATTGTTTTCCCTGACTCTGACCCATCTTACGATTCTTCTCAAAGCCATCGCTCCGCAGCAGGAACACCATTTTCACCCTAGGAACCCGCGGCTCTGTCATCTCCCCCACTGAACTTGAGGCCCCCATCCTGGTGCCTCACACAGCGCAGCGCGGAGAGCAGAGGGTATGAGGAGGAACAAGCTTCAGTCACGAAAGAGGCTCTGAGCACGGTGGGGAGGGAAGGCCAGACCTCAGGGCAGAGCTTCCCAACCTGCAGGCCCTGTCTTAATCCCCTTAGACTTGGGAGTGGCCTTCTCCAATCACTCCAGCCTGCTGTGATGTGAAAAGAGCTGGGAACCATTGACTTAAGGGCATGCAGAGGGGAGAGACTGGATGAGGGGAATGACAGTCAGAGGCAGGTGTTGAGGTGGATGCAGGAGTAGCAACAGCAGGTGGGTGTAGGCCCTTTTTGTACCCCTATGTTCCCCCACCTTTTCAGTGCCCATTCAGCTTGCTCTTAGACAGCCCGGACCTAGATAGATGCGAAGGGTCTGCCTAGCTCTTATTACTCAGGTTTACTGATTTTCCAGCCATATCCATGGGAAGTCAGTGTTGGGGTCCATCCCTTCTGTTTTTCTTCTTTACTCCTCCTCTCCCAGTATCCATTTGAGGCCCTCTTCCGCAGCCAGCACTACGCCCTCCTAGACAATTCCTGCCGCGAATACCTTTTCATCTGTGAATTTTTTGTTGTGTCTGGCCCAGCTGCACACGACCTGTTCCATGCTGTCATGGGCCGTACACTCAGCATGACCCTGGTAAGACTCCTGTTTCCTGTACCATTCAACACCTTTGTCCCCAGTCTTCATCAGCAGCATAGTGGGGTCATGACTCTGGTAGAACTGAAATCAGGATCGCCTCATTCTAAAATGTCTAAGCCTTGGCTGGGCGTGGTAGTGCACACCCATAATCCCAGCACTTTGGGAGTCCAAGGCAGTAGGATTGCCTGAGCTCAGGAGTTTGAGACCAGCCTGGGCAACAACCTCATCTCTACAAAAAATGAAAAATTAGCCGGGTGTGTGTTGATGTGTGCCTGTGGTCACAGCTACTAAAGATGCTGAGGTGGAAGGATTGCTTGAGCCCAGGAGGTCAAGGCTGCAGTGAGCCATGCACTCCAGAGTGAGACCTGTCTCAAAAAAAAAAAAAAAAAAAAATAGCCAGGTGCAGTGGCTTACGCCTGTAATCCCAGCACTTTGGGAGGCTGAGGCGGGAGGATCACAAGGTCAGGAGTTTGAGACCAGCCTGACCAACATGATGAAACCCTGTCTCTACTAACAGTACAAAAATTAGCCAGGTGTGCGCGGCCTGTAATCCCAGCTACTCGGGAGGCTGAGGCAGGAGGATTGCTTGAACCTGGGAGGAGGAGATTGCAGTGAGCCAAGATTGCGCCATTGCACTCCAGCCTGGGTGACAGAGCGAGACTCCATCTCAAAAAAAAAACTTGTTACTTAGACTTGTCACAGTGTTACTCCCCCATGAAATCCTCAGTGCGTAGGGTCCCTGAGACTACCCCTACTGCTGACCCACAATCAGGCAATAGCACGTGAAAACTGAGGGTCCCCCAAATCTTGGTGCTCAAACCCCTGACCCAAGCTCAGCCCTGAACTCTGCTGTGATAGGCTTGTGATCATAGATCCTGGTGTGGCCAGGTGCAGTGGCTTATGCCTGCAATCCCAGTACTTTGGGAGACCAAGGCAGGAAGGTTGCTTGAGGCCAGGAGTTCGAGACCAGCCTGGGCAATGCGGCAAGACCTTGTCTCTACAAAAAATTTAAAAATAAACTTAACCAGGCATGGTGGTACACACCCATGGTCCCAGTTGCTTGGCAGGCTGAGGTGGGAACATCACTTGAGCCCAGATGTTTGAGGCTGCAGTGAACTATGATTGTACCATTACAATCCAGCCTAGGTGACAAAACAACCTGTCTCTAAAGCCGAAAACACCGGGTGCAGTGGCTCACACCTGTAATCCCAGCACTTTAGGAGGCTGAGGTGGGCGGATCGCCTGAGGTCAGGAGTTCGAGACCAGCTTGACCAACATGATGAAACCCCATCTCTACTAAAATACAAAAATTAGTCGGGCGTGGTGGCAGGCGCCTATAATTCCAGCTACTCAGGAGGCTGAGGCAGGAGAATTGCTTGAACCTGGGAGGCAGGCGGAGGTTGCAGTGAGCCGAGATTGTGCCACTGCATTCCAGCTTGGGTGGCAAGAGTGAAACTCTATCTCAAAAAACAAAAAAAAAGCCAAAAACATAGATCCTGGACAGGAAAGCAGGGGGCAGTTCCATTTTACGTCTCTCCCTTCTGTCCTGTCCAGTGCATCATCCCCAAAGAAACAAATGCGTTTGTTCATAGTCACTGAGGACAACAAACTGACATTCTCTTTTAATCCTCTGTTTGTTCCCCAATCACACAGAAACACCTGGATTCTTATCTAGCTGACTGCTACGATGCCATTGCTGTTTTTCTCTGTATCCACATTGTTCTCCGGTTCCGTAACATTGCAGCAAAGAGGGATGTTCCTGCCCTGGACAGGTCACTGAATTCTGGTCCTTGATGCCCAACAGGCCACGAACTCTCTTGGTCTTGCATGACTCTGCCCTGACCTTAGACTCCTACTGACCTGGTATCATCAACCTTTATTCCCATTCATTTGCTCCGGAGGCAGTAGTGCTGCTTTTTGACTCACCTTTCTCCAACCACTGCCCCCCAACCCCCACAACTAGCTATTGACCATTAAACTGAATGATGCCCCACTCCCTCCCATCCCCCTCCAACATTCCTTGCTGGCTGACCTCTGATTCTGATTAAGCCCACAGGTACTGGGAACAGGTGCTTGCCTTGCTATGGCCACGGTTTGAACTGATCCTGGAGATGAATGTTCAGAGCGTCCGAAGCACTGACCCCCAGCGCCTAGGGGGGTTGGATACTCGGCCCCACTATGTGAGGGAGGGCAAGGGTAACAAAGGGTTCTTGAAAGGCAGGGCTCTAAGCATCATTGTGGGGGTTGGCCAAGGTCACAGTTGTGTCATGGGCCACGCTATGAGCAGGTGTTCTGGGAGGGTGGTGAAACTCATGGTGAGTGGTGCACTGTGGGTAGGAGGGACTGAAGGTAGAGTCACATCACATGGAGGTGGGTTGGCTAAGGAAGTTGGGAGGTTGTGTTGGTTGGGCCAGGAGGTGGGTGTGATTTTCCTTCCCACTCTCTCCTAGATCACACGCCGCTATGCAGAGTTCTCCTCCGCTCTTGTCAGTATCAACCAGACAATTCCTAATGAACGGACCATGCAATTGCTGGGACAGCTGCAGGTGAGGGTCGGACAGGAGACACTTCCCAGCAGCAGGGCTGCTTCCAGTGGGTGGAGTCTGAGGAGGAGCCAGATGGGGCCCAGATGACCTTGCTTTCTGGTGTCACCTCTTCCTCTCTGCCTTTTCAGGTGGAGGTGGAGAATTTTGTCCTCCGAGTGGCAGCTGAGTTCTCCTCAAGGAAGGAGCAGCTTGTGTTTCTGATCAACAACTATGACATGATGCTGGGTGTGCTGATGGTAATAGGTGCTCCTTCTCCTTGCCTTCCTACCCAGAAAATTCGGTTTCCCCCACTGCTGTTAGCTCTGTGAGGGCAGAGATGATGCCTGTCTTGTTCAGTGTTTTACTCTTGGAGTCTGGCACAGTGTCCAGCTTAGTACAATAAGTGTGGAATGAAGGGGACATCCTGAAGTGAAGGACTGCTTTCCCCAAACTAGACATTTCCCTTTGTCTTCCCTTAGGAGCGGGCTGCAGATGACAGCAAAGAGGTTGAGAGCTTCCAGCAGCTGCTCAATGCTCGGACACAGGTAGGGGTGTGGGGAAAAGGGAAGAGACAGCCTTCTGTGCTGTTTTCAGCTCTCTCTCTCTCTCTCTCTGTGTGTGTGTGTGTGTGTGTGTGTGTGTGTAGGGAGTGGCATAATGGATCTCAGGTATGCGGAATTACTGTAACTCTTGATTCACAACATACTGTCATTATTGGTCTATTTTATTTTATTTTGTCTTTGGTTTTTTTTTTTTTTTTTTTTTGAGGCAAAGTGTCACTCTGTCACCCAGGCTGGAGTGCAGTGGCATGAACATGGCTCACTGCAGCCTCAACAGCCTGGGCTTAAGTGATCCTTCTACCTTAGCCCCCTGGGTAGCTGGGACCACAGGTGCGAGCCACCATGCCTAGCTAATTTTTTATTTTTAGAATGAATTTTATTTTTTTCTTTATCTATCCTCTCAAGCATTTATCCTTTGTGTTATAAACAATCCGATTACACTAAGTTATTTTAAAATGTACAATTAAGTTATAATTGACTATAGTCACCCTGTTGTGCTGTCAAATAGTAGGTCTTATTTATTCTTCCTATTTTTGTTTGTACCCATTAATCATCCCCACCTTCTCCCCAGCCTTCCACTAGCCTTCCCAGCCTCTGGTAGCCATCCTTCTACTCTCTTCGTACATGAGTACATGAGTTCAATTGTTTTGATTTTTAGATTCCACGAATCAGTGAGAACACATGACGTTTGTCTTTCTGTGCCTGGCTTATTTCACTTAATATAATAATTTCCAATTCTATGCATGTTGTTGCAAATGACTGAGTCTCATTCTTTTTTATGGCTGAGTAGTACTCCATTGTGTATATATCCCACATTTTCTTTACCCATTCATCTGTTGATGGACACTTAGGTTGCTTCCAAATCTTAGCTATTGTGAACAATACTGCAACAAACATGGGAGTGCAAATATCTCTTCAATGTACTGATTTCCTTTCTTTTGGGTATATACCCAGCAGTGGGATTGCTGAATCATATGGTAGCTCTACTTTTAGTTTTTTGAGCAACCTTCAAACTGTTCTCCAAAGTGTTTGTACTAATCTACATTCCCACCAACAGTGTATAAGGGTTCCCTTTTCTCCACATCCTTGCCAGCATTGCTATTGCCTGTCTTTTGGATAAAAGCCATTCTGACTGGAGTGAGATGAGATCTCATTGTAGTTTTGATTTGTATTTCTCTGATAATAGTGATGGTGAGCCCCTTTTCATATATGTCTGTTTGCCATTTGTATTCTTTTGAAAAATATCTATTCAAATCTTTTGCCCATTTTTTAATAGGATTATTAGACTGTCATGTAGAGTTGTTTGAGCCCCTTATATATTCTGGTTATTAATCCCTTGGCAGATGGGATGTGCAAATATTCTTTGTCTCTTCACTTTATTGTTTCTTTAGCTGTGCAGAAGCTTTTTTTTTTTTTTTTTTTTTTTTTGAGATGGAGTTTTGTTCTTGTTGTCCAGGCTGGAGTGCGATGGTGCGATCTCAGCTCACCGCAACCTCCGCCTCCCAGGTTCAAGCAATTTTCCTGCCTCAGCCTCCTGAGTAGCTGTGATTACAGGCATGTGCCACCATGCCTGGCTAATTTTGTATTTTTAGTAGAGATGGGGTTTCACCATGTTGGTCAGGCTGGTCTCAAACTCCTGACCTCAGGTGATCTGCCCAGCTCTGTCTCCCAAAGTGCTGGGATTACAGGCGTGAGCCACCGTGCCCAGCTGTGCAGAAGCTTTGTAACTTGACGTGATCCCATTTGGCCATTTTTGCTTTGGTTGCCTGTGCTTGTGGGGTATGGCTCAAGAAATTTTTGCCCAGACCCGTGTCTTGGAGATTTTCCCCAGTGTTTTCTTGTAGTAGTTTCATAATTTGGTCTTAGATTTAAGTCTTTAATCCATTTGATTTGGTTTTCATATGTGGCGAGAGATAGGGGTATAGTTTCATTCTTCTGTGTAATGGATAGCCAGTTTTCCCAGCACCATTATTGAAGAGACTATCTCTCTTTTTTTTTTTTTCAGACGGAGTCTTGCTCTGTCACCTAGGCTGGAGTGCAGTGGTGCAGTATTGGCTCACTGCAACCTCTGCCTCCTTGGTTCAAGTGATTCTCCTGCCTCAGCCTCCTGAATAGTTGGGATTACTGATGCCTGCCACCACGCCGGGCTAGTTTTTGTGTTTTTAGTAGAGACGGGATTTCACCATGTTAGCCAGGCTTGTCTTGAACTCCTGACTTCAAGTGATCCTCCCACCTGGGCCTCCCAAGTGCTGGGATTACAGGCGTGAGCTACCGTGCCTGACCAAGAGACTATCTTTTCCCCAGTGTATGTTCTTGGCACTTTTACCAAAAATGAGTTTACTGTAGGTGTGTGCCAGCTAATTTTTTAATTTTGTAAAGACAGTTGTCTTTACAAAAGACAACTGTTGCCTGGGCTGGTCTTGAATTACTGCCCTCAAGTGAAAAATCTTATGATTCTTTTTTTTTTTTAAAGACGGAGTCTCACTCTGACTCCCACACTGGAGTGCAGCGATACGATGTCAGCTCACTGCAACGTCCGCCTCCCAGGTTAAGTGATTCTCCTGCCTCAGCCTCTGAGTAGCTGGGACTGCAGGCACGTGCCACCATGTCCAGCTAATTTTTGTATTTTTAGTAGAGATGGGGTTTCACCATGTTGGCCCAGCTGGTCTTAAAACTCCTGACCTCAGGTGATTCACCCGCCTCAGCCTCCCAAAGTGCTGGGATTATAGGCATGAGTCACTGCACCCGGCCTAGATTCTGTTTTTAATGACACTGGAAAACAACGAATTTTTGTTTTGGCATATATATAGCTTTACTTTTAAAAGCAAGAACACACACAAAAAAAGGGGGAAAAAAGCAAGAACACAATAAATGCAACATTTAGATCAACGAGTACCTGTGCACGAGAAGCACAGGGATGGTTTCAGTAGGATTTCATAGTTTGATGGTGACTTTTGCCAAGCTGCTGCTACTTGGATTGTGTGGTGTGTTTGTGAGTGTTTATATCATTAAAAAACAAAACAGCCACTGCACTGGGTTGTTTTATTTTTTAATGATATAAACACTGATGAGACAAGGCAAGAAAACAGCAAGGCAAAAAAGAAAAAAAAAAAAGCCAGGCATGGTGGTATGCACCTGTAGTTCTAGCTATTTGGGAGACAAAGGCGAGAGGACCACTTTGAAATCCAGGAGTTCGAGATTACAGCGAGCCATGATCATGACATTGTAGTCTACCCTTGGCAACACAGCAAGACCCTGTCTCAAACAGCAAAACAAAACAAAAAACCCCAGAATCACAGGATTTTTTTCATGCATAATTTTTCTAATATTGTCATGTTATTGCATATGGCTATAGCTCATTCCTTTTCACTGCCATATATGACTTGTGTGATTAAACATATTCTATAAATGGATTGTTTCCAGTTTCTTGCTTCTGTGAGCATTGTTTTATGAATAATCATGTCTTTTAGCACACATAGATATTGATTATCTTCATCAAAAGTTTCTCTTGGGTATAAACCTAGGACAGTAGTCTTGCTGCTAATAAGATATGCAGTATTAGTCTTTATGAGACAATGATAAATTGTTTTCCTAAGTAGTTCCTTCTCACCAGCAATATGTAAGAATTCCTACTGAGCCACATTTTCTCCAACATGTGGTATTATCAGGTCTTTGCCATTTTTTTTCTTTTTTTTTTTAGAGACCAAGGATGCTGCTAAAGATGCTCGGGATCAGAAATGTTTCAGATTTTGATTTTTTTCGGATTTTGGATTCCTTGCATTATTTTTACTGGTTAGCATCTGTAGTCTGAAAATCTGAAATCTGAAATGCTCCAAAGAGCATTACCTTTGAGCATCATGTTGATACTCAAAAACTTCCGGATTTTGGAGCATTTTGGATTTCAGATTATTGGATTAGGGATACTCAACCTGTATTTCAGTGGGTTTTATTTGTAATTTTCTGATTACTAATAACATTGAGCATCATTTCAAATGTTTAGTAACTATATGTAGGGGTTCAGTCAGGCTGGTGGGAAAAATATTAGTGATGATAGCCACAAACCCTCTTGGAAGGCCTAAGAGTTTGCATAACTTCAGTAATAGATATGGTTGAAGGCGACCTGATCTTTACCTTTAGTTAAATAAATTAGAGTAATAACAAAGGAATGTGGGGAAGTTATCTAGGTAGCTTGTTTACTCATATGGTCTTAAGACTAATCTTTGATGTACCGCAGGTGCTTAACTGCTTTCTACTCAGGAAGTCCACAATGTCAGTTACCCCGTAGTGGTGTTGACTCAAGTCTTTGTCAATTAATCTTTACTGAATAAATGCGAGTCTCACTAGCTGGTCAGGGCCGCCATTGCAACTGTTTACAGTACTCTTCAGGGAGTCTGTAAACAGCCTGGACACACTCAGCTGGACTGGCAAAGCAGAGTATCTGTGTGTCAGTGTACCTCATTCATCCGTTGCCGGGTCAGGGGTCTGCAAGGGACAGACTCCCTGAAGCTGGTGCTCTGTGTGAGGAGCGTCACCACAACTATACAATTTTTTTTTTTCCTGTAAAATGGCTGTCATAGCATTTGACCTTTTAAAAATCGGCTTGTGGCTGGGCAGGGTGTACACCTGTAATCCCAGCACTTTGGGAGGCTGAGGCGGATGGATCAGTTGAGGCCAGTAATTCAAGACCAGCCTGGCCAGCATGGCAGAACCCTGTCTCTACTAGAAGTACAAAAATTAACCAGGCATAGTGGCGCATGCCTGTAGTCCCAGCTCCTCAGGGGCGCTGAACCTGGGAGGCGGAGGTTGCAGTGAGCCAAGATTATGCCACTGCACTCCAGCCTCAGTTACAGAGCGTGACTCTCTCAAAAAATAAAGAAAAAAATAAGTCTGCTAGTATTTTTTATTTATAAGAGTTCTTTGCATCATCTACATACTAATCTTGTTGATTATACGTAGGTTACAGATTATCTTTTAGTATGTATCTTTTTACTTTTTTTTTTTTTTTTGGTGAGATGAGGGTCTTTCTGTGTTGCCCAGGCTCCTGGGCTCAAGAAATCCTTGCACCTTTTTTTTTTTTTTTTTGAGATGGAGTTTCACTCATGTTGCCGAGGCTGGAGTGCAATGGTGTGATCTCAGCTCACTGCACCTCTGCCTCCCGGGTTCAAGCACTTATCCTTTCTCAGCCTCCTGAGTAGCTGGGATTACAGGCGTGTGCTACCACGCCCGGCTAATTTTTGTATATTTAGTAGAGATGGGTTTTGCCATGTTGGCCAGGCCAGTCTTGAACGCCTGACCTCAGGTGATCCATCCGCCTCAGCCTCCCAAAATGCTGGGATTACAGGCATGAGCCACCGCGTCCAGCCTTTGTTTTTTTAATGTTGCTTTTTGATTAAAGAAATTTGTAATTTTAATATGATTGAATTTATCTGTCCTTCATTTTTATGTCTTTGTTTTTAGTAACAGTCTTGCTCTGTCACCCAAGCTGGAATGCAGTAGTGTGATCATGGCTCACTGTAGCCTCAACCTCCTGGGCTCAGGCAACCCTCCTCCCTCAGCCTCCCAAGTAACTAGGACTACAGGTGTGTGCCATATGCCCAGCTAATTTTTGTTGTTGTTGTTGTTTTGTAGAGACAGAGTCTCACTATGTTGCCCAGGCTGGTCTCAAACTCCTGGCCTCAAGTGATCCTCCCGCATCAGCCTCCCAAAGTGCTGGGCTTACAGCCACCATCTACCACGCCTGACTATTTTTGTCCTGTTTAAGAAATTCCTGGGCTGGGTGTGGTGGCTCACGCCTGTAATCCCAGTACTTTGGGAGGCTGAGGCGGGTGGATTACGAGGTCACGGGATCGAGACCATCCTGGCCAACATGGTGAAACCTCGTCTCTACTAAAAATACAAAAAAATTAGCTGGGCGTGGTGATGCGTACCTGTAGTCCTAGCTACTCATGAGGCTGAGGCAGGAGAATCACTTGAACCAGGGAGGTGGAGGATGCAGTGAGCCAAGATCGTGCCACTGCACTCCAGACTGGTGATAGAGTGAGACTCCGTTTAAAAAAAAAAAAAATGAAATTCCTTATTACTCCAAGGCCAGAAAAATATTATGCTACATTTTCTTCTTAATATTGTAGAATTTTGGCCAGGTGCAGTGGCTAAAGCCTGTAATCCCAGCACTTTGGGAGGCCAAGGCAGGAAGATTGCTTGAAGCCAGGAGTTTGAGACCAGCCTAGGCAGTATAGTGAGACCTCATCTCTACAAAAAATTAAAAAAATATATTAGCCAAGCATAGTGGCACACACCTGTAGTCTCTGCTACTCAGGTAGCTGAGGTGGGAGGATCACTTGAGCCTGGGAGGTCGAGGCTGCAGTGAGCCCTGTTTGTGCTGCTGCACTCCAGCCTGGGCAACAGAGTGAGACCCTGTCTCAAAAAATAATAATAAAATTAAAGAATAAACAAATATATAGAGAGAATTTTTTTGTTACCTTTAAGTCTCAAATTTACTTGGAATTAATTTTTGTGTGTGATGTGAGGTAGGGATCTATTTCTTTTTTTTATGTGGATGGTTGGCCCAGAACCATTTATAGAAAATCTTTTTCTTTTCTTTTTTTTTCTTTTCTTTTTTTTTTTTTTTAGACAGAGTCTCACTCTTGTCACCCAGGCTGGAGTGCAGGGCCACAATCTCAGCGCACTGCAACCTCTGCCTCCTGGGTTCAAGTGATTCTCCTGCCTCAGCCTCCTGAGTAGCTAGGATTACAGGCATGTGCCACCACACCCAGCTAATTTTTGTATTTTTAGTAGAGATGGGGTTTCACCGTGTTGGCTAGGCTGGTCTCGAAAAGTTTTCACATTTTAAAAAGTCTTTAAGGATTTTGATTAGAATTACATTGTCTATAGACTAATTTGGAAGAATTGATACTTTATGATATTGAAACTTCCTATCCATGATCATGATCATGGGCTCCCTATCCTTTTTTTTTTTTTTTTTTTTTTTTTTTTTTTTTTTTTTTTGAGACAGGTTTTGCTCTGTCACTCAGGTTGGAGTGCAGTGGCACAATCATAGCTCACTGCAGCCTTGAATTCCTGGGTTCAAGTGCTTCTCTTGTCTCAGCCTCCCGAGTAGCTAGGACTAGAGGCACACAGCACCACACTTGGCTTTTTTTTTTCTGTAGAGAATACAAAATTTAAAAATTTAATTTTTTGTAGTGTCTCACTAAACTGGGATTACAGATGTGAGCCACTCCACCTGGCCTCCTCCTCCAATTTTTAAGAGAGTCTTTTAATGTCTTTTGATAACCTTTTTAAATTTTCAGCACAAAGACACTGTAAGTCGTTTGCCATATTTTTAGGTGGGTATAATACGTATGTTTAGTTCTACTAGGAATAAATAAATCTTTTCTAGTTTTTTGTCTTTAACATCTTATGTTTTTGATTTCTTATTCTACTGGCTAACACTCCCAGGATGATGTTTAGAAGTTGAACAGAAAGGTGATAGTGAGAACCCTTTTCATATTCCTGATTTTGAAAGAATTGTTGCTGGTGCTGTGGCTCATGCCTGTAATCCCAGCACTTTGGGATGCTGAGATGGGAGAATCTCTTGAGCCCAGGAGTTTGAGAGTTTGAGGGGATCTGCCTGGGCAACATAGTGAGACTCCATTTCTTTTTTTTTTTTTTTTTTTTAGACAGAGTCTCCCTCTGTCTCCCAGGCTGGAGTGGTGCAGTGGTGCAATCTCAGCTCACTGCAAGCTCCGCCTCCCGGGTTCATGCCATTCTTCCTGCCTCAGCCTCCCGAGTAGCTGAGACTACAGGTGCCCAGCACCATGCCCGGTATTTTTTTTGTATTTTGTATTTTTAGTAGAGACGGGGGGTTTCACCATGTTAGCCAGGATGGTCTTGATCTGACCTCGTCATCTGCCCGCCTTGGCCTCCCAAAGTGCTGGGATTACAGGTGTTAGCCACCATGCCCGGCTAAGACCCCATTTCTTTAAAAAAAAAAAAAAAAAAAAAAAAAAGCCAGGCGTAGTGGCATGCATTTGTAGTTCTAGCTGCTTGGGAGGCTGAGGCGGGATCATTGCAGGAGATTAAGGCACCCACAAAGATGCACTTAAACCAGTTGTTTCTGCTGAGAGCAGCTGGGATTTGTCACTGGATTTGCCAGGTATAGAGACTCGCCAGCTGCCATCAATGCTTCTGGTCCTTTTTGGTCAGCTGCTGCTTCATACTACGTAGGAAAGATTGTTAAAGCCCAGTGCACTGTTTCCTCTGGTCACTCCTCTGCTATCAAGGTGTTCTCTTTTGCGTTATAGAAAGCTTAAAGTTCATCTAAGTCCAGACCAGTACTCCTATAGGAATATAATGCATGCCACAAATGTGAGCCACTTAAATAATTTTAAATTTTCTAGAAGCTACATTAAAAAGTAAGGAGAAACAGATGAAATAATTTTTTAAACCACTACATCCAAAATATTATTATTTCAACATATAATCAATAAAAAATAGTACTGAGGCCAGCACGGTGGCTCACACCTGTAATCCCAGCACAGGCCAAGGCAGGGAGGATCGCTTGAGCCCAGGAGTTTGAGACCAGCCTGGACAACATGGTGAAACCCCATCTCTACAAAAAATAAAAAAAAAATGAGTGGGACATGTTGGCACATGCCTGTTAGTCCCAGCTACTCAGGAGGCTGAGGTGGGATAATCACTGAGCCAGGAAAGTTGAGGTTGTAGTGAGCTGTGATTGTGCCACTGCACTCCAGCGTGGGTGATGGAGCAAGACCCTGTTTCCGAAAAAAAAAAAGAAAAAAAAGATATACTTAAAATTTATTCTAAGATGAAGTCTTCAAAATCAGGTGTATATATCATGCTTACAACACATTATATAATTTATGGCTCCTGCCTAGCAGGGGTCATCACTGTTAGTTCAACTTTTCTTTGGCAAGTCTACTCCCTGTGCCCCACCGTACACTGCTACATTATTGTTTGTATATGTGTGTGTGAGACTGCATTTAGGCAACTGTAATAGGTTGAATTTGGTTATTTAATCTCTGTCCAAAATCACATCACAAAGATGCCTTGATTATAGAAAGATCCTTCCTTGCAGCATATTAGTTATTTGACACCCTCAGTGGATATAAGTGAATATTTTGAGGGAAGAATAGAAAAGATACAATTTTTATTTATTTATTTATTTATTTATTTACTGAGACAAGTTGCTGCTCTGTCGCCCAGGCTGGAGTGCAGTGACATGATCTTGGCTCACTACAACCTCTGCCTCCCGGTTCAAGTGATTCTTCTGCTTCAGTCTCCCTGAGTAGCTGGGGTTACAGGCATGCACCACCACACCTGGCTAATTTTAGTATTAATAATTTATTTTTAAATGGAATAATAATTTCACTTTCTTCTTACCAGATCTTTCTGTCTGGGTTGTTTGCTTTTATGAGTTTTTTTGTTTGAATCTCCCTTTTACATTAAACAAAAATTAACATTTTATTATGGGAAATTTCACTATGCTATTAGAAAAGCATAGTGAACCCCCAGGCATCATCAGTGATATTCGGTGTATAGCAGTTCACGGACAGTTTTGTTTCATCTATACCAACACCTATTGCTTATCCTCCTTCTGTGTCCCCCAGTTACTTTGAATTAAATCTTATACATATACAGATGAATATTATCACTTCATCTGTATCAGAATGTTATTTTTATTAAGAAAATTATTTTTGAGATAGGGCCTTGCTGTAGTGCCCAGGCTGGAGTGTAGTAGCATGATATAACTCCCTGCAGCCTCGAACTCCTGGGCTCAAGTGATCCTCCCACCTCAGCCTCCTAAGTAACTGGGACTACAGGTGTGTGCCACCACACCTGGTAACAGATGGTTTTAAAAACTACAATACATTATCACACTTAAAAAAATTATCTTATCTAAAATAACTATTCAGATTTTCCCAGTTATTTCATAAGTGATTTTTTTTTTTTTTTTTTTGAGACACAGTTTCACTCTTGTTGCCTCCAGGCTGGAGTGCAATGGCCCGATCTTGGCACACTCCAACATCTGCCTCCCGGGTTCAAGCAATTCTCCTGCCTCAGTCTCCTGAGTAGCTGGGATTATAGACACCCACCACCACGCCCAGCTAATTTTTGTATTTTTAGTAGAGACAGGATTTCACCATGTTGGCCAGGCTGGTCTCAAACTCCTGACCTCAGGTGATCTACCCGCCTCAGCCTCCCAAAATGCTGGGATTACAGGCATGAGCCACTGTGCCTGGCCTTCATAAATGATTTTTATGGTTCAAATCAGGATCCATATAAAGTCCATATATGTGTCTTTTTTTAGTCTATAGATTTCCCTTCCATCTCCTCTGCAATTTATTTTTGGAAGAAACTGAGTTATTGAGTCATTTGTCATCTAGAATGATGTACAGTTTAGATTTTGCTGACTGCATTCCATGGTGTGGCCAAACTTCCTCTGTCTGGTGTATTTCTCATAAGTGTGTAATTAGATGGAAAGGCTTGGTCAGATTTAAATTAGTTTTTTTTTTTCTACAGGGATATTTGAGAGGTAGTGGTATGTATTTCCATCAGGAAGCACATAATGTCTTCTTGGCTCTCTTTGTGATGTTAGTAGCCATCAATTTCAGTGCCTAGATACATTAATTAGATTTCTGTATCTCCTACTATCTCAAAATTTTCCATCTTCTGTCTGTGCTACATTCTGAGTCCTTTCTTCAGTTATAAATTCTAATTCATTGTATAATTCTTGTTAATCTGTTGACTTTCTAAAACTGGCTTTTCATATCTAAAAAAATTTCCTTTTTTCAAGTCTGTTCATTCCTCATAGTTCTTACTAATTGGTCATTTTTACATCCTTTTTTTTTTTTTTTTTTTTTGAGACGGAGTCTTGCTCTGTCATCCAGGCTGGAGTGCAGTGGCATGATCTCTGCTCACTGCAACCTCCGCCTCCCAAGTTCAAGTGATTCTCTTGCCTCAGTCTCCCGAGTAGCTGGGATTATAGGCATCCACCATCATGCCCAGCTAATTTTTGTATTTTTAGTAGAGATGGGGTTTCATCATGTTGGCCAGGCTGGTCTTGAACTCCTGACCTCAGGTGATCTGCCCACCTCAGCCTCCCAAAGTGCTGGGATTACAGGCGTGAGCCACTGTGCCCGGCCTATCCTTAACTTTAGACATTGCACACAGTACAACTGCTATCCGTATCGGATAGTTCTTAAGGTCAGCAGCTATTGCTTATTGTGTCTGCTGACTCTCTTGGTAGCTGCCCTTCTTTTGTGTCTAGTGATCTTTGAGTTCATTGTTTGATCTTAACCAGGGGAACTGTATGGGCCAAAATTAGGATTGAGGATATTTTTCTCCATAGAGGATTTTCCTTAACTTTTGCAGCAGCTGAAAGATGCCATTCAGATGGATCTACATTAGTCATGATGCCAGAATTGGGCAAATCTGCTGACACCAGGACACCTGTGTATATGTGTTTGTGTCTTTCCAGGAATTCATTGAAGAGTTGCTGTCTCCCCCTTTTGGGGGTTTAGTGGCATTTGTGAAGGAGGCTGAGGCTTTGATTGAGCGTGGACAGGCTGAGCGACTTCGAGGGGAAGAAGGTATGAGGAAAATATGGTAATGATGGGATCAGTGGTAAGGGAAGTGGAAAAGAAAAATGAAAGGATGCAGATTACATGGTGGGGGAATAGAGTATGAAAGACTGGATTGAGAGAATACCAGAAAAGAGGGTTTGATGATAAGGATGGCTATACCTTGGGGAGAACTTAGTGGAGTTGAAGATCAGCCAGATCCCTCTCTGACACTGTTTCCTCCTGCTATTAGCCCGGGTAACTCAGCTGATCCGTGGCTTTGGTAGTTCCTGGAAATCATCAGTGGAATCTCTGAGTCAGGATGTAATGCGGAGTTTCACCAACTTCAGAAATGGCACCAGTATCATTCAGGTGACCTGCAAGTCCCAGGCCCCACTCAGATCCCCCATCATTAATTATTTTCCCCATCTTTTTGCTGGGCTCAGCATCATCTAAGTGACCCTTGGTCTTCAGTTACTAGCTGTGCCCAAAGTTCTGTATGAGCCCTAACCTGATTCTTTTTTTTTTGTTTGTTTTGTTTTTTTTTTGAGACAGAGTCTAGCTCTGTTGTCCAGGCTGGAGTGCAGTGGCACAGTCTCGGCTCACTGCAACCTCTGCCTCCCAGGTTCAAGTGATTTTCCTGCCTCAGCCTCCCAAGTAGCTGGGATTACAGGTGCCTGCCACCACAACCAGCTAATTTTCGTATTTGTAGTAGAGATGGGGTTTCACTGTGTTGGCCAGGCTGGTCTCGAATTCCTGACCTCGTGATCTGCCCGCCATGGCCTCCCACAGTGCTGGGATTACAAGTGTGAGCCACTGCGCCTGGCCGCCTAACCTGATTCTTAATCATCACTATTAGCACCATTTTACGGTTTGATCCCTCAATGACTTTCTTTGACCAGGGAGCGCTGACCCAGCTGATCCAGCTCTATCATCGCTTCCACCGGGTGCTGTCCCAGCCGCAGCTCCGAGCCCTCCCTGCCCGGGCTGAGCTCATCAACATTCACCACCTTATGGTGGAGCTCAAGAAGCATAAGCCCAACTTCTGATGTGCCAGAAACCGCCCTGAGATCTGCCGGTCATCTCCATGGACTTCTGCACCCCATTCCATACCCTTCTTCACCTGGGGTACCCCTTCCAGTTTTCCCCTTGCTTCCCAGGCCCTTGACATGGCTTACCTGCCTTCACTCCCAGCACCTTGCCCAACAGGATAAGCTGGATCCCCTTGGCCTTCTGAATATCCCAGTGTCTTCAGGTTTCCCAAGACCACTTCCCTGTGGGCTTCCAAAATGGCCTTTATCATTTCTCCAGTCTGTCACCCTCCTTTCCTGCTCCCATACACCCAAGGCTTGTTTCTTCCCCTGTAAAAACCACTGCCTCAATCTCTGGTTCACTCAACTAGTCACCATGTCCTGAGGCATGAAGCCTCCTCAGCTCTTGGAATTGCTGGCAAGGGGTGACTGCCTCTGAGTCATTGTGTTTTTCAAAGTGATTTCTTTTCTGTAGCTTTTTGACCTAAGATCTCAGCAATTTGAACACTAACCTCTCCCCTCCTGGCTCAAGAATTACTCCGAAGTCAGTCTGCAGAAAATAAATATTTAGTATGACATGACACTTATCCCATTTCCTTTCTCCTTCCTCCTGAAGGTTTTTCAGGTGGCCCCATCTCTAGAATGACCTTTCCTTTCTGACTACTTCCTGGGCTTACATCCCTTCTGGTGGGTGTAACCTCTAACCTCTAGCTACTCCCAGGCCATTGGAGGAAGGTGGCCCCTGGCTAAAATAGCAGATGCTGCAAGGGATGAGAACCAGGCCGCGCAGCCCCAGACACTGTCCCAAGGGCTCCCTTGGGACAAGCCCAAGCTGACTCTGGAATCCCTCCTCCGTAGCAGCTCCATAGCTCCTCTGGTTGTGGCTGTGACAGCCCCTTGCTCGGGGGCTGCAGCACCCAACCCACACCCACACCGTTGGGGCAGGGCTAGACCAGGCGAAATTCGTACCATCCGTTTGTTTGACTTGGAGCCTTCCTGCTGTCCTCGCCTATACGCCTCGTTTGAACTTAGGCTCTAGACTGGAGAGACACGGGGACCCCTTTAAGGCCTAAGAAGAGAGGCGCAGTTAAGGAAAAATGTTACGTTTCCTGTGTCCTCCACCCCTACGGCCTAAACATTCCCTCCCCAGGTCCCTGGAGAGTGGTGGAAAGCGGTTCCTCCCCGCTTAGGCCCTTCGGATGCAGGTCTAGCCCGTCGGCAACGGGAGGTGTCCTGAGTGGGTCTGTGACTGCCGAGCACACCCGCCGCGGAGCGGAGGCTGCTGCTTCCTGAGGCTGAGAGTGGATCCGGCTCCGGGCTCTCCTAATTGGCGGACGCTGGGGGGCGGCGTGGTAAGGCAGAACGGAGCGGCATCTCAGCTCTCGCCTTTTCAGGGTTCCGCCCCATATCCGAGAGCCGCTCTCTAATTGGCTTGGGAAACCGTATCTCAGCGCTTTGGCCTAGCGACTTTGAACGTGTTTGCGCCTGAGACCGAAGTGCAGAAGAGGGCGAGCGCAGGAGGAGAGGCTTGGTGAATCAGCGATTCCTGATTGGCCAGGCGTGCCTTGAGGGCGGGGCCAGAACTGCGTCCTTAACTGACCTCGCCCTTGCCCAGATCACCGCCTCCGCGTTGCTCCGGGTTTACCCCGCCTGACTCGCTGCGCTATGCGTTCCCTCACGCCTGCCGGATGCCAGGCGGCGATGTGCCAGGCTCTGAGGGGCCGCGAGCTCACCCCAGACGCCGGCCCCGGGAATCCTCTGCTCCTCCACTTTCCCTTCCCGCTACTGGTTTCTTGCCCACCCACTCCCAGGTGTCACTCTTGGGACATCCAGATGTTCTGACATTTGACCTGACTCCAGCCTCAGCGCGAGGACGGGAGAAGGGCCAAGGGTATGAGATTTTGGACAGGAGAGGCATTGGCTACTCTGACAAAGAGCGTGGATTCCCAAAGAAAGGGTCCCCAGATACCCCGCAGGGGAGACTGTCGAGACAGGCGACTTTAGCCAACTAATGCTCGCACGCGAGGAGGGCTGTGCAGGCAGGCACCACGGTTCTTCACAGCCTTCCTTCTTTCCTTCCCCTGTCCGTCGCAGAACCCAAATCCTCAGAGCTGATCGAGAAGCGCGTGTTGTTGCAGAAGTCACTGAGGGGCAGACCTGGAATGTGAGCCGTGGGGCGAAGGGACAGCTCTGGAGACTCGTGATTCCGGAACCCGGTGGGCATTCAAGTGATACTGGAGCACGCAGTTTTCGGGGACATTAAGCTCGCCCCAGGGGTCCACAGGAACCCTCTGACCCAACGGTCTCTCTGGACAGGATGATCCAGAACAGACGGTGAAGAGACAAAACAGCGTGAAAGGGAGCGGCGATACCTAAACTGACCTCCGGAGGGCAGCATGATCAAGGGAAGGAGCTGTTCTCGCTCCGCTCAAACCCCCGCGCAGCCTCTGCAGCTTACTCCTGCTTCGGAAGGCGGCGAGGTTCCACCCCCACCACCCCGGTCCCCGCCGCCCTCTTCGCGCTGAAGCTGCGGAGGGTCTTTTTCTTCAGCCCCCAAATCCTCTGCTCTGTGGCTTAAGATTCCCAGGCTTAAACCCATAACTGCTAGGGTCATCACTCCTCAAACTTCTCCCTCACTTGTTTTGCTGATGACGGACACAGGGGCCTCACAGACTCAGAAGCATCTGGAGTCATTTCGAAGGACAGAACTGTGGCAATATCCTCTTTCCCCCTCCTAATCTCTGAGAACAGTGTCTGTATATGGCACGGGGGTCCCTAGTGTCATATAGAAGGACTCGGAGATGTCCTCATGGGCTGTAACGGCCCCCGGTGCTATTCAGGGATCTCTGTTCTTTAAAGAAATATCATTTCCCCTTATTTCTCTACCTTTGTGCCCTCACCTCGCCCTGAATTGTTTCTTAAACTGGGCTTTCTGGGAAACGTTTACTTCGTGTTCAACAGCAAAGTCTCGGCATAAGGCGAGGGCGGCAGGGGGTGGGGGGCGGGCGTTTGCTCGCCTTGGCATTAATTTCAGAGCTGCTGAACGTGGACAAAAGAGAGGGAACATCCTCCTTTCTTCCATTCCTGTAAATATGGACCCACCCACCCTCCACTTAAGATGGGTGGCTTTTCTGATTTTAAGATATCAAGCAGCCTGGCGAGGTGGCTGACACCTGGGATCCCAGAACTTTGGGAAGCCGAGGCGGGAAGATCCCTTAAGGCCAGGAGTTCTAGACCAGCCTGGCCAATATGGCGAAAACCCATCTCTACTAAAAATACAAAAATTAGCCTGGCGTGGTGGTGCCTGCCTATAATCCCAGCTACTAGGGTGGCTGAGTCAGGAGAGTCGCTTGAACCTGGGAGGCGGAGGTTGTAATGAGCCGAGATGGCCACTGCACTCCAGCCTGGGTGACAGTGAGACTCTGTCTCAAAAATAATAATAATAATAATAATAAAAAGATATAAATTGGCTGGGCTTTAAAATAAAGTAGTCAGAGGCCCAGGGTGGTGACTCATGCCTGTAATCCTTTTGGAAGGCAGAGGCCAGAGGATCTTGAGCACAGGAGTTTGAGACTAGCCTGGGCAACATAGGGAGACCCATCTCTACCAAAAAAAAAAAAAAAAAAAAGCAAAAAGCCAAGCATGGTGGCCCATGCCTGTGGTCCCAGCTAGTTGTGAGGCTGAGGCAGGAGGATTGCTTGAGAACAGGAGTTAGAGATTGCAGTGAGCTATGATTGCACTACTGCACTCCAGCCTGGGTGACAGAGTGAGACCCTATCTCTTTTTAAAAAATTAAAAAACAAAGTAGATTTAGTGTGAAGATTCAAGGAAAGAAAGAGAAAGCAAGACAAAACTTTAAGGAGAGGAGAATCGAAATTGGCTGACTTCACCCTGGACATAATGGACACAGCTATTCATGTTACGTACTAGCGTTAACAAAGTGTTTTCAGAAGCAGTTGTCATTAAACCAACACATTTATTGAAGCTCTTCTCTGTGTTCTGTGATAGGCACTGCGGATTCAGCAGAGACTAAATCAAAGTCCTTGATCTCGGAGAGCACATATTTCATCTAATTGAATTCACATACCAGCCTTATGAGGAGGTGTTCTTCCTGTTTCAGGTAATGAGCTTGAATTTCAAATAATGAGTTCAAAACCATATAGGCACTCAGTGGCTGAACCTTCTGTGCCCACATTCAGCTTTTGTTCTATGACTCCAGGCTGGGAGTCATGGAGCTGAGGAGGCAGCCGGTTGTAGAGAAGCAACAGATTAATAAGTAATAGTAAATTATTGAAAAAATATTTACAGAACTGAAGGAAAAGCTGAACAGGCGGTCTTTGGAAAGGACAGAAGCCAGGATAGTTCCAGCATCCAGGCAGCAGACACCAATGGTCAGTGCTTCTACTTTGGATCAAAAAGAGAGAACTCCAATAGGCTTAGGGTGGGTCAGGTGCTCACACTCATCTGAGGAAGGGGAGGGTCCCTTGAGGAATAGTACCATAGACTACCCAATGTTGGAGGATAATGGCCCCAACGCAAAAATGGGATCTTGCCACCAGACAAATGGGATATAGATGCCAGGCTGCAAAATCCAACAAATGTACACGTGCCCAAATCCCGACTCCATCACTAATAGCCATGCAATCCTCTGACTATCAATTAGATTAATTGACACTCTTTTTTCTCTCGCTACTGTGGTACATGCAGTAGTTACCTTTATTCTTCACTTTGTTTTCTCATAAGACTAACAAGCAGTTTTTTAAAATAAAGAAATAAAAGCAAAATTGCTTATTGTCTTAGTCTATTCATTGGCAAACTAGTAACATTAAATAAACTCCAGACAGAGCCACTGGAGAAGAATCAAGTACAACTTAGTAGAAATAACACCGTATGTGTGAAGGTGAGTGTGTGTGTGTGTGTGTGTGTGTGTGTGTGTGTGTGTGTGATGGAAAATACTTTGTCCTGCCCAAACTGTAAGTCATGACCATGCCCCTCTCAGCAGAAGTTTATCTTCATCTCATTTGGAAGTTTATAAGAACACAGCTTAAAAAAAACCTGTGATTTTGGAGCAAGGTCAAGCCTTTGCTATTGCTTCCACATTTTGTTTTGTTTTATTTATTTATTTACTTTTCAGTTTTTTGGAGTTTTCTTTATTTGTTTGTGTTTTTGAGACAGGGTCTCGCTCTGTTGCCCAGGCTGGAGTGCAGAGGCACCATCTCGGCTCACTGCAACCTCTGCCTCCCGGGTTCAAGCGATTCCCCTGGCTTAGCCTACTGAGTAGCTGGGATTACTGGCACGCACCACCACATCCAGCTAATTTTTGTATTTTCAGTAGACACTGAAATACATGTTTGCCATGTTGGCTGGGCTGGTCTCAAACTCCTGGCCTCATGTGATCTGCCTGCCTCGGCCTCCCAAAGTGCTGGGATTACAGGCATGAGCCACCACGCCTGCCTAGTTTTTAGTTTTTTGAGACAGAGTCTTGCTCAGTTACCCAGGCTGGAATGCAGTGGCATGATCACAGTTTACTGCAGCCTCGACCTCATGGATTTAAGCAATCCTCCCACCTCAGCCTCTGGGATAGCTGGGACTACAGTCATGTGCCACCACACCTGGCTAATTTTTGTATTTTTTGGTAAACGAGGTTTCACCATGTTGCCCAGGCTGGTCTTGAACTCCTGAGCTCAAGTGATCTCCTACCTCGGCCTCCCAAAGTGTTGGAATTACAGGCATGAGCCACTGCCCCAGCTGTTTTATTAATTTAGTTAAAAATATATGAAAAGAGGCCCTGCGCGGTGGCTCACGCCTGTAATCCCAGCACTTTGGGAGGCTGAGGTGGGCGGATCACCTGCGGTTTTGGAGTTCAAGACCAGCCTGACCAACATGGAGAAACCCCATCTCTACTAAAAATATAAAAAATCAGCTAGGCATGGTGGCACATACCTGTAATCTCAGCTACTCGAGAGGCTGAGGCAGGAGAATTGCCCTAACCCAGAGGAGGTTGTGGTGAGCCAAGATTGCGCCATTGCACTCCAGCCTGGGCAACAAGAGCGAAACTCTGTCTCAAAAAAAAAAGTATATATATATATATATATATATGAAAAGGCTGGGTGCGGTGGCTCACGCCTGTAATCCTAACACTTTGGGAGGCTGAGGCAGGTGGATCACCTGAGGTCAGGAATTTGAGACCAGCCTGGCCAACATGGCAAAACCGTGTCTCTACTAAAAATAAAAAAATTAGCCAGGCATGGTGGCAGGCGCCTGTAATCCCAACTACTTGGGAGGCTGAGGCAGGTGGATCACCTGAGGTCAGGAATTTGAGACCAGCCTGGCCAACATGGCAAAACCCTGTCCCTACTAAAAATACAAAAATTAGCCAGGCATGGTGGCAGGTGCCTGTAATCCCAACTACTTGGGAGGCTGAGGCAGGAGAATTGCTTGAACTCAGGGGGCAGAAGTTGGCAGTGAGCCAAGATCACACCATTTCACTCCAGTCTGGGCAAAAGAGCAAGATTCTGTCTCAAAAAAAAAAAAAAAAAAAAAAAAAAAAAATATATATATATATATATATATATATATATATATATATATATATATATATACATACATACACACACACATACACACATACAGGCACTAGCCAGGCGTGGTGGCTCATGCCTGTAATCCCAGCACTTTGGGAGGCCGAGGCGGGCAGATCACAAAACAGGCAGGGCATGGTGGTCCACGCCTGTAATCCTAGCACTTTGGGAGGCTGAGGTGGGCAGATCACTTGAGCACAGGAGTTCGAGACTAGCCTGAGCAACATGGCGAAACTCTGTCTCTACCAAAAATACAAAAATTAGCTGGGTGTGGTGGTGCATGCCAGTAATCCCAGCTACTCCGGAGGCTGAGAGGCAGGAGGATTGCTTGGGGAGGCAGAGGTTGCAGTGAGCCGAGATGGCACCACTAGACTCCAGCCCAGGTGACAGAGGGAGACCCTGTCTCAAAAAAAAAAAAAAAAAAGAAAGAAAAGAAGAAAAGAAAAACAAATCACCTGCCTTATGAAGAAACAGTTTGTAATAGATATAAGACACAGAATGTGCAGCCCCTGGTATGGAATAAGTCCTTAGAAAATGTTAGTTTCCTCTCTGTCCCTGTGTGACATGAAGGGAATTCCAGGGCCAGTGCCACTTCCTGGTGGTTTCCCTCACTTAAGTGCTGTGTACCCCATTGCAAAAGCATGTCTTCCAGGTTCCTGATACCACATCCCATGTCCTCTGCCTTTGGGGCTCTCATAGGATTAAGTGTCATTTTCCCTATGAACTAGAAAAGAATCTTCTGAACGTCTGCCTTGGGACTGATGATATAGCTGAGCTGAAAGGACAATTAGTTTTCCTCCCCAGACCAACCCAACCTTCAAGGCTGGGGACTCATTTGATGCTCCCATTCAAACATTTGGAGAAAATTGTCTCTGAGTACCAGGTCTTTTTAGCATATTTTCTCCAAATGTTACATCCTTAGGGGCTTTGAATAGTAGAAGAGCCTTCAACATTGGTTCAGATGGAAGCATGCAGGCATGTGGAGAGTTGCCACTCCCTGATCCCTGAAACAAGGCTTAGGATGGAAAAGAGCCTCCTGGGGAGGTTGGCTCTGAATGTAAAGCTGGGAGAGGCACCTCCTGTCAACCTAAGGGCTTGTTGGTAGGGGCAACATGTTGACCTGGCTTCCTTCCCACTCTGAGACATCACTGGCTCTCATGCAGAGCTATTTTCCTTCTTTCTTTCTTTCTTTCTTTCTTTCTTCTTTCTTTCTTTCTTTCTTTCTTTCTTTCTTTCTTTCTTTCTTTCTTTCTTTCTTTTCTTTTCTTTTCTTTCTTTCTTTTTTTTTTTGAGACGGAGTTTCACTCTTGTTGCCCAGGCTAGAGTGCAACGGCACGATCTCAGCTCACCACAACTGCCACCTCCCTGGGCCAAGCAATTCTCGTGCCTCAGCCTCCCGAGTAGCTGGGATTACAGGCATGTGCCACCATGCCCAGCTAATTTTGTATTTTTAGTAGAGATGGGGTTTCTCCTTGTTGGTCAGGCTCGTCTCAAACTCCCAACCTCAGGTGATCCACCTGCCTTGGCCTCCCAAAGTGCTGGGATTACAGGAGTAAGCTGCCGTGCCTGGCCTTTCATTCTTTTCTTTCCTTCTTTCCTTCTTTCCTTCCTTCCTTCTTTCCTTCTTTCCTTCCTTCCTTCCTCCCTCCTTCCCTCCCTCCCTCCTTTCTTCTTTCTTCTCTTTCTTTCTCCTTCCTTCCTTCTCTCTCTCTTTTCTTTTCTTTCTTCTTTCTGGGTTTCGCTCTATTGCCGAGGCTGGAGTGCAGTGAGTGGCACGATCACGGCTCACTGTAGCCTCAACTTCCTAGGCTCCAGCGATCCTCCTACCTCAGCCTCCTTAGTAGCTGGGATTGCAGGCATGAGCCACTGTGCCCAGTGTAATGCAGGGCTCTTCATCCAGGATCCCAAAGGGCAAACAAAAATAGGAGAAAATTACATTTCATTTTCACTAATCTCTAACTGAAATTTAGCATTTTCTCCAATGATAAATGTAGGCAATAAACCTACACCGGTATTTGTAGTACATGTGACTGTTGTTAATAGAATTTACACATTTGTGTCATCTTCCAGTAGTTGCAGAAATTTCAAAATGTCATGTATGCTCACGGTTACTTTGTAGTTAGTGGTAGTGGTTAGACTCACCACTAGATCTTCTTCTTACACATTTTGTTTCATTTTGACAACTGTACTTCAATATGATTGTTTTCCTTTGTAATCCCATTTATTTTACTTTATGCAGTTGAAGATTATTCTGACACTCCACAGACTTCACCAGACTTCCAAAACCTGTCCTAGACGTAAAAAGTTAAGAAACCTTAAATCTCTAATGATGCTGTCATTTCCTGTTTTGTATTATCTTACAACCAGGGTAATTAGGAATGCCTTCTTCTTCTTCTTTTTTTTTTTTTTTTTTTGAGACGGAGTCTTGCCCTGTCACCCAGGCTGGAGTGCAGTGGCACAATCTTGGCTCACTGCAACCTCTGCCTCCCGGGTTCAAGTGATTCTCCTGCCTCAGCCTCCCAAGTAGGTGGGATTGCAGGCATCCACCACCATGCCCAGCTATTTTTTTGTATATTTAGTAGAGATGGGGTTTCACCATGTTGGCCAGGCTGGTCTTGAACTCCTGACATCAGGTGATCCACCCACCTCAGCCTCCCAAAGTGCTGGGATTACAGGCATGAGCCACCGTGCCTGGCTTGCTTTCTTCTTGTTTAAACTAAAGGTCTTCTTGTAAAATTCCTGCTTATATTTTCTTCATTATTACTCAAATTCAATTATTCATTTATTTGCCAAATATTTAGAAAACACTTCTCTTGTACAAAACCATGCTGCATAAAACTGTTATTATGCGAAAAATAATCCTTACTCGCCATGCCCTCTACCCCGACCCCCCAACCCCATTTACAATCTGGTAGAGCTGGACTGTTTACCCACATAGGACACACAGGCTGCAGCTTACCATGGGCAGGGAGTGGGGATGGTTGTTCCAGGTGCAGGTAATAAGAAGGTGTATTGTCTGTGGAGAATTTAAAAATAATTCTAAAACCAACTTTTTTTTTTTTTTTTTTTTTGAGATGGAGTCTGACTCTTTGGCCCAGGCTGGAGTGCAGTGGCACCATCTTGGCTCACTGCAGCCTCTGCCTCCCGGGTTCCAGTGATTCTCCTGCCTCAGCCTCCCAGGTAGCTGGCATTACAGGCACACACCACCACGCCAGGCTAATTTTTGTGTTTTTAGTAGAGACGGGGTTTTACCACGTTGGCCAGGCTGGTCTTGAACTCCTGACCTCAGGTGATCTGCCCACCTCACCCTCCCAAAGTGCTAGGATTACAGGTGTGAGCCACTGCGCCCAGCCTGAAGCCAACTTTTTATTGATACTGCGCACCAGCAATTATAAAAAAATGTTAGTGACAAAATACCCCTTGCAGTGTAGCCTCCTCCCCCCACTCCACCCTGCTTGGTATGCCACTGCACACAGGGGAGTTTAACCATTTCCAGTTTACACACACACACACAGACACACACACACACACACACACACACACACACACAAACACACAGAGCCTTTGAGACTTCCTTTTCTCCTCAACTCCCCCAGCCCAGTTCTCATGTCACTCTACTCAGGGTAGGATCTGCAGCACTGCTGGGCCAGTATCCCCAAAGGTGAGCCCTGTAAGCTCCTTGGCCTCTGGATGGTCTCATTAATAGTCCAGGATGAGCCCTGCAATCTTGGCATCTGTAGGCAGGTCTCAGCTCTTCTTCACACCCCTGGGCTTGAACCCCTTGGCAACTGCGTTTGACAGTACATGATTCCCATTCTTCATCTCCAGATTTTCCATCCTTCAAGAAAACACTGGATTTCCTGGTCAAGCCAAGGCTTAATGAACTGGCCTGGCAGCTTCTCTGGTCCTCAAGTTTCCTTTTCTTGCCTTACTTTCTGAAGACTTCTAGTAGTTTTACTTGGAAGTGTCACTGTCTCCATTTTTATTCCTGAGTTTTCTGCAGTTCTTTTTTCTGTGGCCCCACGGACTCATCCAGAGCCTGCAGGGAGCTGACACCTCATCTGAGCTGCTAGAATTGAGGTGAGAAAGGAGGTTCCTAAGTGCAGAAATGTGTTTTCTCCTCTCCAGCCACCACTGAAGGCTTTGGATGTGATTGAGTCAGACCTCTCCTGCACAGTCTCCCTTTGGATTACCTCAAGATAAACCAATTTGTGACTTTAATTACATCCGCGAAGTCCCTTCCCAGCTGCACCTAAGCTAAAGTGTGATTGAATGAATGAAAGAGGGTGTGCTGGCGATCAGCTAGGGAAGTGATTCCAAGGGTCCCTAGACTCCACATTACCAACTGCAAAATGTGACGTTCTTACGTTCTGACAAGCGAACTCTCCTCCCAAATTCATTGCCTGAGTTGATGCAAATGAATTCAGCCACGCCTTTTGGGTTTGGCATCTGAGAAGTGTCTGTGACTTGGGAAGAGTGGTCAGAATGGCGATAATGGGAAGAGACCACATTTCAGCTGGTGGAGAGTGAAAGGACAGCCAACATCTTGCCCTTTCTGAAGCATACACACATTGGAGATTGAAAGTGTCTGTTGGCCTCACAGGCACTGAGGAAAGCCTCCCATCCCCTTAGATTTTCCTCCTTTTTCCTGAGGTCCCCTGAACCTAATAGTCTGTAACCTTATTCCATGTCTGGGTCAACAAACCACCTTCCAAGGAGGACTTGAATATAATAATCCGTTTCCTCTGCATTCCTCCAGAACACAGAGTCCACACCATCCATGAGTCTGTCAAACAAAACATTCCTCATTGGTCTCAATGTTGAGCACTGAAAGTTCTCTGAGCTCATTTAGCACCAACTCATCATCCTTAAAATCCACAGGATGGGCCGGGTGCAGTGACCCATGCCTGTGACTACAACACCTTGGGAGGCCAAGGGGCAGATCTCTTGAGCCCAGGAGTTCAAGACCAGCCTGGGAAACATGGTGAGACACCTTCTCTACAAAAAAAAATTTTTTTTTTTGAGACGGAATCTCACTCTGTCGCCCAGGCTGGAGTGCAGTGGTGCAATCTCGGCTCGCTGCAACCTCCGCCTCCAGGGTTCAAGCGACTCTCTGCCTCAGCTCCCGAGTAGCTGGGATTGCAGGCATCCACCACCATGCCCAGCTAATTTTTGTATTTTTAGTAGAGACAGGGTTTTACCACGTTGGCCAGGCTGGTCTCGAACTCCTGACCTCGTGATCTACCCGCCTCAGCCTCCCAAAGTGCTGGGATTACAGGTGTGAGCCACCATGCCCGGCCTACAAAAATTTTTTTAAAAAAATTAGCCAGGAATGGTGGTGTACACCTGTGGTCCCAGCTACTTGGGAAGCTGAGATAGGAGGATTCCTTGAGCCCAGGAGGTTGAGGCTGCACAGTGAGCTGTGATCACGCCACTGTACTCCAGCCTGAGCAATAGTGAGACCTTATCTCAGAAAACAAACAAAACAACCAAAAATATCCATAGGATGAAACATATGTTTGATTATGACAACTTGCTTATGGTACCTTCTGGATGGCCCAGCTCCCTTGCAGATCCCCAGACCAACAGCTTTTGTTGTAGTGACAGCTTCTTCTTGTAACCTCTTTTTTTTTTTTTTTGAGATGGAATTTCACTCTTGTTGCCCAGGCTGGAGTGCAATGACATGATCTCGGCTCACTGCAGCCTCTGCCTCCAGGGTTCAAGCGATTCTGCTGCCTCAGCCTCCTGAGTAGCTGGAACTACAGGTATGCACCACCATGCCCGGCTAATGTTTGTATTTTTAATAGGGACGGTGTTTTGCCATGTTGGCCAGGCTGGTCTCGAACTCCTGGCCTCAGGTGATCCACCTGCCTCAGCTTCCCAAAGTGCTTGGATTACAGGCGTGAGCCACTGCACCTGGCCTACAGCCTCTAATTTCATTTTCATCCAAAAGCTTTAATGGAAGGCCCACAGATTCCCTCTTCAAGTAACAGCAAAGCGCATCTCCTTTAAGATTTCTTTGATCATCTTCATAAAGCTTGACTTTGAAGTCTTCTGAGGATTTCTCCTGGAGGCAAACCAGATATATAGACATTTGTATTTCTGTCTTCTTCAACATGAAATTATCCTCATTCCATTTTTCTTTTATCTCCCCTGTTTTTAGGATCAGTGGGTTTGGGGGGTTTTCTTTGCAGAAATTCTGCATTCCTAGCATTGACATTTTGTACATTTGCAGGAGAGCTAGATGCCCCACCATTAGAAAAGCCACACTTGGCTGGGTATGTAGCAATGAAACCTTCAGTGGCCTTGGGAAACCACGCCTTCTTGTCCAGATCCCACTCATTGTGGGAGTCAGTTGGCTGCTGCCCTAAATAACCCGTTTGTCACTGAGATCTTCTTGTCTGTTGCAGTCCTTAGTGTCTCCATATAATTTATGCATTCACAACTGCTCATCAAGTCATCATTATCATCCACTTCATGTTTCCTACCTAGCCAGGGGCAGGGTTCAGGTAATCAAAGAGGCTGCTCTGCTGGGCCTGCAAGGCTCCACCAAGTGTGTCTGAGGTGACAGCCCAAGCACTGTTATAAATATTTGCGCACTGTTGTAAACATTTGCATTAGTCCCTTCTCGCACTGCTATAAAGAAATACCTGAAACTGGGTAACTTATAAAGAAAAGAGGTTGCCGGGCGCGGTGGCTCATGCCTGTAGTCCCAGCACTTTGGGTGGCTGAGGCAGGTGGATCACTTGAGGTCAGGAGTTTGAGACCAGCCTGGCCAATATGGTGAAACCCCGTTTCTACTAAGAATACAAAAATTAGCCGGGCATGGTGGCCAGCACCTGTAATCCCAGCTACTTGGGAGGCTGAAGCAGGAGAATCACTTGATCCGGGGAGGCAGAGGTTGCAGTGAGCCAAGATCATGCCACTGCACTCCAGCCTGGGTGACAGAGCAAGACTCCGTCTCGGAAAAAAAGAAAAGAAAAGATGTTTGCTGGGCACAGTGGCTCATGCTTGTAATCCTAGCAGCACTTTGGGAGGCTGAGGCCGGAGGGTTAATCACTTGAGCTCAAGAGTTTGAGACCAGCCTGGGCAACATGGCAAAAACCCGTCTCTATAAAAAATTCAAAACTTAGCTGGGTATGGTGGCATGTGCTTGTGGTTCTAGCTACTTGGGGAGCTGAGGTGGGAGAATTGCTTCAGACCAGAAGGTAGAGGCTACAGTGAGCTGTGATTGCGCCACTGCCTGGGCGACAGAGCAAGACCCTATCTCAAAAAAAAAAAGAGGTTTAATTGGCTCATGGTTCTGTGGGCTCTACAGGAAGCATGATGCTGGCATCTGCTTGCCTTCTGGGGAGGTCTCCAGAAACTTACAATTATGGCAGAAGGCAAAGGAGGAGCGAGCCTTCTCACATGGCAGGAGCCGAGAGAGAGGGAGGAGGTGCGGCACACTTTTAAACAACCAGAGCTTGCCAGAACTCTCTATCATGAGAACAGCACCAGGAGGATGGTGCTAAACCATTCGTGAGAATCCACTCCCATAATCCAACCACCTCTCACCAGGCTCCACCTCCAACACTGGGACTACATGAGATTTGGTGGGGACACAGATCCAAACCATATCAACATTTAACACATTGCATCTTTGAATTGTCACAGCAACCCTGTGAGGTGGGTACTAGTGTTATCCCCATTTTACAGAGAGGAAATTGATGCCCAGAGACCTTGCCAAGGTTATAGACAGGACAGTTAGTGCATGACAAAGCTGGAATTGGAATGCAGCCAGTTCTGCTTTAGAAGCCACTTTCTTGCCTGCCTTTCTTTCTTTATTTCTTTATCTTTTCTTTCTTTCTCTCTCTCTCCTTCCTTCCTTCCTTCCTTTTCTTTCTTTTCTTTTCTTTTTTTTTTTTTTTTTTGAGACAGGGTCTGGCTTTGTTGCTCAGGCTGGAGTGTGGTGGCACCATCTTGGCTCACTGCAACCTCCACCTTCTGGGCTCAAGTCATCCTCCTACCTAAGCTTCCCAAGTAGCTGGGATTACAGGTGCATACCACCACACCTGGCTAATGTTTGTATTTTTTTTAGTAGAGATGGGGTTTCACCATGTTTGCTAGGCTGGTCTTGTACTCCTGGCCTCCCAAAGTGCTGGGATTAGAGGCGTGAGCTATTGCACCCCGCCTGAAGCTACATTCTTTTTTTTTTTTTTTTTTTAATGAGACGAGTCTTGCTCTGTCCCCCAGGCTGGAGTGGTGCAGTGGCGTGATCTTGGCTCACTGGAACCTCCGCCTCCCGGGTTCAAGCAATTCTCCTGCCTCAGCCTCTCGAGTAGCTGGGATTACAGGCACCTGCCACCACTCCTGGCTGTTTTTTCCATTTTTAATAGAGACGGGGCTTCACCATATTGGCCATGCTGGTCTCAAACTCCTGACCTCAAGCGATCCGCCTGCCTTGGCCTTCCAAAGTGCTGGGATACAGGCATAAGCCATCGTGCCTGGCCAAGGCTACATTCTTAAACGCCACTTTTTACAGCTTCCAAGAAACTAACTGGGTGAAATCCAGCCTGCCTCCTGTCCTTGTTTTTATCATTTCATAGTGAAAACATAAACTCCCAAGCCCACCTACTCTATTGCACTGTGTCTCCATGACACTCTGTACCTTCTGGCTCTGACTCAGCCCTCCACTTTCCCCCTCCCTAACCTGCCTGTGCCCTCTAATAAACTGTAGCCCCCCTCATACCCTTAGCTTCTCCTTGGAGCATTCCCTCCACTTCCTGGCGTTAAGTGAAATTTAACTCTCCCTTGAGGGCACTACCTCCTTTGCAGGCTTCTGAAATGAGAGCTGTTGATTTTCTTACAGCTGAGGGTGCTCTCCTGGCTTCAGATTGCTGCCTCCGGACTACTCCTCCCCCAGCCCCCAACTCTAGTTTAAAATAACCCGCGGCCTTCCAGGCACTGCAATTAGGCTAAACTTTCCTCTTCCTTTCTCACTGCTACTGTCTGCCAGACCCCTCCACCTCACTCAGGGGAACGCTGGCCCAGCTGACCGTCTGTCTTTGCATTGAGTCCTCCCTCTGGGAGACTTCATTGTCCACCTGGAGGATCCATTCCCTACTTGACCTCTCAATAACCTGGCCACTTAATCCCCAAGAATCTTCTCCTCTCCAACTCGGCCACACATTCTCATTGTCATACCCTGGACCTTATCACCTGAAAGAGCCCCTCCTTGAGAATCAGTCAAGCAGCCTGCTCTTGGCCCCCACCTCCTAACCGTCTGTCCATCAGTCTGTCTGCCCTCCTCGCAACCAATTTTCAGTCTCCTAGGACCTTTGGATCAATGATGCCTTCCGTCTTCCAGCTTATGAGCCCCTCCCTATTCAGCTCAACTCCACAACCCTTCATTTCAACACCTCTCTGGACAATGTCGCCAACTCCCCTTCCCCTCTGTATTTTCATCCTTTGTACCCAAGTGGCAAAACCCCAACCCTGGATGAGCCCAGTGATCTGTTTTCTTCAGGATTTTACTCTGATAGCCAAGAACTGTTGGTGGTGGTGGGGGAAATCACACAATCAGGAAATGGTTCCCACTCCTCACTCATGATCATGAACTCTAAGGAGGCTCCCAGAATTGTTTAGTGGCCCAACCACATCACTCTGGTCAATGGCTACGTTAAACCTCCCTGATCCTTGAACCTCTGAGGCTCTTCTGTCTCTCACCTCATGCTCACTTGATGACCTCCCTCTTATGTCACAGAGAAAATGAAAGTCATCAGAGGTGAGCTCCCTCAACCATCTGTCACCAGATCCACACCCCTCCAAGAGGAACACAATGCATGCAGCGCATGTACCTTGATTTGATCCTGATTTGAAATATATGCATAGGCTGGATGCAGTGGCTCACGCCTGTAATTCCAGCACTTTGCTTGAGCTCAGGAGTTCAAGGCAGGTGGATTACTTAAGCTCAGGAGTTCAAGACCCACCTGGGCAACAGAGAAAAACCCTGTCTCTACAAAAAAAAAAAAATACAAAAATTAGTCAGGTGTGGTGGGTCACACCTAAATAGTAGTTCCAGCTACTTAGGAGGCTGAGGTGGGAGGATCACTTGAGCCTGGGAGGTGGAGGTTGTAGTGAGCTGTGATTGCACTGCTGCACTCTAGCCTGGGTGACAGTGAGACCCAGTCAAAAAAGAAAGAAGGAAAGGAAGGAAGGAAAGGGAGGAGAGAGAGAAAGGAAGGAAGGAAGGAAGGAAAAACAGAAGAAAGGAAGGAAAGAAATTAAAAAGAAAGATATATATATATATAAATATATATATAAAAGACATTTTGAGGCTAACTGGGGAATATTTGAGTATATTCTGCTATCAGATGAAGTGAAGAAATGATCGTTATTTTCTAATTTTGTTTTTTTTTTTGAGACTGAGTCTTGCTCTGTCACCAGGCTGGAGGTCAGTGGCGCAATCTCAGCTCACTGCAACCTGTCCCTACTGGGTTCAAGCAATTCTCCTGCCTCAGCCTCCCAAGTAGCTGGGATTATAGGTATGCACCACCACGCCCGGCTAATTTTTGTATTTTTAGTAGAGACGGGGTTTCACCATATTGGCCAGGATGGTCTCAATCTGTTGACCTTGTGATCCTCCTGCCTCAGCCTCCCAAAATGCTGGGATTACAGGTGTGAGCCACCGTGCCTGGCCATGATCATTATTTTCTTAGCTGTGATTACGTATTGTGGTTATGGAATCTCCTTATTTTTGGGAGATGCATGCTGAGGTACTTAGGTGTGAAGCACATGCTTTCCTATATTTTCATATGGTCCAAGAATGTTTTAGTAGTCACTCAACAATTTCTATGTTTAAAAAAAAAAAAAAGGGCTGGGCACAGTGGCTCATGCCCGTAATCAATCCGAGCACTTTGGGAGGCTGAGGCAGGCGGATCACCTGAGGTCGGAAGTTCAAGACCAGCCTGACCAACATGGAGAAACCCCATCTATAGTAAAAATACAAAATTAGCTTGGCGTGGTGGCGCATGCCTGTAATCACAGCTACTCGGGAGTCTGAGGCAGGAGAATTGCTTGAACCCAGTAGGCGGAGGTTGCGTACAGCCGAGATCGCGCCATTGCACTCCAGCTTGGGCAACAAGAGCGAAATTCCATCTCAAAACAAAAAACTAAAAACAAGCCCACAAAGACGTATATAGGCCTTGGCACTGTGGCTCATGTCTGTAATCCCAGAACTTTGGGAGGCCAAAGCAAGAGGATCACCTGAGTCCAGTTTGAGACCAGCTGGGCAACAAGGCGATACCTTGTCTCTACAAAAAATTTAAAAATTAGCCGGGCATGGTGCCATGCACCTGTGGCCCCAGTTACTTGAGAGGCTGAGGTGGGAGGATCGCTTGAGCCCAAAAGTTTGAAGCTGAGATGAGCTATGATCAGGTCACTGCACTCCACCCTGTGCGATGAAGTGAGACCCTGTCTTGGAAAAAAAAAAAAAGAACCATATATATATGTGTGTGTATATATATATGTTTGTATATATATAATATATAAATATTTGTATATATGTATAAATAACAATTGTTAAATCTAAGTAAAATGATCGACATACAAACAATATTGTATTATATTTTCAAGTTTTCTGTATGTTTGAAATTTTTCATAATAAAAAAACTGGGCAAAATTCTCTCACTTCCACTCACTGCTCGACCCTTTCAGGCTGGTGTTTATCTCTACCTTGCTGCTACTCAAATGTTTTTTTGCAATGAACTTTATGTCATTAAGTCCATTGTTTCGTTTTCTTCTTACTTGAACTGCCACTAGTAGCTGACGTTGCTGGCCAGTTCTTTCTTGAAACACTGTCGTTTTTTGGCCTCCAGGATTTGGCCTCTTCTGGCTTCCTCCCATCCCTCCATCGGCTGCTCTTCCACCCCTCAGCCGGCTCACTCCGCCTTTGACTGAAATCACCTGGTCATATTGGAGTTCATCAAGAGAGGTCGGTCCTGGACCCTCCTCTTCTTATGCTACCCTTTCCTTCTAGGGGATCACACCTGTCCTGTGGCTTCAGTTCCCATCAGCTGGTTACTCTCAAATTTATCTCTTGCCTCAAATCTCCAGATTTGACCACCTTCCTGCCTGGCATCCCTACTTGGATGTCCCAAAGGTATTACTAACTTAGCTTTTTTTTTTTTTTTTTTGGGAGACAGAGTTTCGCTCTTGTTGGCCAGGCTGGGGTGCAGTGGCAAGACCTTGGCTCACTGCAACCTCCGCCTCCTGGGTTCAAGTGATTCTCCTACCTCAGCCTCCGGAGTAGCTGGGATTACAGGCATCCGCCACGACACCCGGCAAACTTTTTGTATTTTCAGTAGAGATGGGGTTTCACCATGTTGGCCAGGCTGGTCTCAAACTCCTGACCTCAGGTGATCCACCTGCCTCAGCTTCCCAAAGTGCTGGGATTACAGGCATGAGCCACGGTGCCCAGCTTAACTTAGCATATTTGAAACAGAAGTCATGATCTTCCCACAGAAGCAGTATCATCCTCAGATCTGAACCACAGGGGCCCTGCCCTGGCCCACATACTTTAGGGGGATTCACCTATCACAAACAACTTATCACACACATTTATTACATGACACCTGGGCACCTCTGTCACTGATCTGCTGTCAGTGCTGGAACAGCACAACCTGAAATCTTACACATCTGCTCTTGTAATCAACGCCGTTCAAGCCCTGGGGAATGGTGACTTCTGTAATCTCTTGCCCTGTATCCTGGAAACAAAAGATGACTATAGCCAATTCTGTGAAAATCTGAGGTTGTGCCTCTGCCTGGATTCTGAAGCATGTACTGCTTTGGAGTGTAGGGAGGATTTAAGCAGTGGAAACATGTAAGTGAAATCACTTTAACCAGCTTGTTAAATATTACCTCTCAAATAGCATGACAAAGTATCATTTCCCAATAGTGTTGAGTGTGGTTTTTCTTGTTTCTCTTTGTTTTAGAGGTATGGATGTATGTTGTGCTGCATTTACAACAGTTGCAAAGGATAGCTGAGGAACATGTTGCTGTATTAAACAATCCTTATTACTGTTAAATTTATATGCATGTGGTGGGAGGGGTGGTGAGGGATAAAAAACTACACATTTACAGTGTACACTCCTCCTGTGATGGGGGCACCAAAATCTCAGAAATCACCACTAAATAACTTATTCATGTAACTGAACACCACCTGTTCCCCAAAAGCCTATTGAAAAAAAAATTGAATACATGTAGGTCTAGATATAACTCTTGTGAAGTATGATATTGATTCTTTATGTTGTAATAGATGGACATTGAATACGAGATTATGAATACAATCATCCTCAGTATTCACCAGGGATTGATTCCAAAACCCCCACTGATGTTCAAACCCCTTGTATAACATGGCATAGTATTTGCATATAACCTATGCACATTCTTCCACATACTTTAAATCATCCCTAGGTTATCTATGGTGCCTATCGCAATGTAAATGCTGTATAAATATATGTTATACTGTATTTTTTATTTGTATTATTTTTTCTTTCTTTCCTTCCTTCCTTCCCTTCCCTTCCTTCCTTCCTTCCTTCCTTCCTTCCTTCCTTTCTTTCTTTCTGACAGTCTTGCTGTGTCACCCAGGCTGGAGTGCTATGGCAGGATATCAGCTCACTGCAAACTCTGCCTCCCAGGTTCACGCCATTCTCCTACCTCAGCCTTCCAAGTAGCTGGGATTACAGGTGCCCGCCACCATGCCCGGCTAATTTTTTTGCATTTTTAGTAGAGATGGGGTTTCACCGCGTTAGCCAGGATGGTCTTGATCTCCTGACTTTGTGATCCACCCGCCTTGACCTCCCAAAGTGCTGGGATTACAGGCGTGAGCCACCGCGCCCGGACTGGCCATATATATTTTAAAAATATTTTTATTCTTCAGTTGGTTGAATCCATAGGTGTGGACCTACAGATACAAAATGCCAACTGTAGTTTAATTTTTATAAAACTATCTGTCTTAGTCCATTCAGACTGCTATAACAAAATACCTTACACTGAGCAATTTATAAATAATAAACACTGCTTACAGTTCTGGAGGCTAGAATGTCCAAGCAGGTGGTGCCAGCAGATTTGGTAGCCAGTGAGGGCACACTTTGCTTCATAGATGGCGCCTTCTTGCTGCATCTTCACGGGTGGAAGGGGCAAACAAGCTCCTTTGGGCCTCTTTTTTTTAAGACAGGGTCTCGCTGTGTCACCTAGGCTAGAGTGCAGTGGCGTGATCTCGGTTTACTGCAAGCTCTGCCTCCAGGGTTCAAGTGATTCTCTTGCCTCAGCCTCCTGAATAGCTGGGATTACAAATGCCTGCCACCATGACTGGCTAATTTTTGTGTTTTTAGTAGAGATGGGGTTTCTCCATGTTGACCAGGCTTGTCTTGAACTACCGACCTCAAATGATTAGCCCGCCTGAGCCTCCCAAAGTGCTAGGATTACAGGCATGAGCCACCGCACCCAGCCTGGGCTTCTTTTATAACGGCATTAATCCCATTCATGAGGACAGGCCCCTCATGACCTAATCACCTTCTAAAGGCCCCATCTCTTAATATCACCACATTGGGGATTAGGTTTCAATTTATGAATTTTAGGGGGGCACAAACATTTATGCCATAGCAATACATAATAAAAATTAATAAATATGTATATATTTTTTTGAGACAGGGTCTCACTCTGTCACCAGGCTGGAGTGCAGTGGCACAATCATGGCTCACTACAGCCTCAACCTCCCAGGCTCAGGCAATCCTTCTACCTCAGCCTCCAGAGTAGCTGAGGCCACATATGTGTGCCACCATGCCCGGCTAAGTTTTCTATTTTTTGTAGAGATGGCATTTCACCATGTTGCCCAGGGGGGTCTCAAAACACTGGGCTCAAGCAGTCTGCCCACCTTGACCTCCCAAAACACTGGGATTTCAGGTGTGAGCTACTGGGCCCAGCCCAAAATTTCAAAAAAAAGCAGGCAAAAAGTCAGCTTTATCTAAATGTGTTTGATTTAAAATATTGATGTGTATTCATTATCATTTATATTTTGTCCAGATGCCGTGTCTCATGGCTGAGATTCCAGCACTTTGGGAGGCTGAGGTGGGAGGATCACTCGAGCTCAGAAATTTGAGACCAGCCTGGACAACATAGTGAGACCATCTCTCTACAAAAACTAAAAAAATTAGCTGGGTGCGATGGCTCATGCCTGTAATCCCAGCACTTTGGGAGGCCAAGGCGGGTGGATCACTTGAGGTCAGGAGTTCGAGACCAGCCTGGCCAACATGGTTAAACCCCACGTCTACTAAAAATACAAAAAATTAGCAGAAGAATGCTTGAACCCATATGTATACATGTATATATACATATGTGTATGTGTATGTTTATATATATATGTATATGATACAAAATTAGCCAGGTGTGGCAGCACACACCTGTAGTCCCAGCTATTTGGGAGGCTGAGATGGGAGGATCACTTGGACCTGGGAGGTCAAAGCTGCAGTGAACTGGGATCATGGCACTGTACTCCAGCCTGGGTGACAACGTGAGATCCTGCCAAAAAAAAAAAGGAAAAATAAAAAGAGTGATTTTACAGAAAAATTGAGATTTTCAATTTATCACGGCAGTGCCAGCTCTGAATTCCTATGCGGCAACGCTGGACCAGGAGCTGCTGCCCCTCTAGGAGGGGAGGGTGCCCTCCAGCCTGTTATAGCCTTCCCTTGGCACTTGGCACATTACTTGCCTGGCCCTTACAGGAATTTGAGGTGCAAATTGATCTAGATCATTGAAGGAAGAGTCTGGGTCTTCTCAGTTTTGGGGCACTTTCGTTGCCAAGTAAGGTTCTTATGAGATTTTTAGAAGTTGAGATTAAAAAAGAGTTTATATGCAGCTGGAGGTGATACCTAACAACAACCATAATAACAGCATCAACAACAAAAACAGTAGCCTAGAGCAGTTACTCTAAGCCAGGTAAGTGTTCTAAAGCACTTCACACAACTTATTTACTCTCACGACAATGCTATTAGGTAGCACTTTGAATACACACATTTTGTAGGTGAGGAAATTGGGGCATGTAGCTGTTAAGATTTATATCAGCCGGGCGTGGTCACTCATGCCTGTTCCCAGCACTTTGGGAGGCCAAAGCGGGCGGATCACGAGGTCAGGAGTTTGAGACCAGCCTGACCAACATGGTGAAACCCCGTCTCTACTAAAAATACAAAAATTAGCTGGACATGGTGGCGGCTGCCTGTGATCCCAGCTATTCAGGAGGCTGAGGCAGGAGAATCGCTTTAATCTGGGAGGCGGAGGTTGCAGTGAGCTGAGATCATGCCACTGCGCTCCAGCCTGAGTGACAGTGAGACTCTGTCTCAAAAAAAAAAAAAAAAAAAAGATTTATACCAATTTATACCGTCCAATAGGAGGCGTGAGACTCAACACAGGGTGGAGGAGAGAATAGGTCAGGAAATCACATCTCTCCACCTGCACAGCCACCATCATTGTACCCTTCTAAAGAGACTGGCAACAACTTTCATTCAGCACTGTCCCATTGATTGGCT
Source organism: Homo sapiens (assembly GCF_000001405.40). Lineage (NCBI taxonomy): Eukaryota > Metazoa > Chordata > Mammalia > Primates > Hominidae > Homo > Homo sapiens. The sequence continues at coordinate 33,227,712 of NC_000006.12, read as the reverse complement.
CATTTCATGATCACAGCAACCCAGTTAAGCAAATCCTCACCTTTGCATCGCCTGCTTTGTATCACTTTTCTTTAAAATTAAAAATAAAAAAAATGGATTACAAATTCGGTTAACGCCCATCCCATTTCTCTCCTTCCTTGTAGTAATTATCATTCTAAAGTTGTTGGGAATTATTCCCATGCGTACTTTGCACTTTTAAAAAATGTTTGCTTTCCTAAACATATACCACTGTTTTGTGTATTTTAAAACTCACACAAATAATATCATACAACATCCATTTTTGCAAGTTTCTTACTCATTACATTGCTAAATATGTCTATAATTCATTTAACTGCTGTATAGTATCCCATTATAAGAACAAACCATACTTTATTTATCCATTTTACTTAACAACAGTTAGCTTATTTCCACTTCTTCTTGACAATTAACTGATACTGCAATGACCATTTTTATCCTCGCCTTTTTGTGCATGTGTAGAAATGTTTTTCTAAGGAATAGATCTAGAAGCAAGATTGCTGGGTCATAGGGAATATTCATTTTCAGCATTAACTGGTGCCAAAATTCTCTTCAAATTTGTTGTATCTGTTTACACTTCAACACAAAATATATGCATTCCTATTGTCCCACATTTTTGTCAACAGTGTTAGAATAATTTTAATTTTGGTGATTTTGTGGGTGTAAAATGGTAACTCGCGCTGTGATTTGCATTTCTACATTACTGGTTAAATTGAGCATCTTTTCTTATGTTTATTGACCATTAGGTTTCTCTTTTGTGACTCACCTATTCACAGCTTTTGCTCATATTCTCTTGCGTTGTCCTTTTCATATGGATCTGCAACTTCTTTATGAATCCTGGATATAATCCTTTGTTGTTTATGTAGATTGTGAATATTCTCTAAGTCTGTGGCTTGTCTTTTACTTTACGTGATTTCTTTTTTTTTTTTTTTTGAGACGGAATCCTGCTCTGTCGCCCAGGCTGGAGTGCAGTGGCACAATCTCGGCTCGCTGCAAGCTCCGCCTCATGGGTTCACGCCATTCTCCTACCTAAGCCTCCCGAGTAGCTGGGACTACAGGCACCCACTACCACGTCCAGCTAATTTTTTTGTATTTTTGGTAGAGACGGGGTTTCACCATGTTGGCCAGGATGGTCTCAATCTCCTGACCTTGTGATCCACCCGCCTTGGCCTCCCAAAGTGCTGGGATTACAGGCTTGAGCCATCGCGCCCGGCCTATGTGATTTCTTATAAAAGCTTAAAAATGTTTTAACGTGGTCATATGTATCAATATTTTCCTTTATTGCTTGTGCATTTATTTATAGTCGACAAATAAAAATTGTATCTATGGTGTAACAACATGATGTGTGTATATATATGTGTGTGTGTGTGTGTGTGTGTAATGGCTAGAGTAATTACTGTATCTGTTATCTCACATACTATCATTTTAAACGTGATATTTGAAATGTACTCTCCTAGCAATTATTTTTATTTTTATTTTTTTTTTGAGACAGGATCTTGCTCTGTCGCCCAGGCTAGAGTGCAGTGGCAAGATTATAGCTCACTGCAGCCTGGACCTCCCAGGCTCAAGTGATTTTCTCTTCTCAGCCTCCCAAGTAGCTGGGACTACTGGCACGTGCCACCACATCCTGCTAATTTTTTCAATTTTTTGTAGAGACAGGGTCTCACTATGTTACCTAGGCTAGTCTTGAATTCTTGGGGTCAAGCAATCAAGCAATCGGCATCCCGAAATGCTAGGATTACAGGCATGAGCCACTGCGCCCAGCTAATTTTTCTATTTTTTTTAGAGATGGGGTCTCACCATGTTGCCCAAGCTGGTGTCGAACTGGTCTCAAGCGATCCACCCACCTCAGCCTCCCAAAGTGCTGGGTTTACAGACATAAGCCACTGCAGCTGGCCAGCAATTTTCAAGTATACAATACATTGTTATTAACTCTAGTCATCATGTTATACAATAGATCTCCTGAATTTATTCTACCTAACTGAAATTTTGTATCCTTTGACTAAAGCTCTCCAATCCCTGCCCACACCCGCCCCCCGCCCCCTAGCCCCTGTGCAGCCACCATTCTATTCTCTGCTTCTGCAATTTTATTTTATTTATTTATTTTTTTAAATTTATTTTGAGACAGGGTCTCACTCTGTTGTCTGGGTTGGAGTCCAGAGGTCTGATCACAGCTCACTGCAGCCTCAAACTCTTGGATTCAAGAGATCCTCCTGCCTCAGCCTCCCGAGTAGTTGGGACTACAGGCACGTGCCACCATGCCTGGCTGAGTTTGACTCTTTAGGTTCCACATGTAAATGAAATCATGGTATTTGTCTTTCTGTGCCTGGTTTATTTCATTTAGCATAATATCCTCTAGTTTTATCCATGTTGTCACAGATGACAGAATTTCCTTCTTTTTAAAGACTGAATAGTATTCCATTGTGTATATGTTCCATAATCTCTCTATTTATTCATTGATGGACACTTAGGTTGTTTCCATGTCTTGGCTATTGTGAATAATGGTGCAGTGAACTTGGGAATACAGATATCTCTTCAACATACTGAGTTCATTTCTTTCGAAATATACCTGATAATGGAACTACTGGATCACATGGTAGTTTTAATTTTTTGAGGAAGCTCCATTCTGTTTTCCAAAATAGGTGTACAAATTTACATTCCTACCAACAGTTTGTGAGGGTTCCTTTTTCTCCACATCCTTGCCACCACTTGTAATCTCTTGGTTTATTTTTATTTTTTTTATCAGAGCCATCTTAGCAGGTATGAGGTGATATCTCACTGTGGTTTAAATGTTCATTTCCTTGATAATTAGCAATATTGAGCATTTGTTTTTCATATACCTGTTGGCCATTTATGTGTCTTCTTTTGAGAAATGTTTTTTCAGATCATTTGCCCATTGTAAAATCAGATTTTTGGCTGGATGCAGTGGCTTATGTTTGTAATTCCAGCACTTTGGGAGGCCAAGGCAGGAGGATCACTTGAGCCTAGGAGTTCAAGATAAATCTGGGCAACATAGGGAAACCCTGTCTCTACAAAAAAATTTTAAAAATTAGCAGGGCACGGTGGGGTGTGCCTGTGGTCCCAGCTACTTGGGAAGCTGAGGTGGGAGGATTGCTTGAGCCTGGGAGTTGAAGGCTGCAGTGAGTTATTATTGCGGCACTGTATTCCAGCCTGAGCAACAGGGTGAGACCCCAACTTAAAGAAAAAAAATCAGATTTTTGGTTTTCAACAACTCTTGCTATTAAGTTTCTTATAAAAATATTCACCCCTTATCAGATGTATAGTTTACAAATATTTTGTCCCTTTCCGTAGGTTGTCTGTTGATTGTTTCCTTTGCTGTTCAGAAGCTTTCATTTGATGCAATCTCATTTGTCCAAAAAAATTATTGCCCAGACCAATGTCAAGAAGCCAAGATCATGCCACTGCACTCCAGCCCAGCAACAGAGCGAGACTCCATCTCAAAAAAAAGATCTGAAATTGTAAAAATACTAGAAGAAAATATAGGAGAAAAGCAATTCTCCTGCCTCAGCCTCCTGAGTGGCTGGGACTACAGGTGTGCACCACCACACCCAGCTGATTTTTGTATTTTTAGTAGAGATGGGGCTTCACCATGTTGGCCAGGATGGTCTCAATCTCTTGATCTTATGATCCACCTGCCTTGGCCTCCCAAAGTGCTGGGATTATAGGTGTAAGCCACCGCACCCCGCCATTTCAGATCTTATGTTTAAGTCTTTAATTCATTTTGAGTAGTTTTTTTTTTTTTTTTTTTTTTTGGAGGCAGTCTCTCTCTGTTCTTCAGGCTGGAGTGCAGTGGTGTGGTCTTGGCAACCTCTGCCTCCCAGATTCAAGTAATTCTTGTGCCTTAGCCTCCTGAGTAGCTGGGACTATAGGTGTGTGCCACCACCCCTGGCTAATTTTTGTGTTTTTGGTAGGTTTCACCATGTTGGCCAGGCTGGTTTCGAACTCCTGGCCTCAAGTAACCCATTGGCCTTAGCCTCCCAAAGTGCTGGGATTACAGATGTGAGCCACTATGCCTGGCCTGAGTTGATTTTTGTATATGAGGTGAGATATGGTCAAATTTTATTCTTCTACATGTGGATATCCAGTTTCCCCAGGACTGTTTATTGAGGAGACTGTCCTTTCCCCATTGTATGTTCTTGGCATATTTGTAAAGGATCAGTTGGCCATAAAATGTGTGGATTTATTTTTGGCCTCTATTCTGGTCTTATATGTCTGTTTTTGTTCCAGAACCATGCTGTTTTTATTACTATAGCTTTGTGGCAGCTTCTGAAATTAGGTAGTGTGATGGCTCTAGCTTTGTTCCTTTTGTTCAAGATTGCTTTGGCCATTTTGGTCCTTGTCTTTTGTGGTTCCATATGAATCTTAGGATTTTTTTTCTATTTCTGTGAAAATGTCATTGGAATTTTGATAGAGGTTGGATGGAATCTACAGTTTGGGGTAGTGTGGACATTTTAACAATATTAATCTTTCCAATCCATTAACATGGAATATCTTTCCATTTATTTGTGTCTTTAATTTCTTTCTTCAATGCTTTATGGTTTTCAGTGTACAGATTTCTCACCTCTTTGATTAAATTTATTCCTAAGTATATATTTTTGATGCTATTATAAATGTGATTGCTTTCTTGATTTCTTTTTTGGTTGGTGCATTATTAGTATACAGTAATGCTACTGACTTTTGAATATTGATTTTGTATCCTGCAACTTTACTGAATTTATTAGTTCTAATAGTTTTTTTGGTGGTATCTTTAGGGATTTCTCTATATAAGATCATGTCATCTACAAAGTGACAATTTAACTTCTTTCTTTCCAATTTGGATGCCTAGGGAGCATCAGTGGCTCAAGCCAGCTGTCCTGGTGCACAGGGAGGCGAGGCTATGAGTTCGAGGCCAACCTGGTCAACATTGACCAATTTGGATGTCTTGTATTTCTTTCTCTTGCCTATCTGTTCTGACTAGAACTTCTAGTACTATATTGAATAGAAATGGTGAGAATGGTTATCCTTGTCTTGTTCCTGATCTTAGAGGAAAATCTTTTAACTTTTCATGATTATGTATGATGTTAGCTGTGGGTTTGTCATATATGGGCTTTATTGTGTTGAGATACACTTTTTCTATACCTAATTTGCTAAGAATTTGTATCATGAAAGGATGTTAAATTTTGTCAAACGCCTTTCCCCCATCTATTGATATAATCATATAGTGTTCTTCATTTTGTTAACTGCTTGTACTTTTGTACTTTTAAAATTTTGTATAAGAAATCCTTCTCTATTCTGATATCATCAATATGTGATCTTATATTTTCTTTGAATAGTTTTCAGTTTTGCTTTTTACTCTAGCTACCTGAAATTTACTTCTGGGTAGGATGTAATGTAGAATTTATTTTTTGTGTGTTTGTTTGGATAGCCAGTTAACTCAAAACCATTGAACTTTCCCACTGATTTATGTCACTTCCATTATAGCCAAGTCTCATATCTTTGAGGGTCTGTATTAGTCCATTCTTGCACTGCTATAGATAAATACCTGAAATCAGGTAATTTATAAAGTTTAATTGGCTCATAGTTCCACAGGCTGTATAGGAAGCATGGCTGGGGAGGCCTCAGGAAACTTACAATCATGGTGGAAGGTGAAAGGGAAGCAGGCATGTCTTACGTGGCTGGAGCAGGAGGAAGAGAGGGAAGAGGTGCCACACGCTTTTTTTTTTTTTTTTTGAGACAGAGTCTTGCTCTGTTACCCAGGCTGGAATGCAGTGGCACAATCTCAGTTCACTGTAACCTCCACCCTCTGGGCTCAAGCGATCCTCCCACCTCAGCCTCCTGAGTAGCTGGGACCACAGGCATGCATCACCATGCTCGGCTACTATTTTTGTATTTTTGTAGAGATGATGTCTCAGCATGTTGTCCAGGCTGGTCTTGACCTCCTGAGCTCAAGTGATCCTCCTGCCTCAGCCTCCCAAAGTGCTGGGATTATAGGCAAGAGCCACTGCACCTGGCCTCCACACACTTTTAAACAACCGGGTCTCATGATAACTTACTATCATGAGAACTGCACCCAGTGGGAAATCCATTTCCATGATCCAATCACCTCCCACCAGACCCCATCTCCAACAAAGGGGATTACAATTCGACATGAGATTTGGAGAGGGAGGGACACAGATCCAAACCCTATTAGGATCTGATTCAAAAAAGTTTTGTTCTGTACTGTGGTCTATTTATGTGTGCATATACCAGGACTAGACTGTTTTAATCACTCTAAGTTTCAACCAGTAAACTTGTGACATATGGTTAGGCAAGGGATCTCATATTCTTCTGCTTCAAGTTTTGTTTTTTCTTGGCCATTTACTCTTCCATAAGAATTTTAAGGCCGGGTGTGGTGGCTCATGCCTATAATCCCAGCACTTGAGGAGGCCGAGGCGGGCAGATCACGAGGTCAGGAATTCAAGACCAGCCTGACCAACATGGTGAAACCCCGTCTGTACTAAAAATACAAAAAAATTAGCCGGGCGTGGTGGTGCGCACCTGTAGTCCCAGCTACTCAGGAGGCTGAGCCAGGAGAATCACTTGAACCTGGGAGGTGGAGCTTGCAGTGAGCCGAGATCGCGCCATTGCATTCCAGCCTCGGTAACAGAGTGAGACTCCGTCTCAAAAAAAAAAAGAATTTTAAGAACAGTCTGTCAAGTTCCATAAAATATCTGATTGGAGTTTTGCTTAGAATTGTACTGAATTTTTAGATTTGAGAAAAATTATCAGCTTTATATCAAACTTCCGTCTTTGTGAGTAGGGGATCTCTTCCTATTCTTTTATATCTTCTTTATGTTCTCTAATAAAACTTTATAATTTTCTCCATAAATATCATACACAGACTTTGTTATATTTATTCCTAAGTATCTTATGATTTTTGTTATGACAAATGGTATTTTCTTTTCTTTTTTTTTTTTTTTGAGACGGAGTCTCGCTCTGTCGCCCAGGCTGGAGTGCAGTGGCGCAATCTCGGCTCACTGCAAGCTCCGCCTACTGAGTTCACGCCATTCTCCTTCCTCAACCTCCCCAGTTGCTGGGACTACAGGTGCCTGCCAACTCGCCCAGCTAATTTTTTGTATTTTTAGTAGAGACGGGGTTTCACTGTATTAGCCAGGACGGTCTCGATCTGCTGACCTCATGATCCGCCTGCCTTGGCCTCCGGAAGAGCTGGGATTACAGGCGTGAGCCACGATGCCTGGCCTAAAATGAAATCTTTTATCTGTTTATTGCTGTGGTGTAAGGATATTGATGTTTGTGTATTCTCCTTGCCCCCGGCAAGGAAATTGTTATTTCTAATAGTTGGTAGGTTCTTGTGAATTTTCTTTGTATAGTAAGCAATCTATGTATAGTAATTGTCTATGTATAGTGATGGCTTTATTTCTTCTTTTTCTTCTTGTGTCACTTCAGACTTCTTGGCAGAAAGGTGAATAGAAACAGTAAAAACTGGTATCCTTGTCTTGACTTTGGAAGTTACTTTCTATTCCTAGTTAGCTAGATTAAAAAGATTAAAAAAGAAATAGACAGGTTCTCACTATACAGTGGTTATTCACAGCCTCAATCATAGAGCACTACAGCCTCAAACTCCCAGGTTCAACGAACCTTACCACCTTAGCCTCCCAAGTAGCTGGGACTACAGGCACAAGCCACCACACCTGGCTAATTTTTAAATATTTTGTAGTTCACTACAGCACTATTCACAATAGCAAAGACATGGCGTCAACCCAAATGCCTATCAATGAAAGACTAGATAAAGAAAATGTAGTATGCAGCCAGGCGTGGTGGCTCACACTTGTAATCCCAGCACTTAGGAAGCCTGAGGCAGGTGGATCAGGAGTTCGAGACCAGCCTGACCGACATAGTGAAACCCTGTCTCTACTAAAAATACAAAAAAATTAGCCAGGTGTGGTGGCAAATGCCTGTAATCCTAGCTACTCAGGAGGCTGAGGCAGGAGAATTTCTTGAACCCGGGAGGCAGAGGTTGCAGTGAGCTGAGATTGTGCCAATGCGCTCCAGCCTGGGTGACAGAGTGAGACTCTATCTCAAAAAAAAAAAAAAAAAAAAAAAAATGCCGGGCACGATGGCTCATACCTGTAATCCCAGAACTTTGGGAGGCCGAGGTGGGCAGATCACAAGGTCAGAAGTTCACGACCAGCCTGGCCAACATGGTGAAATCCTGTCTCTACTAAAAATACAAAAATTAACAGGGTGTGGTGGCACTCGCCTATAGTCCCAGCTACTTGGGAGGCTGAGGCAGAAGAATCGCTTGAACCCAGGAGGCAGAGGTTGCAGTGAGCCGAGATTGTGCCACTGCTCTCCAGCCTGGGTGACAGAGCAAGACACCACCTTAAAAAAAAGAAAAAAGAAAATGTAGTATGCGTACACCATGGAATACTATGCAGCCATAAAAGGGAATGAGATCATGTCCTTTACAGGGATGTGGATGGAACTGGAAGCCACTATCTTCAGCAAACTAACACAGGAACAGAAAACCAAACACCACATGTTCTCACTTATAAGTGGGAGCTGAACGATGAAAACACCTGGACACATGTGGGTGGGGGGAACAATAACCCACTGAAGTCTGTCAGAAGGGGAAGTGGCAGGAGGGAGAGCATCAGGAAGAATAGCTAATGGATACCGGGTTTAATACCTAGGTGATGGGTTGACAGGTGCAGCAAACCATCATAGCACATGTTCACCTATGTAACAAACCTGCACATCCTGCACTTGTACTCCGGAACTTAAAATAAAAGTTGAAAAAATATTTTGTAGAGACGAAGTCTCACTATGTTGCCCAGGCTGGTCTTGAACTTCTGAGCTCAAGCAATCCTCTTGCCTTGGCCTCCCAAAATTCTGGGATTTTAGCAGTGAGCCACTGCACCTGGCCTCCAGTTCTGGATCCTGGGTCTTGCGACATTATTCCATGCTGGCTTCTGAAGTCAATGAGGCAAAACCAGAAAGGGGAACTAAAAAGTTAAAGAGGGAGAGGGTCTCACAGGCAAGATGGAGGAAGCCTGGGATGAAGGCAGGGCTGTGGACCTGAATGATGCCAGGAATTAAGGAGGAAGTAACAGTGTTAGGTAATAGCACATGGGATTCTTGGGCTGCAGCTACAGGAGGGAGAATCATGGCCTTAATTCATCACCTCTGAAATCCTGAAATATCTAGCCTCCTGCCCAGATCCTGCCATGAATGCATCTATTCAACCACTATTTATAAAGTATCCAGTGTTAGGTCCAGGGAGTGGCAAGAGTGAGCATCTGCAGTCATAGTCCCTGCCCTCAGGGAGCTTACATTCAATGGGGCAGACAGACATCAGTCTGTACATAATCATCAACAAATGTAGAACTCCAACAGGGCCAAGTGCCTCTGAGGAAAGGTACACCTTAGTGTGAGCGCTCATAACAGGAGAATTTGACCCTGAAAAGAAGGTCAGGAAGGCTTCCCTGAGGCTATTGAGAAGGTGAGGCCTGAAGAATGAAGAGGAGCTAAGAGGAGAGGAACAGAGGAAGGAGCCGTTCCACAGAGGGTCCAGCCTCCCTGGAGACTCTGTGCAGGAGGAAGCACAAGGTGGACAGCAACTGGAGCACACGAGTGAGGGGGTGTGGTGGGAGATGAGGCTGGAGAGGAGGGGCCACCCCTTGCAGGGCCTTAGAGGTCAGGTTAAGGACTTGGGTCTTTAACCTAAGATCAATGGAAAACCACTGAATAGGTTTAAGGAGGCTGACTGAAACAATCAGATTTGCATTTTTAAAGGATCCCTCTTAGGTGTGTGTCATACTGTAGAGAAGGCCATTCCCAGCCTCTTCAGCTACTGCAATGACTCAGAGAAGGCCACATGGTCCACATGGTGGCTAGCCCAGGGATGTGGAGGGATGAAAACGAGTGGACAGACTTGAGATATATTAGAGCAGATAAAATGGATAGGACTAGGTGCTGGATTCAATATTGAGATGCTCATTCTAAACCGCCCCTACATCAAATCCTTCGAAGGCAGGGGCTATGCCACATGACTATGATACCCAGGTCCCAGAACAACTCCTGACACATGGTAGACTCAATACACATTTCCCGAAAGGGTGGAAATGATTAGCAGTCTCTCAAGTAATCCTTTGACCACTAAGCGTATTTAATTTCTTCTAGCATGTGTCAGTAATCAACCTCCTTGGTACATCATAGGGAGAAATATTGCCGAGTTCCAAAGAGTATACTCTGGGGCAAGTTAATACAAGAATAAGGTCTCACTTACCCTATAACATGAAGAGTAACAGTAAACTCGTAAGAACAGGACCTGGTGAAGCAAGGAGTAGGCACAGGAAGATGGCTCATCAAATAGGGGCGCCGGGTGTAGTGTGAACACCTGAGGCAGGAAGAACCCAGTAGCCTCTGGGGGTTGGGTGGGATTAGTTGGGGGACTAGGATTTGATGGTAGGGGGTTGTCCTGGAGATCTCTGGAAATTAAGTTATCTATTTTTTTTCTGTTTTTATTTTTATAAAAGAACTCTTAAGGGCATTTTTTTCTTTGTTTGTTCTGTTTTGAGATAGAGGTTCACTCTGTCGCCCAGGCTGGAGTGCAGTGGCGTGATCTCGGCCACTGCAAACTCCGCCTCCCAGGTTCAAGTGATTCTCATGCCTTAACCTCCTGAGTAGCTGGGATTACAGGCATGGGCCACCACGCCTTGCTAATTTTTGTGTTTTTTGTATAGCCAGGGTTTTGCCAGGTTTGGTCAGGCTGGTCTTGAACTCCTGGCCTCAAGTAATCCACCTACCTTGGCTTCCCACAGTGTTGGAATTACAGCCATGAGCCATCATGCCCAGCCTAAGCTATCACTTTAAAATGACCCTTCAAGAAAGTCCCAAGGAGTCTAATCCATCCACGACAACAGCACGTCTGAGACAGCCTAGTGAAATTTCTCCGATGGAGGACAGGAGATGGAAAAGTGCCCCAGGACCTCTTATTTATATAAAAAACAAAATTTTTTAAGACCCTGAGAAGTATGGATTCTTCTCCAGAGAAAAGTTCCTGGCTTGGGAGCTCCCTTAGGACTTGGCACTTTGGTCTAGAGTGAAGTGGACCTGGCCATTCCAGCTTTGAGTGGGTTCAGGCGAGACACTCGAGCTACCCCTTATGGTTGCTCTGAAGGTCACCCTGGCTGGGAGTGGGTGGATCTCTGCTCTGTTATGCCTCCCACAGGTGGAGGAAGTCTGTCTCTGAGGCTGCCCTGCCACCCTCATAGAGCGCTGCAGATTGGGGGCGGTGATGCAGCCACAGGGGCTCTGATTCCCTGCCTCCCCACTGTGTTCATCTCATTCCTCTCCACATATGAGGCCTGGTGTCATGGCAGGTGGGTGTTCCAAGTGAAACCACAGCCACAGAGGCAAGCAGTAGAGCCTGTCCCTGATGTGGCCCTGGTGATGCTGCACCAGCCTGGGGCTGTATCAGAAACCATGCCTGCAGCCTTTGCTTCTGCAGACTTGCTGGTGCTGCACCAGCCCTGAGCAATGTCCATAGCCCTTGCCTCACTGGTCACTGTGATGGGGACGCCCCCAGGTATGGTTCTGCTGCTGGTGTTGCAGGTTGGAGTGGGGGCCAGCACCCTCATCTACCACAAGAAGGCTTAGGTGGCACAGACGTAAGGCTGCTTGCCTGTGTGTAGAGTGGCAGGCTGCAACGGGCTGGAGCCTTGGGGAGAGGCCCTTGCCACACTGGTGGCAGTGATTGGGTTCAGGCAGGTGTGTGCCGCAGTGCTGGGCCAGGTGTGAGCTGTGGCAAGAGCTGTGGCCACACTTTCTGCAGGAGTAGGGCCTATCACCTGTGTGAAAGTGTTCGCACAGGGTCAGGTGGGCCCCTTGGCTGAAGTACTTCCTATATTAGGGGGAGGAGAAGGGCCCCTTGCCCAGGCTGTGCTGAGAGAGGTGAGAGCAGTGGGAAGAGACTCCACATTCCAGGCAGGAAATTTGAGTGGATTTGTGGGTGGAGATGGGGGTCCCGGGTAGGGGAGTTGGGGAAGGGTTGGTTGTGACAGCTGGCAGGTAAAGGAGTGCCATAGTAGGTAGAGGGCTGGGTCTGTCCTCTCTTCTCCTCCTCCTCTCCCTTTGCTCCCAGCCTGCAGGGAGAGGGGAGAGAGGTGAGAGCAGCATGGGGGAGGAGGAAGCAGAGGAGACAGAGGTGGGAGAGGAGAGGCTAAGCCCCACACCCAACTGAAGAAGTGGTTGGCGGTTTCAGCGGCACCTCCCTCCTCGCTGAGGTGGACTGTGAAGGTGGAGAAGCCCAGAGCACAGCCTCCTGTGAGCAGCTTCCCAGGGTGTTGAGGGCTGCCAGGCAAGGACAGGGCCCTCAGAGTTAGGCCTTGCCTGGGCAGGGGTCTCCTGGGGGAACCTTCCCTCAGGGCCCTGAGGCTCTGGGCTCCAGAGCTCAGCTTCCGCGTTCAGATACATGGTCTGCTCTGCTTTGGAGACTGAGAAGCCTGAGAGGTAAAATCGTGCTGGGTGGTAGGTAGGGTAAGGGAGAGGGAGCTTCCCCCCATCTCCCTCACCCACTGCAGAAAGGCTTCTCTGTTTCCTTCCCCAGCCCAGTCCCACCTCCTCTGTGAGGCCGCTCCTCACCTCCCTACTGGCCTGCAGTGATCCTCCTGCTTGGGAGTCACAGAGCACCCCTACACGGGCCCTTTGCCATTCTTTATAGTATAAGGCAAGGCCGTAACATTTTGTGGGGCATCTTCTTCAGTGTCCTCAGCCTTGTGTGAACATCAGAAGCACTTGGGGGCTTGGGAAAATGCAATTGCTGGCCCCATCTCCAGTTTCTTAAACAGCAGATCTGGGGTGGGGCCCAAGAATTTGCATTTCTAACAAGTTCCCAGGCGATGCTGATGCTGCTAGTCTGGGATCCACACTGGGAGAGCCACTGATCTGTTAGGCGTGTAACTTTACTTGTATTATCTCTCAATTCTCAGGGCAACCTGTTACTCTCCCCCATTTTGCAGGTGAAGAAACAGAGGGAAGACCCAGTGCCTTGTGCAAGGTGGCTCAGTTTGTAAGTGGCAGAGCCGATTTGAACCCACGTTTGTCTGACTCTAATACTGTATCAACCCTCCTTCCTCTACCCTGTTCCTCTGCATTGTCAACTATTCCACATGTATCTTGTTCCTCAACAAAATAGTAACGTTTTCTTTTGCATACTTTATATCTCTCACCTTGCCTGACCCAGTAACATAGGCTTGGTTGGGAGGGACTGAAGGACTTGGAAAGGAAATGCCCCAGTGGAGCCAGGATGGAAATGGGTTCCTCTGTGTCTCCCACATGGTGTCACCTAAATAAACAGCCATGTCTGTGAGGTTCAGTCATGGGGAGAGGAGGGCAAGAGAGCACTCGCACCAAGCGATGGGGTTAGGGGGACACGAAAGGAAATGTGATAAATAGAGAGGGGGGCGTGTGGGGCAAAGGTGAGGACTGGGGACCCGGGAGGGGGCAGGCTGTTTCAGAGTGAAGGCAGGACGGGCAGCAGAGACAGAGAAGAGGCTGCCGGGTGGTTAGGGCTGGGGAGGACAAGGAGGGTGAGGACAGACGATCCCGGCAGCCCCTGGAGCCAGAAGAGAAGTCAGGTTAACTCCAGACTTTTGGCTTCCACCTCTGTATCTCACCCAACTCCTCCCCACCTGCTTCTCTACCCTGAAACTCCAGGAACAACGCCCACCTGCCTCCCACTACAACTTCCCCTTATACCGTACACGTCCTGGATGCTTGGGGTCCGGGAGGAGGGGAGTCAGGATCACGGGTTCCAGGGAAGTGAGTGTAGAAAGGGGCTCCTACGAGGGTAGAAGTGGGTGTTGTCTGCTTCTGCAGGAAAGGGGCCAGCCAGCCCAACTGGTCCGCAGTACTTGCTGGGGCTGGAGGATGCCCACCTGCATCTACGGGATTGAGGGTACCGGAGAGGAGGCGAACAAACGAGAAATCCCAAGGGTGGAGAAGGGAGCCATGGGATCGGCGGGCGGGCCGCGCAGCTGCGGAACTGGGAGGGCCAAGCGGGCTTTAGGGGGAAACACGGCCGGCTCCTCTGCCAGTGAGACAGAGAACTGAGCATGGGGGAGGAATTTGGGGCCAGAGGGGCTGGGGGTACCCAGAGCAGAGGAAACAGGAAGTGAGGGGCAGAGAGGTTACGGGTGGTGGAAGGAACAGCAGTCGGTTCTGGAGAGGCGATTCCTCTTCCCCGAATACCTGCACTGCCCCGGACCGGGAGTGCAGTCGTGCGCCCCTGTCCCCCCAGCCTCAGGCTTGGTGCCCAGCCCCGCTCGCGGAACTCGAGGCCAGTAAGGCAGCCGCGGCTTTCCTTGATGCCCCCACTCCTCTGCTCTCAGCCGCTGCCTGGACGAGCACAGAACTAGTGTTCCCAGGCGACCCTCCCTCCGCTCAGCCCCGCTGCCCGGCGGGCAAAGGCTGTGCACTCACACTCCGAGTCTGCAGCCCAGCCTGCCCTTTTTTGGGAGGTGGCCCGGGGACTGGGATGTCGAACAGGGAGCTTCTCCGCAGTCCTCTCCACCTCCCTCCCTCTTTCCAGCTATAGAAACCGGCTGCTCGCAGTGACTTCCAAACATCACGGTCATTCCCACATCTACACACATCCCTTTCTCTTTTGAGCCATTTTCCTGCTTTCCCTTTGGTGTTGAAACCCTGGATTTCAGCCTGGGCGACTCAGGTTTTAGGGGGGAAAGTTTGGGGTCTAACTTGGCACCTCTGTTTTTTATCCTCTCTTCCAGCTTCATAGATGGTTCCTATTTTCATACATATTTGCTAATTTGGAGTTTCCGACGACATATCTCGAATAACCCGACATTTTCTCCCCATTTCCAAGGCTGATTTTACATTATTTCTAGGCCTCCCTCCCCAATCTATTTTCCTTTCTTTTTCTTGTACACCCCTGATAAACAGACACACAGAACTGCAGGTTTCAAAGAGGAAAAAAGCACGTTTGTTGTTGGTAGGCGGGCGTGAATGGGAGGGTTCTTCACCTTCTCCAACACCTCGTATAGATGGGACGTTGCAGGGCAATAGAAAAGGCAGCAGATGGGGGCGTGTTTTGCCCCACTCTGTACAATATAGAAGAATCTCATATAGATACTTTGTATAAAAGCCACGTGTCCTCATTTGTGTCCTCTTATTGGCTGGCTGGGCTGGGGGTACTGGGGGACAAAGAAGCTGGGGTGATAGACCAGGACACAGGGATACCCCATGGTCCCCTTCCTCTGGCTGTCCCCTGGTGGGGTCACTTTGGATCCTTGGTGGGAGCATAGCACAGCTCCAGTGGCCGGGACACCTTCCAGAATTTCTCATTCACCAGCTCCAGGGTCAGCGAGCCATTCAACGTCTGAGGAGGGGGTAAAAGGGAGAGAGGGGAAAAGAGAGAGGAAAGTTGGAGAAGATGGAAAAGGAAATGAATGAGAGGCAAAAGGTGACCAAGGGAGGAGGAAAGAAAAAAGGAATAATAAAAGCGATAAGGCAAAAAAGGACATGGATGATGGGAAAGGAGAGGGGACATAGAAAGAGATAGAGGATGTATAGGGGAAGAGTGCTGATGAGTTAGACCAGGCTCATGGTTCTATGTGGCCCAGACCACCCTCCCTCCTCTCCCCTCTTCTACCACTGCCCTCAGAAGCTCTCACCGTGAACGCCCCGCCTCCAGGTGCGATGTAGATGGTGTACTGCTTTTCACTGACGCCCTCCAGGCTGGGCAAAGCAGGCTCCTCAGGACCGTCACCTCCTCCGGCACCCCCACCCTCCCCGCCACACCCATCAGGTCCTCCGGTGTCAGAGGCGCCCCCTCCAGGCCCTCCTGGCTCCCCTGCTTCCTGCTGTTGCCTCCGCTCGAGGGCAATGCGCAGGGCCAAGTACTTGGAGAGGTGGTCCACTGTGGCATTCCCAGTTGTCTTCACATACCTGGAATGGGAGGGAGGACAGGCTTAGAGCCAGAGCGCCTCAGATGAGGACTGGAGGTAGGGGCTTTCCAAAATGGATTCTGGGTTGGGGTGGTATTTTGGGTTTGGGCAAAGCCCACTTCTGATGGAAATCTAGGTGATCTTTGGTTTCTCAGTGGCTGGGGAAAGACAGGGCTCCTCACCTCGTCTGGCAGTATTCTCCCTTCTCCACGAGCAGGGGGTGGGGCCGGAACACGAGCTCAATTTCTCCACCTGGCTCTGGGGGGCTGGGGGCCCCAGGAGGGCTTGGGGGGCCCAGCGTTCCCCCTCCCAGAGTCCCTCCCCGGTCACCAGAGTCTTCCGAACCGGCACCCCCACCCACCCCACCAGTGCCGCCTCCCCCTGTCCCTACACTGCTCCCCCCTGCGCCCCCTCCACGGGGTCGCTTGGGAGCAGGGCCTGGGGCAGAGTCAGGGGCGGAGTCTGAGCTCACATCTTCTCCATCCCCTTCTCCCTCCCCGGGCTCTCCTTCCCCCCCACTCATCGTTGTGGTCTGATCTGACCCTGGTATCGGCCGCCTCACACGCTGGGCCCTGTAGAAGCAAGTGGTTAAGGTTAGAAGGCATCCAGGATAAAGGGCTTAGACTTTAAACTTCAGAGAATTAAGAGATAAGAAAAATCCTAATGACGATACCTAATATTTATTAAACACAATGTGCTAAGCACTCAGTATACTAAGTGTTTTGCACCAATCCCCTTACCTAATACAATGAATCCTATGACACAGGTAATTATATTACCTCTATTTTATGGCTGAGGAAACTGAGGCTTAGAGAGGTTAAGTAACTTGTTAGTGATCATAGGCTGTCACCTCTCAAAGTGCGGTAGCAGCATACACATCCCCTGTGAGCTTGTGAAATGCAGACTCTCGGGCCCAACTCTAGACCTACTGAATCACAGTTTGCATCTGAAGATCTACAGGTAATCTGGATACACATGAAAGACTGAGAGATGCTGGCCTAGGAGGTGATTTAACTTCCAGCAGTATGAATCCGGGGCTTATTCTCAAAATCGCTCTACTGTTCTAACTTCTAGAAAGTCATGGGGTAAACTACATTTTTCCTTTTTTTTTTTTTGTGACAGGGCCTTGTTCTGTCGCCCAGCAGGCTGGAGTGCAGTGTGCAGTGGTGTGATCATGGTTCACTGCAACATCCACTTTCTTCCCAGGCTCAAGTGATCCTATTACCTCAGCCTCCCAAGAAGGTAGGACTACAGGCATGTGCCACCATGCCCAGCTAAATGTTTAATTTGTTGTAGAGATGAGATTTCCCTATGTTATTCAAGGTGGTCTCAAACTCCTGGGCTCAAGTGATCCTCCCATCCTCACCTCCCAAAGTGCTGGGATTACAGATGTGAGTCACTGTGCCCAGCCCTATATTTTTCTTAAGAAGAGCAGGGCCAGTTGTTTACTAAGAAACTGCAATTTACACCCATGATTTCCAGCCCTAATGATCAGTCTGTGGTCAGCTCCTAGGATGCTGAGGCTTAGAAGCTAGCAGGCAACAAGGACTGACCCACGGACCCATCCCATCAGTTCTGCTTCTCTCCTGACCCTCACACCTGTGCATGGCCTGCATGCGTAGCCCCTCCTCAATGCTGGAGCTCAATGCCTGCTGGTTGTGCAGGCGGCTCAGGCGGATAAGCACTCGGTCTTGATGGGCCTCGTATTCCTCCCGGCTAGGATAGATCTTAGAGATCAGGGCATCAAAGTTGGGGTCTGGCCGTAGGGATCGCTTGGACACCAGCTTCTTTCGGCAGGTAGGACACTCCTTGTTCCTGGGGTAGGAGAAGGGAAGCCCTGAGTGGTCAGTCAAGGGAACTGAAGCCTAGGCTGAACCAAGACCAGTGAGAGGGCCCTAACTTTGTACCCCTTCATCTCATCTCAAACATGTCTCTCCTATTACCCGCTCCGTAGGGCTGTGACAATGCAGTCAGAGCAGAATCTGTGGAGGCACTCCTTGGTGGTCATCGTATTCTTCAGCATGTCCAGGCAGATAGGGCACATGAGTTCTGAATGCAGTGACCGAGGGGAAACAGCAATCTCTGTGCCATCCATTATGGCTTCCTGAAGGCATCAGTGAGTAGAAAGGTGGTGTGGGTTAGAGGGAAAGGGGTTTTAGAAACAGCAGCCCATAAAATAAGAATTTTGAGAAATACAGTGAGAAGACCCATGTTGGTCTCTATAGGAGACAAGAATTCTGAGAAAGAGAAGGACTGATGACTTGGAGCAAATGGAGAAAAGACAGACTTTAGTGTCCATTAACTAAGAGTAGGAGCTTTGGAATAGGAGGATCTGAGGTGGCTAAGTGGCCTAGGAGTGAAGATGGCACAAATCTGTGGTTGGGAAAAACTATTCAACAAAATTTTTTAAAGTCCTGGTGCTACCTGTATTAGAACCCCATAGGGTGCCTGTTAAAAATTCAGATTCTGAGAACCCAATTCACTACTGAATCAGAATGTTGGGGGGCATGAAGCTCTGCTTTTAATAAACTCCCAAAGTGAGTCTTATGTGCACTGACTTATGACACTGAATGAGGAACAGGGAAGGTAATTTTTGTGTTTGTGATCTTTCAAATGAAGATAATAATACTTGTTCCACCTCTCTGGCAGGGCTGTTTTGAGGATTAAATGAGCTAAATGCGAAAGTGCTTTGGAAAGATTAAGGTGATTCAAAGGTAGGGCCAGGCAAGGCAGAATAGAGCAAATTACGGAAAAGAAGCTGTGTGATGCGGTCTGTGGATATAAGGGTTTGGGGGAGGGGGTAAGCCTGAAAGGGAGAATGCCTGTCACCTGCGGGGTCCGGTGCAGCTCATACAGACTCAGTTCCCACGTTTTGCTGGCATTCTGGGCATTCGCCGGCGTCGTCATGGTGACCGGGCGCAGACCCCCCACCAGGGCTCCACAGCCGAGGAGAAGGCGAAGAAGGCTGGGGGTGGGGGGAAGGGGAGGAGGGCGTCAGGGGGGCCGCCCCTCGCGTAGACCCCGCCCCTCCAGAAGCGCCCCTCTCCGCCCCCGCTCCCGCCCCCGCGCCGGCACTGCCCCTCACCCAGCTCCAGCCGTTCGCGCTCCCGCCGCCGCCGCGCCTCTCCCTAGGCCCGGGCTCCTGGGCCAAGTTCGCTCGGTCCGCAACCGCTGCTCAGACAGCAGCTCCCGCCACCGCCGCCGCCATGGCCCGGGCGCTGGGGCCCTACGTCACTTCCGCCTGCTCCTCCGCTACACCCGCTCCCCCCGCCGGCGGAGACGTCACCCACCATTCGCGGCGCGGGTGGGACGGGACGTGGACGCCGCGGTTCTCCCGCCCACGGGACGGGCTCGTCCCGCGTGAGGATCCTGCGTCCCGGGAGTTCTGCGCCACTTAGGGAACCACGGTCTCCGCCCCCGGCCCAGCACCGTCGCGCGGCCAACAACCTTAGCCTCGGTTCCCTTCCAGAGGCCCCCACGCGGGGCCTCAGCTCCGGGGGGCCGGGGCCTGGAATATCTGGGACCCCAGGAGGGGACAGAGGGCTCGTGAAAAGGGCTACCTCCCCCACTCTGCGTACCCTGGCGACTCTGGGGATCAACCCCCCTCACTTCTCCGTAACCCCCATTCCAGGATCCCGGGGGAAAAGGCTGCAAAAGATCTGCCGCTTTAGCCTTCTAGTCCTGAGAACACACCTAGGTCCCGATGTGCCCGGGATTCCCCTTACCACCCTGGGGACTCCCTCCACCCTCTGCTTTGGCTCTCCCTAGACCCTCCGACCCGCTCTCCCGCTCGAGGTTTGGGGGCGGCGGCTCGGGACGTCCAGACTCAACTCTCGGCCGGAGCCATAGACTCGAGAATTGCGTTTGGACAATCAGGAGCCGCGGCCCGGGGCGGGGAAGGGAGGGAGGCGCACGGGAGGAAAGGGGGAATGGAGACACCACGCGGAAACAGGGACATACACAAGATGGAGCTCCCATTGGGAAGGGGGGGTGCGCGTGTGGGTGGGGTACACAGGGGCAGAATGTCTGGAGTGGGAAGTGGGCAGAAGCCTCTTCGAGGACTCTAGAGTAAACGAAGGGGATGGGGAGGAAAGAGAAGAGGAAGGGGCAGAGCGATCCCCATTGAGTGTAGGGAATGAGAGGGATACAGGGCGAGGGGGTGGGGGGCAGTTAGAGACCCTGATGGGCATCTTGTCCCCGCCCGAGCTGAGGCTCCCGGACTTGGGCTGCGGCTGCCAGGGGGTGGCCTGTCCCTGGGACAAGGCAGCAGTGGGTGCCCTCGCCCCCCACCCCAGTTCCCCCCTACTTCCCTGTCCTCTCCTTCAGTCCGTGGCCAGTCCTTATGTGGGCGCCAGAGTCGATTAGCGCAGACCCCCCTCCCCTTCCTCCTCCTCTTCCCAGCCCCCTCCCTCCTGCTCTCTCCAGCCCCTTTCATCGGCTGGTTCATTCCCCTAATCCTGGCCCCCTCCCCTAATCCCCCCCATCCGACCCCAGGCCGGCTGCAGCTATTGTAAGGTGGAGAGAAAGGGGAGGGGGGGACTCAGAG
This sequence comes from Homo sapiens, assembly GCF_000001405.40. NCBI lineage: Eukaryota > Metazoa > Chordata > Mammalia > Primates > Hominidae > Homo > Homo sapiens. The sequence continues at coordinate 33,207,183 of NC_000006.12, read as the reverse complement.
AAAGGAGAGGGGTGGGGGAGGGCCACCTGTTCCAAGACCCCCTTTCAAGGCCAGACTGGACACCAAGATGGGGCCATGAACAAATCACCCTTGGGGACCATAAGAACCCAGGGAGTTGGGGGGAGGGGACTGGTGCTGCAGAACCAGTGGAAAGGGGTGACGCACGAACCCCTCCCTTCAAAAAGACCCGGAGTGTCACGCATACACAGTGACACATACTCTTTCCTCTCACACCCGGCGGCGGGGGTTGCCCTGGGAGACCAGGCAGAGAAAGGGAACAATCCTTCGGGAAAGGGAAAGGAGGGGGAGGTGGGGAAGGGTCTGAGGGCTTGGACACAAGAAGAGCCGGAGGTGGCAGGGAAGAGGACTTGGAATTTATTAGGGTCACAAGCACCCCTGCTTCCCATATTCAGCATTCCTGAACCATACACTGCCACCCCTTTTGTATCCTGGGAACTTAGAGTCCTCATCAGCAGGAGGCCAGGCAGAGTGGTGGGGGGGTGAGCAGAGTCCAGGGTCCTTGAGGCAGTTACATGAAAAGACCTCCTGGGAGGGGCAGAAACATTTGGACAGATGCATGGGTGGAGACACAAATGGGCTAGGGGGTACCCACTTCTGTCCCTGGCCTTGGGAACCTCTGCCCTTCCCAGTGGCTCCAGACTCCCCTTACTTGCTTTCTCATATAGTCTGGGTTCTACTTCTCTGCCCTCTCCCTCCCCATGCTGGCCTCATACCAGTGACTTCCACTGAGGTCCCTGTGATGTATCCACTATCTTCAGATGCCAAGAATGCGACCACATCTGCCACATCTATGAGAATGGTGGGGAGAGGGCAGAATTCTGCTCACTCCCATAGACCCAAAACAGCCATAATCTCCCACCAAAGACATCCCTCCCCACAAACCTCTCCACAGACACCAACCACCAGTCCCCTAGAAAATCCCCAAACTTTGGGGATCTCTTCATTCAGGCCCCCTTCCCAGGGACCCCACTACATTCAGTGCTCACCCTCAGGGTCCCCCAAGTGTCCCATCGGGATCATTTCAGTAATCTGTAAGGAAATACTCATGTGGGTGAAAGCTTCTTTTATGGATTTTTTTGAAGACTGAGTCTGTGACCCTTTTTTGTCTTCATTTCTCATACATTCATTGAATATTTAATGTTTGCCAGGAACTGTGCCCAGTATTCTCTCTCTCTCTCTCTCTCTCTCTCTGTGAAGCCCAGAGAGATTGAGTCTCTGAATGATTCTGCCCTCCACCCACAGCCTCCTACCTTGTCCACCACTTTCTGTGGCACTTTCTGTGTCATGGGTGTTGCAATGAACCCTGGGAGGACAGAGTTACAGCGGATCCCATGTCTGTGGGAAGGAGAGTGGCTGCCGATTCTGGAGAGGGCTGAATGCTGGTACCTCCCTCAGACCCCCCAGGTGCTCCCCAGCACCCTCAAGCATCTGACCAACCGTCCAAGCTCCCGGGCTGCGGTCTGGGTCAGCCCAATCACTCCAGCCTTGGATGCTGCATAGTTTGTCTGCCCCACGTTCCCCACCTATAGGTGAGTCAGAGATGTGGAATGAGTCAGGAGTCTCAAGGAGGGGTTCTCCTCTCTATACCACTTGGCTGGCTGACCTCGTCCAACTCAACCTGACCTTTCCTACGATGCTACTGATGTTGATGATGGAACCACGACAACCATTGGACACCAGGGCTTGTGCTGCAGCCTGAGTGACTAGGAAGGTGCCCTGGCGGGAAAGGGTAACAAGGGAGAAAAGATCAGCTGGGGTGACAGCCCTCCTCCAACTCCCTCCCCAGGCTAAGGGGGCCAAACGTCGCAGGTTCAGAGATCGCCACCTTGAGGTTGACAGCTATGACTTTGTCCCAGTCATCCTCAGACATGTGCAGCAGAAACTCATCCTGGGTGATGCCCGCACAGGACACAACGACAGATGGTGGGCGAGAAAAGCAGGCCTATGGGAGGGGGAGGTTACGCATCAAAAACCCCCCACAAAAAGCCGGGGCAGTGGAGGCAATATCAGAGCTTTAGAGGGGGAAAGTGGCCTAGCGTTCACCTGCACTTGTTCCAGCAGGCACCTGGCGGCCCTGGCCTCAGACACGTCAGCCTGGAAGGCAGCATGGTTCCCTCGGGGCGGCCCCTCCTTGCTCCCTGGCCCGCCCAGCAGCCGCACCGTCTCCTGTGCCGCTGCCCGGTCCAGGTCGCAGGCAGCTACGGTGGCCCCCTCTCCGGCCAGGCGTACACTGACCGCTCGGCCGATGCCGCTCCCCGCACCTGAGGTAGGACAGAACACGCCGGACCGGGCACGGGGAGGAGAGGGCAGGGATCAGAGGTCACAGGGCAGAAAGTAAAATGTGGGTAAGGGGCCAGAGGTCACAGCGGCCGCGCACTCCAAGGGCACGCCCCTGACCTCACTCCAATACCCCAAACCGCCCGGGGAAAGAACCCCCTCAACCTGTGACCAAGGCCAGTGCGGAGCGGAGTCGGTTCTGGAGCTGAGACGCCATGGCGGGCTGTGGGTGGGTGGGAATCCCAGCACTAAGCCAATCCCAGCGCAGAGGGGCGTGGCAAGGGCAAAGCCGGGGCCAATCAAAGGCCCGCCAGCCTTAGGCCATCTGCGGCCACCAGCGCAGGCCGACCTCCCACCGAGGGGGCGTGGCCCGACACTGCTGCTTAGGGGCCCCGGGTGTGGAGAAGACAAGGGGCCCCATTCCCCCCAAAAAGACAAAGACTGCATGTGGGGCGGAAGATCGGAGGTCTTTATTTCCGGTTACCACCCCTCCCCCTCGATTCAAACACAGTGATATAAAAGGAATAGAAACAAAAAAAATCAGGCCATGAGAATACCAACTAACCCTCTCCCACCCCATCCCCCCAATCACTCCCAAATCAGGACACACGATTGATGTTTGATGTTTATCCCCGACTCCTCCTGTTACCCTCTCTGTCCAGGACTCTGGTCTTCCCTGAAGCCTCCACCAACTGGTGGGAGAAAGGAAACTGGACCTTGGAGAACTTCCTGTGTAGCAACTTGGTTCTCCGAGAACAGGTGGGGTAGGGGACACCAGGTAGGCTGCCATCACCCCCTGTCCCTTCCAGCCTTCTTCATGGCCCCATTTAGCCTTCCAAATGCAACATGGTCAGACAGTGCCCAACACTATGGTCCCTCTGGCCTCTCATTCTCACCGCTCCAGCCTCTGTAAGACTGCCAGCCCTTGAAGGCCCTAATGCCAAAGTAACCATTCTCCCAGGCTACAGTTCCTTCCTTTGGCAGATGTCCCTGGCCAGGGCCCCCAACCTCTACGCACCCCTGACCTGGAGTTAGGGGTAGAGGTTTGGGGCAGGGGTAGTTTATCCACCCCTCACTCAAGGTGGGCAATCAGCACCATCATGATAACTCCCCCCAGCAGCCCCAGCACCTCCAGAAGTGATTGCAATGGTGATGCCTCCCTCAGCAGCTCGGGCAACACAGACACTGTTGCTACGTAGATAAAGCCACCTGCAGTAAATGGCAGGACCCAGCCAGGACCTGCACCACCTGCAATTTCACTGCCCACTGCTCCTCCTTCAGTGAGAAGGGCACAGGCTGTGCCTGCCAGTGCCCCTACTGCTGTCAGTAGTTGCAGACGCATCGCCTGATGGGCAGAAAAGAGAAAAAGGCACTCACCAATAGCTAAAGATTATCAGTGGTTTAGAAGTGGCTGGTGGGGTATAGGTATAGGGGACATGGATTTGGAAACTAAACATCAAAATAAAAAGAGAAGAGGGAGCAGTCTAGAATAGACAATTTCTGAAAAATCTTAAGAGATCAGAGGTCCTTTCCACAGACTTTCTGATTGAGTAGGCGTGTGTGTGTAAGACTCCACTAAACCATTCAGATGGTTTATAGACCAGTTTAAGAAATACTGAGCTAAAGGACAAAGTAACCAGAACTTCTTCCCCCTCATTTCTAGAGGACTTGTCAATGACAGTATGAATTGTTTGGAACTAATAAGAGGCTGTTTGGGTTTAGGGTGAGTGAGGAGAGATAAAGGGTTTGAGGCAGCTGTGTTTGGCAGACATCACCAACCTGCTTTTTGCTGCAGCCAGACTGGACCAAGATGGCAAAGTCTCCGACCTCGTGGGGCACTTCATGTAGCAGGACAGTCATTGTGGTCAGGATCCCTAGTCCCCGGCCCCCTCGAAAGGAAGCCCCAATGGCCAGACCATCAGTGAAGTTGTGTGCCAAGTCAGCAGCCAGATTCAGGTACCCCGACACACGCAGGTCTTGTACAGGACAAGAAGAGAAAATGATCAGAGGCTTCCATCACCACTTGTTCCAGTCTTGGTCAGCTATTCTCACACCTCCCCTCAGAGACCACTTTACACCCAGTCCTTTAGTGTTTCTCAGATACCTGCCATTACCCACAGCACATATTCCATGTGATTTGTGATGATGTCCCTTGCCCAAATTTATCACCAACTCTGGCCCTTACCTAAGCCTCTTTTTTCTTCTTCAGCGTTCTGAGGTCTCACTGGCCCATCTTTGGGTACTGTGCTCCCTCCTCGCCTCTTCTGAACCCCTCTTGTTTCCTTTTCTTCTTCCTCTGAGCTCTGCTTCTCCTTGGTAGAACGCTCTGAGGGAAGAAAAGAGTTGGTCAGAGTGGAGAACAGATCTTCCAACATGTCCTCTCCCTCCTGAGGGCCATAAGATGAGGAGATTCTGAGGCAGGCAAGTCAGCTTTCAGGAAAGTTGTTCCTGGGCTCACCTTGTCTTCCATGTCCATGACTTCCACGTGTATGACTGTGAGCGTGTCCATGTCCATGACTGTGACCATGTCCTCCTTTCACATGTCTCACAAATTTCTCCACGACAAGAAAGGCAACAATTCCACTGAGAACCCACAGTCCCACAGACAGAATGGGGCCCTGGCCTGGGAATGGAGGCATTGAGACATTAAGGGAGATGTGCATTCCAGACTCCTCCTCCTCAAGTGCGGGAGGTGAGGAATAGGGAGAGACGGACCTTCCCCAGCACCCCAACTCCCATCCCCATCTGTCTCTTCCTCACCACTGTGGGAGTGTCCATGTCCGGGTTGCTCCAGAGTGTGGTGAGAATGAGGTTCTGGAAGAAGGGGGGAAAACCAGATGAGGGAATATCTGACACAATGAGTGTGTATTTGGGGGAATATCGAAAGGTCAGGGATCATAAAGGAGAAAGAACCCTTTTCCTCCAAAGAACGAAATAGGTTAGATTTGAGGTAGAAGTCAGAGGTTACTTACCAAGAGCATGAGGAATGAGGTGCAGGAAAGCATCTCCCAGGAGCCCACCGGAAGCAAAACTGAGCAAGATCTGAAGTAGAGAGCGATGCCGGGGAGAGTTCGACTCCACGGGGATAAGGAAGAGGACAAAAAATGGAGCTGCTGAGATCAGCACTGTGGCCCCCAGTGCCTGGTGAGGGAGAGTCAAGGTCAAGTACTGTGGAGTTTCCCAACAATCCAGAACCAGCCCTTCTCTCTCCCATCCCCTGGAGACTCACATAAGCCCAGAGAGTGACAGCATCCAGGTCCTGCTTGATGCCTGGAGCCCCAGACTCCCCATAGCCTCCATGGCTATGCTCATGGTCATGTCCATGTCCTCTGTGGTAGAGGCTCTCATGGGAGTAGCCATGGCTATGGCCATGGTGTAAATCCTCATGTGAATGTCCATGGTCGTGATCGTGGGTATGTCCATGCCAGATGCTCTCGTGAGTGTGGCCATGGCCATGGGCATGGCTGTGGCCATGGTGGAAATCTTCATGTGAGTGCCTGTGGCTGTGGCCATGGAAGTCCTCTTGCAGATCGTCGTGCAGGTCGTCATGACCCCCGAGTCCAGCCACCAGAAGCCCCAAGGTCGCCCAGGTCAGCAGTCCCACGGCCACCCAGTGGGGGGCCCCCAGGCCTCTGGCCATCACGCTGACCAGAGGGACAGAGGCAGTGACTCCACTTGACTCAACTCTATACCTACACAGGGTCCGCTTTACTCCAATCGCGCCCTCCGTCCACCTCTATGGGCCGCTCTCCCATTCCCTTAAGTTCCCACCTACATTGTTCCCAAGACTAGTTCTCTTTATCCCGAACCACCTCCCGGATGTAGGGCCCTGGGACACTAATCTTTCACCAGCCACTTTACAGACTCTCTGGGCCCTCGTCTCTACGACTCATTAGGTGAGGAAAAGGCCTGGAAAGGATGGTAGAGAAAAAACAGAGAATTCTCACCGGCTCCGGGATCCTCTCCTTTCCCGGTTTGCTTGGACGTGGCAGTCCCGCCTTTAGATCCCGCGAGAACAGGAAGTTCCGTTCCACCTTCGCCCTAATGCCTTTACCAATATGGCGGCACTCCGGTAGCGACGAATCCATCCTGCACTGACACGCATGCGCGAGTGTGGAGGTGATTTGAGGGGAGGGTGGGCGAGGCGGGCTAACAGGCCGGAGGAGACCGCCTCCTCGGTTTCCAACTAGACGAGGGGGCGGGAACTCGCGCCGAGACTTCCCGTCTGTACAAAGATGGCTGCCACATTGGCGCTGTCATTTTGGTACTGAGCAGAGCGACGGGCTTAATTCGACCCAATCCAGGCCAGAGTCTTTCTCTCAGGGGCTTCCTCGTGCTCAGCTAATCCTCCGATCAATCCTTGGGAATCCCTGGGACCTCTTCGGTATCCCTACTCTCAGCCAGGGATCATGTCTTGGGCCGCTCGCCCGCCCTTCCTCCCTCAGCGGCATGCCGCAGGGCAGTGTGGGCCGGTGGGGGTGCGAAAAGAAATGCATTGTGGGGTCGCGTCCCGGTGGCGGCGGCGACGGCCCTGGCTGGATCCCGCAGCGGCGGCGGCGGCGGCGGTGGCAGGCGGAGAACAACAAACCCCGGAGCCGGAGCCAGGGGAGGCTGGACGGGACGGGATGGGCGACAGCGGGCGGGGTGAGTGCCCCAGCAGAAGGGCAGGCGAGCCAGTGACCGCTTTATCTGCGACCCCTCCCCCACACCCTCCCCCGGTGCTCTTTTCCTTGCGCTCCCGCCCCCTTGTTTGTAAACACGCGTCCCCTCCCTCCCGAGGGCCTTAGCACCCTCCCCCCCGGGGCGGGGCGGGGAAGGGGAGCTTCCGCCCTCCTAGCTGTGACCGCTTGAGGCCTTGGGCACCGGAGGTCGCGGGCCTGGGAAGGGCACGATTCCTCTTAAACCTCAGGACTTTGGGCGTTTACAGGCAGATCCTGCGTCTTAGGAGGGGTCTCTCCTGCCTGTCTCTTTCCCTTGCACGCTCTGGCTACCTGGCTTTACGCTGGGAATAGAGGGGCTCGATGGTCTACCCCACGTGCTGCCCCACCCACGAGACAGGTGTGGCTTTGGGATGACCTGGTATTCATTCAAATGGATTGGTTGGAAAATTTTCCTCACCTGAACTATCCTCCTCTCCTTGTCAACTCCCTCCTCTCACCACAATGAGGAGTTACGCTGTTTTTGGGTTTTTTTAGCCAGTCAAATATAGCAGTGGGAGGTTGTATACCAATTTTAGTGACACAAATGTTAATAAGTTCTGATAACCCACTACCATCGGACCAGCCGGAGTTACACTGTTGTTTGACAGCAGGGTGTCTCTGAACTTGGGGATGGGTGGAGTGGGCTGGGTCCGGCACGGTGGGGTATTAGAGAATTAAAGTCTCTAGTTGGATGTTTGAAGACTCATTTTCTTTTTTTGTCTCTTCTGTCTCTTGTGTGTCTGTGTGCCTGTACATACCCCTCCCTCAGACTCCCGAAGCCCAGACAGCTCCTCCCCAAATCCCCTTCCCCAGGGAGTCCCTCCCCCTTCTCCTCCTGGGCCACCCCTACCCCCTTCAACAGCTCCATCCCTTGGAGGCTCTGGGGCCCCACCCCCACCCCCGATGCCACCACCCCCACTGGGCTCTCCCTTTCCAGTCATCAGTTCTTCCATGGGGTCCCCTGGTCTGCCCCCTCCAGCTCCCCCAGGATTCTCCGGGCCTGTCAGCAGCCCCCAGGTGAGAGGTTGTGACCAACTTACTGCCTGGCCACTTTCATTTTCTTGTTTTCCTTGTAACCCCAGATCCTTGTGTGAACTTCCCCATGGCCCATTGACCTTCCAATCCTCTAACCTTGTCAGGCCTGTGGTCTTTATGAGACCCCTTGCCTTTCCTGAGGTGACTGATCTTTCAGTGCATGCTTCCTCCCCTAAAAGAACTCTAATATTCTTTGTTTTTGTGTGTGTGTGTGTGTTTTTTTTTTTTTTTTTTTTTGAGATGGAGTCTTGCTCTGTTGCCCAGGCTGGAGTGCAGTGGCACAATCTCAGCTCACTGCAACCTCTGCCTCCTGGGTTCAAGCAATTCTCCTGCCTCAGCCTCCTGAGTAGCTGGGATTACAGGTGCCTACCACCACGCCCGGCTAATTCTGATATTCTTGATGTCCTTTTCATCTATCTGATTTTCTGCCCTTTTGATCCCATCTGCTTTCCCAAGACACCTGCCCTTCAGGGTCACTGTGTTGCACAATTTCAGGGGGGGCCTGTTTATTCACTTTGGGGTTGTGCTCCAGGGATGGCCTTTCACATAGACTGCAGTGTAAATGACAGCCTCTGGAATGTGCATTGCAGGGCCTTGCTTAGTGGTAGGGAATGATTTCCATCACTTCTGTGACATTCTGCTTCCCAATAAGTCTTCCTGTGACTTCCCTATTTCCCCCATCCCAGATTAACTCAACAGTGTCACTCCCTGGGGGTGGGTCTGGCCCCCCTGAAGATGTGAAGCCACCAGTCTTAGGGGTCCGGGGCCTGCACTGTCCACCCCCTCCAGGTGGCCCTGGGGCTGGCAAACGGCTATGTGCAATCTGCGGGGACAGAAGCTCAGGTATGTGGCTCAGAGGATGAACAGAGAGGGAGAGTCTGGGCCATGTATCATCACCTGTGGGATTCCCAGGGCTTATGGAGTTTGGTCAGAGCAAGTGACCTGGGGGAGGCCTGATGGGAGTAAAGAAGCTGAAGCTGAGATGTAGGACGCGATTGGGGGGAAGGTCAGAGGGAAAAGGAAGCAGCGTGTAGGGTTTCTGAACAGTGAGGAGACTGGGACTGGATCATCACTCAGCTCCTGGTTCCCTATCTCTGTATTTGGCAAACAGGGAGGACTTTAAGTTTTGCTAGGGGGAGATTGGAAACAGACTAAATGGTGAAGGTGTCTCCATGCAACCTTCTTATTGCTCCTCCCCTTTCCCTGTAGGCAAACACTACGGGGTTTACAGCTGTGAGGGTTGCAAGGGCTTCTTCAAACGCACCATCCGCAAAGACCTTACATACTCTTGCCGGGACAACAAAGACTGCACAGTGGACAAGCGCCAGCGGAACCGCTGTCAGTACTGCCGCTATCAGAAGTGCCTGGCCACTGGCATGAAGAGGGAGGGTAAGGACCCGCCCTGCCCAGGCGTCTTAGACCACATGCCCTTCTCCCTTATCCCACTCAGACTGTGTACCTCTCTGGAAGGGTGGACTGCTCTCTCTCCTCTAGAGGGCGATATTTGATTTCTCTCTCCCTTCGCAGCTCTCCTCCCTGTTACCCTGTTCTGGCCCTTGAGTTTCCTTCTTAATGGTTAGGCCTCTGTGGCCTGCACATATGACCCCTCCCTAGACTGATCCTAGGATAGGATAACTTTTCCTTAGCCATGATGGGCTGTCTCCCCATTTCTAACCTGAGTGGTTCCTCCTCTGATTCCATGGACCTTCTCTGGTCTCTGTCTCCTGTTATCTGTGATCTTTCCTCTAACTCCTGGGACTGGGCACTCTTAAGCTTACAGACTTTACTGAAGACCTCAGGGCTTCCCTTCCTTCTTCTGTGTCTCCATCTTATCTTCTTAAGTCAGATTCCTAGGATTCTGAGAGACACTTTAGAGCATATCTTGGTCAAAACACCCACTTTAGAGAAGATGAGCCTGAGGCTTGGCTTTCCCAAGGTCATGCAACAAAGGAGTGGCAGGCAGGTTTGGGATCAGAACCCACATCTTCAAAGACCTAGGCCAGTGCTCCTTTCACTGCCTATTTGTTGAGTCAGAAGAGCACAAGATTTGCACTCAGACACACTTAGAGTCAGTTGTATGACCTGCCATGTATTATATGAATTTAAGCAAACTAATCTCTTTGAACCCCGAGTTCTTCATCTTAAAAATGAGAATAAATGCTTCCAGCATCATTATGATAATTGAGTGAATGGTAAAATGTGCTTAGCATGTTTCTTGGCATATTTTATTTAAAAAAATTTTTTTTTTCAATCAGCTTTCTCAGGTTGAATCTTGGCATGTTTTTTTTAACCATGTAGTAGGCTCTCCATTTAAATTCCTCCCTAATTCTTTTACCTACCTCACCCTTCCCGACTGACTTACCTGCCCTTTTATAACCCTTCCTTCAGGGCTGCCCCCAGTCCACCCTTTCTAGTGACTTCCCCAATTCCTATAAATATCTCCCAAGGGCCATGAGATCCTGATGAGGCCGTAAGGATATTTGTGGAACCCCTTCATGGCTGGCTGCTGACTTTCCATTTTTTCTCTCCCCCTTCCCCCTGCAGCGGTACAGGAGGAGCGTCAGCGGGGAAAGGACAAGGATGGGGATGGGGAGGGGGCTGGGGGAGCCCCCGAGGAGATGCCTGTGGACAGGATCCTGGAGGCAGAGCTTGCTGTGGAACAGAAGAGTGACCAGGGCGTTGAGGGTCCTGGGGGAACCGGGGGTAGCGGCAGCAGCGTGAGTGTTGGGGTCAATCCACTCTCCTTCGTGATGGGGGTTGGGGGAGGCAGTCTAGGTCTGTTCTACATCCCCTCCCCCTCCTTTCCCCTCATAACCTTCCTAACACTACTTGGGACTGGAGGTGCTGCCAAACAAGGTCTTTCAAACATCTGAGGTGGATGTGATAGCTCCTTCTGTCTCCACTCCCCAAACAACCCACTGGCAGAACCATAGGCATGTCCCAAATAAATAATTGTTTGCACTAATGCCAGAAGAGAAGACTCACTTACAGGGATTGGTTTGGATGGGGCTCACAGGAAGACTATATGTAAGGAGGGGGTGTCAAAAGCCTCTTACAAGGGGGCTCCCAGCATATCTCAAAATCTTCCATAACTCTTACCCCCGTCCCCTGCAGCCAAATGACCCTGTGACTAACATCTGTCAGGCAGCTGACAAACAGCTATTCACGCTTGTTGAGTGGGCGAAGAGGATCCCACACTTTTCCTCCTTGCCTCTGGATGATCAGGTCATATTGCTGCGGGCAGGTCAGTGACCTTGGATCCCTTTGACTTCTTGACATTTGACCCCTCTTTGACTTCCCGATCTTTAGTGACCCCAGTGGCCTTACCTTGCGTACCCAGGGAGCCAAACTTGCTGACCTCGCCACCTCTTTTCTCCTTCTCTTCCACTGATGTGCTTTGAATCCCTTGGCCTGATTTCTGGCTCCTGACCCTTGCTGCCCCACCCAGGCTGGAATGAACTCCTCATTGCCTCCTTCTCACACCGATCCATTGATGTTCGAGATGGCATCCTCCTTGCCACAGGTCTTCACGTGCACCGCAACTCAGCCCATTCAGCAGGAGTAGGAGCCATCTTTGATCGGTCAGTGGCCCTCGGCTAGGCTGGCATGTAGATAGAGGGGGTGGGGCTATAGGCTGGTCCGTGTCCAAGGCTGGCTGAGCTGTGACCTTTGAGTGACCTGCAGGTCCCTCTCCAGGGTGCTGACAGAGCTAGTGTCCAAAATGCGTGACATGAGGATGGACAAGACAGAGCTTGGCTGCCTGAGGGCAATCATTCTGTTTAATCCAGGTAAGAGGAGGATTACCTTTGTCTCTCAAGGCCAAGGCAACCTTGGAGCCTCCTCTTCTCCGAGACTCCTAAGTTACCCAGCTATCCCCCTCAGTAAGACCCTCAACCTGGAAATCTCCCAACTGGCCGAGGAAAAACCCACATCCACGGATCCATCCCACAAACCCAGTGGGCCCTGCTTCCCTTGCCAGGCCTCTGGTAAAGGGCAAGCAAGTGCAGCCCAAAAGGGGCATCCTGTGGCTCACATCTGCATGGCCATCCTGATTTGGTTTGTCTTCATTTCTCTTCCTCCTCTCTTCCCTGCCATCCCAGATGCCAAGGGCCTCTCCAACCCTAGTGAGGTGGAGGTCCTGCGGGAGAAAGTGTATGCATCACTGGAGACCTACTGCAAACAGAAGTACCCTGAGCAGCAGGGACGGTGAGATGGGGCTGGGGGGCACTGAGGCTCCCTTGGGGGTGGGGAGTGCTATGAGGATGTGTTCAGGGCCCGTGTGCTTCCAGCTCTCAATCCCCTTCTCCCACCTCCACCCCAGGTTTGCCAAGCTGCTGCTACGTCTTCCTGCCCTCCGGTCCATTGGCCTTAAGTGTCTAGAGCATCTGTTTTTCTTCAAGCTCATTGGTGACACCCCCATCGACACCTTCCTCATGGAGATGCTTGAGGCTCCCCATCAACTGGCCTGAGCTCAGACCCAGACGTGGTGCTTCTCACACTGGAGGAGCACACATCCAAGAGGGACTCCAAGCCCTGGGGCAGGGTGGGGGGCCATGTTCCCAGAACCTTGATGGGGTGAGAAGTACAGGGCAGAACCAAGAACATAAACCCTCCAAGGGATCTGCTTGATATCCCAAGTTGGAAGGGACCCCAGATACCTGTGAGGACTGGTTGTCTCTCTTCGGTGGCCTTGAGTCTCTGAATTTGTCGGGTTCTCCCATGATTTGGGGTGATTTCTCACCCTCTGTCCTTCCCCCAGCACAAAGCACTGGCCTTGCCTCCAGGACCTTGCTTCCTTCTCATCTTGCCTCATTTTGCTTCCCATCTGAAGAGTGGAAATGGGGAACTCCCCCAGAGGTGGATACTGGGGGGCAGGCCTCCCAAGCTGATGGACATGAGAGTAGGGCCCTGACAGGCCTTCCTCCTCTCAAACCTGGCAGATGGGGGCCTCTCTGGAAGAGGGAGGGGCCCTGTCACTGTCCAGAGTCTCTTTTTACACTTCACCTCCTTCTGCAGTCAGACTGAAATATAAAAAAGGTGGTGGTGGTGGTGAAGGGGCTGGTGGAGATGTAGGAACCGATCTGCTATTTTTAATTTCCTGTGAGGATAGAGACTTGCAGTTAGACTCAAAGAAGTACTGTACTTTCCCAGGTTGACTAAGAAATGCCAGTGGTGGAGGTGGGTGTTTGGGAAAGGCAGGGCCCTGAAATGGCCTGTCCCTAGGGCTCTCCAAGCACTAGCCTTCCCAGCTTCCCGCCGCCCCCCCTATCTCTTCCTGTCTAACTTGGGGAAGGGGCCTGGGCTGTGAGGACAGGGCCCCCACAGGGGATGGTTTCACGAGTGTAGTCCCGGAGGCCTTCCCTTTACAGCTCTCCTCCAGCCCTGGGCACATAGCATAGGCTGGGGACACAGGATCCTGGCCTGAGAATTGAGGGGAGGTGGCCAGCCCGCAGAGGTGGGGTGCTGGGGCTGCATGATTTTTGCCCTGCGTCCCTTCTCTTTGGGGCTCCTTTCCCCTCTCATACATAAAATCGCTTTCAAATTAAAATCGCTGTTTTCTGGACTGAGGTGACTGTATGAGGATGGGCAGCGCCGTTTCGGGCTTGGGGGGGGTATCCGGTTGGGAGCTCCGGACGCGATCCCTGGACGCCGCCGCCGAGGTTCCGTGGGGCCCAAGAGGTGCACGCAGGGTGGGGGACACAAGGCAAGCTTTGTCGGGGAGGGGGGGAGAGGGTGTGCCAGGCTGGGGGCGGGGCCGGCCGGAGGAGGAAGGGGGGGCGGTGGATTCTCAAAGGCGCCTTGTTCGCTCGTGCCCTCTCCGCGCCAGCGGGCGGCGGCGCCTCGGCTCGCTGCGGCCTTCCCTCCGGGCGCGCTGCGGGCTCCGGGCAGACCCGGCGCCGTGCCCGCTCGTGGGGGCGCACTGGGCGCCGAGCGCTGCGTGCTTCTCAGGCGTTGCCCGCCCGGAGGCGGCCCACGTCCCCGAGTGACCCCATTTCCCTGGACCCTTCCAACCAGAGTCGACTGCTCGCTCATCTTACCACTGCTCCCCCTCTACCTCGGCTCTGGGACTCCCTAACCGCGTCCCCCATTTGCATCTCCTTGGACCTGACTATCCTGTGTTTGTCGGTGGGTCCCAGTCTCTGGCCTCTTGCTCTCCGTAGAACACCTTCCCCCACATCCCCCGCCCCAGTTCGTCGCTATCTATAGCCTTGTCTATAAATACCCCCGCCCCGGCCCGGCTCTGTAATTACACGGGGCGGGGTGAGGGAAGTAATTATGGAGACCTGATTATGGGTGGGGTGGGGACTGCGACCCCCAGGCCCGCCTCTCCCCCTCCCACTGTGCCCTAAATCCCGCCCAGGCCTCTGCTGAAAGGGGGCTCTGGGCCCCCAAGAGGGAGGGAATGGGAGGGAGTGTGTGTGACTGGACGTTTGGGTCCTAGAAAAGGAAGGGGCTAGGGAAGATATTGGGGTTCCCGAAAAGAGAATCTTAGGGTACAGGCCGTTGAGACCTACAAGGGGCAGGAGAGAGCGAGCGATAGAGGGAGGGTTCCCGCCTCCCTCCCCAGGTGGAGACTGAGGGTGGGGTTTCCCTTCGGTGGCTGTGGGCGGGCGGCTGGAGGCGGGGGCCGGGCCGGGGGCGGGGGCGAGGTGGGGGCTCTGGGCGCCAGGGTGGCCGGGGACACACAGAAGCGGCAGCCACCGAGGAGGGAGCAGTGCCGGGAGCCCCGACGGCGCCTTGCTGCATGGAGCTGGGCCGCTGACAGCTGTCGCTGCCCGCAGCCTCTGACCTCCCTGGGACCCCGGCGTCTGAGGCTCATAGTCTGCTCCCTGTCTTCTGTCAGCCTCAGGGCATCCAGCGTCTCAGGCCGACCTGGGTCCCTGGGACCCGGCGTTTCGGCTTCTCAGCCATGGAGCGGTGCAGCCGCTGCCATCGCCTCCTCCTCCTCCTACCTCTGGTGCTGGGGCTGAGCGCGGCCCCAGGCTGGGCAGGTAAGAGGAGTCCTGATGCCTGGGTCCTCGGAGTCAGGCTGGAGCTCTGAGTGTCTCTGGGAAGGGGCCAGCTGATGCCTGGGGCAGCAGCTTCTGAGTCTAACAAGGAGATTTGGGGCTTCAAGGCTACAGGCTGGAGGGCAGGACACCTGTGTTCCTTGGCATCAGGGTAGGAATCTCTTTGTCCTTGAAGTGACTGGGGGAGGGCAGATAGGGCTGAAAGGTGGAGGACCACTTTAGAGACCCTGAATGGGGATGGATGCTTGTCTTGAGTCCTTGGGAAGAGCTGAAGATGGCCAGGGCCAGCCCGGTCCAGTCATTGCTGGTGTGGGGATGGTAGACGCCAATGTTGATGGGTGAGGCGTGTGTGTCTTATGGCCTTTCTGTCGATATCTCTGGGATAAGGGGTGAGCACCTGTGATTCAGAGCAGAGCCCAGTAAGCCCAGAAAGAAAGGAAGCCTTGACTACCTGTCTCATTGGCCTCCTGGACAGGGTCCCCCTCCCCCTCCCTGTGCCCTCGATGCTGCCACGCAGCTGGCTCTGGGGAGCACTGGGGCTGGCTGCCAACAGGACGGCCCTCCGGACAGGCCAGGATCAGGTGTCTGAGGCCAGAGCCAACTCTTTGCATTCCTGCCTAGCCCCTCCTCCCTCTGGCCAGCCAGGCTCCCCTGGGACCCTGGTGCCCACAACCCTGATCTTTTCCTTCTTTTTCCCAGGACCCAGAATTCCTGGCTTCTAGGAAAGGGGATTTGATGTCAAGGAGGGGGCTGTGAGCACCAGGTCCTCAGCAGGCTGGAAAAAGCCCATTTCTGGAGACACTGAGGGCTGATTTATATTTAACTTGACTATTCAATTCTTCTCTGCTTTAGAGAGAAAATGGTCAGAATGGCAGCACAAAAGATTTAGATTAGATTACAGAAGGAAGAACTTCCAAGATGTGAGGACAGTGAAGCCCAGGGCCAGGAAATTGAGGCGTATGGTGCCTGTAGACTCTAGGAGTCTTTCTTAGGGGGAAGAGGGATCCTCTGGCATGGAGGCAGGGGGATGGCTAAGATGACTGTTTCTTATTTCAGGGGCTGAGTGGGTAGAGATGGGACTTTAGGGAAATGAGTTACTGTAGAATTCCTAAGGTTAGAGAATAAGGCATTTGGGGGGCCAGAGGTAGAGTGGTGGAGGGTAATGGGGCTACCAGTGGAGAGCCTGTGGGGCAGATGAGGCTGGATACAGGGGGGCAAGTATGTGGCCTGGTGTGGGAAGATGGTGGGCGGACCTGTGGGTAGGTTGTCCATATGATCGAATTGTACTCCCTTGGGATTTGGTGGAGGGTGGGGACCTCCGAGGTCTCCTTGGCCTGGGGTCTCTGTGAGTCTCTGTGTCTCTGTCTCACTCACCCTTCGTCTCTCAAAGCGGCCCTTGTGTGTTGGTGTTTGCGGAGCTGCCACACGCGCAGGGGCCAGGCTTAGGTGGGGGTTGGGGGGGAAGGCCGTGGTTTCCCGGCTCCTGGACTCAAAGGGCCTTTTCTCTGCCTGCCCGCCCCACCTCACCCACCCCACCCAGCTCCACTCTCCTGATTGCTCTGGCCTCTGCCCTGCCCCACACTTCTATGAAAGTTTTGCTGGAACTCTCTTTGGGATTTTTCCAATCTGGAGCTGATGGTGTGAAGAGTATGTGTATAGGGGAGCAAGTGAGGGCAAGGTGATCTTTTGTTTTCCAGGGAGTTTGAGCCCTAGGAAGCTGAGTTCTAGTTAGACAGGGCTGGTGGGCTGGATCTTGAATCTTTGGGTCCCAGGTGGTGGGGTTGGTGGGGGTGGTGAGACAGGATTGAGGTTCCAGGTGTGGGGAGCTTGCCTGGGTTCTGGGCAAGCACTCTGATGGGATCCACAGATGTGTGGCTCAGGGCCCTGGACCTGTTCCGGCTCCTCGTGGCAGCTTCAGCCCCTGCCCCCCATTCCTCCACCCCTCCCCAACTCATCTCCTAAACCAGGAGGCACAGACTCCTGGGAGAGCTTTCTTGTATCTTTTTCCTCAGCATGCTCAGGGTTGTTCCCACCCCATCCCCCAAACCTGGGATCTGTAGCTGCTTGAAGCCCCTCTCATAGAGCTGCTTCTCTGATCTCTTCCTCGTGGCCCCCCTGCACCTCCTGTGTCCAGGATGATCGATTGCCCAGATGTTGTTTGTGCTGGAGACGGGACAGATGCCAGAGACCCAGAGAGTGAGAGATATGGAAAGAGAGTGAGAGCGAGGGAGAGAAAAAGATGGACAGAATGTGAGAGAAATGGAGGAAGACAGAAGAGACAGAGACAGAAAGACCAACATAAAGAGACAGAGAGAGTAAGAGAGTGAGAGAGACAGGAGACAGATGAAGAGTTGAGAGAAGTATTCAGAGAGTACAGAGAGAGACAGATTCATAAGCTAAAAGACAAAGAGAGAGCGTAAGAGAGGCAGATGCTAGGAGAGACAGGGGCAGGAGTGTCATGGGGTTGAATGCCAGCTGATGCTGCCCTGCCTCCAGGTACCTTTGCATTTCCCATCCATTCAGGTACTGTTCAGAAGCAAGTGAGGGTGAGGTGACCTTTCCCTTGCAGGGAGTTTGAGCCCTGGAAAGCTGAGTTCTAGATCCCAAATGTCCCCTATTTATGCCCTCCTGAGGGCATGTCCCTTCTCCTGATAATCATGGACTCTCCCAGGTGCACCCCCTGTGGATGTGCTCCGGGCCCTGAGGTTCCCCTCCCTCCCTGATGGTGTCCGGAGAGCGAAAGGCATCTGTCCAGCTGATGTGGCCTACCGAGTGGCACGACCTGCCCAGCTCAGTGCACCCACTCGCCAGCTTTTCCCAGGTATGGGTGACATGGTGGGGTAGGCCTGGGGGGAGGTAATGGGATGGGGCCTAGGATCAGACACCAGGAGGAAAGGGGTTGTGGCGGCTCCCTTTGCCTCTCACTCTGTGTGTATCTCTCTCGGTTACTAGGAGGATTTCCCAAAGATTTCTCTCTGCTGACTGTTGTCCGGACCCGCCCTGGTCTCCAAGCTCCCCTCCTGACTCTCTACAGTGCCCAGGGTGTCCGACAGCTGGGCCTGGAGCTGGGCCGACCTGTCCGCTTCCTGTATGAAGACCAGACTGGGCGGCCTCAACCTCCCTCTCAGCCAGTCTTCCGAGGCCTCAGCCTAGCAGATGGCAAGTAAGTTTGTTTGCTCCTCTGGTCTGCCTGGCCCACACTTTCAGGAGGAAGTGCCCCCAAACCCCTACACTCTAAACTGTGAAACCCTTGAGACCCTTTGGGCCACACCACACCTACCCACTGCCCAAACTTCAGTCACTTCTAGTCCAGAGTTTGGGCTTTAGAGTGTACAGCCTTCTCTGCATGTTGAACTAGCCTGTACCTTGGGCAAGTTACTTAAAATTTTTGAGCCTCAGTTTCTACATCTGTAAAATAGACATTAAATAGAATTGGCACAAATAAGAAAGTGACGGCATGGTGTCTGGTGCACTGTAAACACTCAATAAATGGTAGCCATTGTTATTACTGCTCTTATCACCATTGGCTTCAACTCTTATCACTGCTCTCCAACCATGTTGACTCCCCTACTTCAGTCAGCCAAGAGTTCACTTGAACCTCTTCCACCATTTCCAGGTGGCACCGTGTGGCTGTGGCTGTGAAGGGCCAGTCTGTCACCCTCATTGTTGACTGCAAGAAGCGAGTCACCCGGCCTCTCCCCCGAAGTGCTCGTCCAGTATTGGACACCCATGGAGTGATCATCTTTGGTGCCCGTATTCTGGATGAAGAAGTCTTTGAGGTAACCAGAGCAATCAGAGGCAGGATTGACTTCTGGTCCCCTATCTTGTGCCCACTACCCTTCTGGCCCCAGCATGTCATCTTCCTATTCCCTAGGCCTTCATTTTTTTTTCTTATGAATTTTCATTTCTATTTTCTATCTTCAGGGCTACTGTTCTCTGCAGGAGAACTAGATGCCTACCTATATGGCAGGACTGTCCACAGCCACTTACTCTGTCCTTCAGTCTTCATCAGTTCCCTCATCCATCCATCCTTTCAACCCCTCTCTCTCCTCACCCACCCATCAATTCACTCACTCCTCAGCCAACCTATGCACACATCCACCACCCACTCCCCCATCTATTTACTCATCTATGCATCACACGCCCACCTAGTCATGCATGAAGGCTTATATCCACCCACCTGTCAATCCTCCCCCTGCTTAACCACTCTCCCCTTCAAACCACCCATCTATGCTTCCACCCATCTATCCTCTTCAACTCCTCCATCCAGCTATTCACTCACCCACCCACCCTCCCCATCTACCCATGCACACAAGGATGCATGCATCCATTCAGCCACCATCTATCCATTATCCTTCCACCAACTCAACCACTCCCTCCTTCAATATACTCACTCACCCATCTCCTGACCCACTTACTTCCCATCCGACCAGTCATTCACCCACATAAGTTCACCCATCTACCTATTCACCCATTTGCTTCCATCTACTCTGTAACCCCTGTTCATCTGCCCACCAGTCCACCCTCCCATACGTACATTTATTCATTCACTATTTATCAATGCTCCCATTCATTAATGCATGTAAGCCCCCAGCCACCCATCCACTCATCTATCCATTCATCCATCCCTCCATTCACCCATCCCTCCATTCACCCTCCAAGCCAGTCAACATTTTCTGAATACCTGCTGGACAAGGAGAACAAAGAAGAGAATATAAAGTCTCTATCACCCCCAAGAGCTCCCAGGTGGGCTCTGGAAATGAGACAACATCCCTAAATTACGGTGCAATGGAGAGTATGCTAAGCACCATGTGTGGGCAAAAGTAAATGCCATTGGAACTCAGGAATGGGTTCTCCCCACTCCATTTCTAGAGGTCCAGAGAATTCTCATCATCACTGCCATTGGAAGGCCAAGGCATCTAAAGCTGAGCCCTGTCTCTGGAAGCCACTGTGGAAGGGCTCATGCATTGCCACAAAGCGCAGAGGGGAGGCAAAGAATTCTGGAAGGCCTGGGATCTGGTCCTGATTCTGCCACTCTGGGTGACCTTGGGGCAGTCATTGCCTTTTTGGGCTTTTCTGAATGGAACGTATCTGAAAAATGGGTAGAAAGAAAGATCCTTGTTCTGCCAACTTTCCTGGTTGTTATGAAGGTCCTATGAGATCCCTTGAAAACTGAAAAGGGCTATGCATATGGAGGACTGACAGTGACCTTCTCCCATCTTAGGGTTTTACCTAGGATTGGCCTCCTATACTCTTTCTCCCGGATGATACCCTCTGCCTCTCTCTGAATCTCTCCGCTCCATCTCTCTCATGTCTTTGCAGGGTGATGTCCAGGAGCTGGCCATTGTCCCAGGGGTCCAGGCAGCCTATGAATCATGTGAACAGAAGGAGCTGGAATGCGAGGGGGGCCAGAGGGAAAGACCCCAAAACCAACAGCCTCACAGAGCCCAGAGATCTCCACAGCAGCAACCATCAAGACTTCACAGGCCACAAAATCAGGAACCCCAGAGCCAGGTGAGGGAGCTGGGAGAACCCCCAAGTGCAGCACACCCCAGAGAGGGAAGACACCCAGGCATCTCTCCTCCTTAGTTGTCCTCCCCACCCTCATCTCCCTATTCCCATCACCCCCTCCTCCTAGTCCTCATTCATCAGCCTTTTTATTTTCATCTAAAAATAAAAAGAGTTGTTATGAAGAATTTGTGGCTGGGAGCTGTGTTCCCTGCTCTGCGTCTCCTCTTCCAGTCTTCCTGGAACTGTGTCCCTGGGTTTTCCCTTCCTTCTTTGAATTAAGAGATTGGGAGACAGTGGGAGAGGGGTGAGAGCTGGGGAGGCAGGTAGGAGAGGGGACTGAAGCCAGGAGAAAGCAGTCGGGATGGTGAGACCAAGGAGGAGGAATGGGAAGGAGTAGGGATGGAGGGAATATCAAAGGAGGGGTGGGTCTGCAGAAGTGTGGGAGTGGGGAACCCAGTCTCTGGCCCCCACCTACCTGGAGGGGCAGGAAAAGGGGAGGTAGTAGGGGGAAGGGAAGGGAAGGGAAGGGAAGGGAGCCTGGGTTGGATGGGGTCTGGAGAGTTAGAATACAGATAGGCTCTGGGGTCAGTGGTCTAAAGATCAGAGGGTCAATCTCTTAATCATGTCTGCTTCTGCCCCACATGTGGAACCCCTTCCCTCTGTTCCACCTCTCCCCACCTCCCTCCTGACCCTCAACCTCTCCTTTCATCTTCAACTCTCTGTTTCCCAACTCCACACCTCCCCCGTTTCCCAACTCCCACACCATCTTTATATCTCCCTCTCCCGCCCTTCACCCCACACCTTCCAATTACCCCATCCCCTTCCTGTCTATGCCCACCCCCCAATCCCAGCCCACTGAGTCTCTCTACTATGACTACGAGCCCCCCTATTATGATGTGATGACTACGGGGACAACCCCTGATTATCAGGTAAACTCAAGGGACCCCTTCATTTCTTCCCTTTCTCCCAGCACCCCCAGCAATCATCTCCTAGGACACCTTCCTCCCCTCCCCCATGCCGTGGGGAGAGGCACAGTGTGTTTAGATTATGGGGATTTACTTAGTTCCTGCCCCCTCCCTGTCTCTCTGCTGCAGCGCCCTGGGAGCCCCCACCACAGGCCTCCCCCTTCCCCTAGGGGGCATCGGACCCCTCCCTGAAAGCCTACCCCACCTGCCAAGAGGTCAATGACCTGGCAGGCGTCCCCCTCACCAGGCCGGAGGCCCTCTCCAACTGCAGGCTTTGACCCAGCATGGGAGCAGCCTCCCCTTTCCCGATGCCCAGCTCGGAGGGCAGCTTCCCCCACTGCCTGGCCCCGCCCCAGGACCAGAGGCAGCAGTTACCGGCAGGTAGAGCCGGGGCATCCAGATCTCTGCCCCCAAACCTCTATGACCTTGGAGGTTCACTCTCCCCAAACTATCCCCCTCCAAAGGGGCTGCAAGATCTGAGATTTCCCCCATCCCCCAGCACAGACAGACCCTGCCCTCGGGGGACAGGTGCTGCTTTGCCTCCCTTCTGCTAACCTTTCTCCTTCCTTCCCACCCCGTGCTACTCTTCTCCTTCTCTCCTTGGGGTCAGGACCCCACCCCAGGTGAAGAGGAAGAAATCCTGGAGTCGAGCCTCTTGCCACCCCTTGAGGAGGTAACTCTATGCCCCACCCTCACCCCATCTGGGGGCAGTGGGCACCTGTGACTCACTCCCCTCAGCCCATGACGTCTTGATGGACCAGCCCCTCCTCTGGCCGGAGGGTTCTTCCTCATTTCCATCGATGGCCTCTGTCTTTGGGTCACTCTAGAACTATGGGCCTGCTTGACTCTCTAAGTCCAGCCCGTTCCCTTCAGTATCCAGGCCTCCTTCCATGATTCTTTGATTCCTGAGTGACTTCGTCTCCATGTTGGTGTCTAATGGTCTTACTTTCTATGTCCTATTTCTGTTCCCGGGAGCCACTTTCTGTCCAGTGTTGTCACCTTTTGTCTTCCCTATCTCTTTGGTCATTCCTGGACTCCTTTGTCTGTCATTGTGTCCATGGACTGTCCACTCTGCATCCAGTCCTCTGGCCACCCTTCATTTTATCCACCACTTCTTCCCACTGGACCCACTTTCTGGACATCTCTCCCCATTTTTGGCCTTTGATGGCCCTTCCATTTATATACAACCACTCCCATGGCTATTCTTGGGAGAAAAAATCCAGTTCTGATTAACCTTGGAATCCTTTGGGCTAGAAGTTGTCACACCCTGGGGTCCAGGGTAAGCCTCCTCTCAGCCCTAACATCCCCATCTACCCCTCTCCCTCCCCATCCCTGGGAAGGAGCAGACAGATCTCCAGGTCCCCCCCACAGCCGACAGGTTCCAGGCAGAGGAATATGGGGAGGGTGGCACAGACCCCCCTGAAGGGCCCTACGATTACACCTATGGCTATGGGGATGATTATCGTGAGGAGACAGAGCTTGGCCCTGCCCTCTCTGCGGAGACAGCCCACTCAGGAGCCGTAAGTGAAAGGAGCTTCTCTTTCATTCTTGACTACCAGTGGGAGCTACAAGAATTGCTTCTTGTTGGTTTCGATCCTTGGCTGTTGGCTGTGAGCTATTTCCCATCTGTGACTTGTCATTTTCTGTTCACATATGATGTATATGTTGCTTGAAAAGATTACTACCTGCCTTCCTTTGCCAAATGTCTTACCTTGTGACTCTTGTGGATACTTCTGAAGCTCAGGGCAATTGGGAATTAAAAAAAAAAAATATGTAGCCACTTCCTGTCTTTCTTGATCACTTCCTGTCTAACTGAAGCTGGATTTCATAAAGCTTTTGGTCAATAAACTACTACCTTGTGTCCATTTTCAGTGTTTCTCTATCATTTCTTCTTGGTGAAATAATTTTTTGTTCATGTTTCTACCAAACGATCTAACTTCCTATGTCACCTTTTTTTAACCTACAGGCCACTTATTATCTGTCCCTTCCTGCCTTCTCCAGCTGTGGCATCCATCTTGGTAACTGTGTCAGGTTGGACTGCAAAGGATTTATTATTTCTGTTCTGGCTCTAGTTTTTCATGCTATCTTGTGACAATTTCCTTTGACAATAAGCCACTTCCTGTATGTCTCAGGTCATTTAAATCATAAAGTTTCCATTGTGGGCCTCGATATTTCTCATGGCTACTTCCTGTGTGTCCTAGCCTTGATGTTTGTGTTTTCTGGAAGAATTACCCTTCACTGTCATGATTCCCTTTGCAGGAGTCACATTCTACCTGTTTTGTGCCTTTCTTTTCTCTCTGGGTCACGGTAGCCATGTTGTTGTTGAAGGTTCACTTCCTGGATCCTCTTTCCTTCACTGCTTCCTGTCTGTTCAGCCACTTCCTGTTTGTCCAGTTTGTTTTCTAGCCATGTTGGCCATGTTTAATTTTCTTCGGCCCTGGCATCATTCTTGCTTCCAAGTGTTTGTCATTTTGTTCTGTGTCCCTTAGTTGTTCTCATATCTTCCAGTATTCCCTGTCAGTGGGACTGCTTCCTGTCTACTCCGCTCCGTCTTCTGCCTGCCTTGCAGTTCTGGCTGCCTCCTCTACCCTGCTGCCGCATCCCATACCTCCCCTCTCTTGCCTCCCTTGAGCTTCTACTGCCTTTCCTTTATGCTGCTCTCTGGGTATTTGGGGTTGATATGGGATTTCAGAGAATTTTGAAACGGATCATTGCTGTTTGGTCAGAATGAAGGTGGAGAGGGGCATTCTGAAGATCTTTGTTGGGGGGAGTTGGGGTGGTGGTGAATGTCTCCCATTCTCCATGTTCTTATTTTGTTTCTGGCCCTAGAGTTGGGAACAGGTATCTGAGTGGAGGTGTGCAAGGGAGGGAACTGGTGGGCTTGGAATGTACTTGAGGGCCAGAGGAAGGGCAATGCATTCAGTGGGGACTGCTCTCCAATTTTTTTTTTTTTTGAGGCAGGGTCTCACTCTGTCACCCAGGTTGGAGTGCAGTGGCAGGATCTTGGCTTACTGCAACCTCTGCCTCCTGGGTTCAAGCGATCCTCCTGCCTCAGCCTCCCGAGTAGCTGGGGTTACAGGCATGTGCCACTGCGCCCGGCTATTTTTTGTATTTTTAGTAGAGACGGGGTTTCACATGTTGGCCAGGCTGGTCTCAAACTACTGACCTCAAATAAGCTGCCTGTTTCGGCCCCACAAAGTGCTGGGATTACAGGCGTGCGCCACCGTGCCTGGCCTCCAAATTTACTTAGAGTATGGATGCTTAACCTTTGGGGCATATTTAAACTTGTGAACCCTTTGAAATCCTAAATAAAATTCTGTGCATAATAGCATATACTTTTTCATTTCTGGAGAAAGACTCACAGCTTTCATCAGATTCTTTTTTTTCTTTGAGATGGAGTTTTGCTCTTGTTGCCTAGGCTGGAGTACGATGGCATAATCTTGGTTCACTTCAACCTCCACCTCCTGGGTTCAAGCTATTCTCCTGCTTCAGCCTCCCAAGTAGCTGGGATTACAGGCATGTGCCACCACACCCAGCTAATTTTGTATTTTTATTAGAGACGGGGTTGCACCATGTTGGTCAGGCTGGTCTCAAACTCCTGACCTCAGGTGATCTGCCTGCCTCCGCCTCCCAAAGTGCTGGGATTATGGGCGTAAGCCACCTCGCCCGGCCTAGCTTTTATCAGGTTCTCATGTGGGTCCATGCCCTCCTCTTACCCCAAATAAAAATCTACCCACAATCTTAGAGAGATTCTTTTATGATGTATTGGGGTAAATGTGTGGAAGGTTTCTTAAGGTTCTAGGGAGGGAGTTTGGGAGATGGGATAGGGTCCTCTAGAAGAGGGTTTGGGAAGGTGGGTGGTTTAAAATCCCTGAAAGGGGCCAGGTGTGGTGGCTCACGCCTGTAATTCCAGCACTTTAGGAGGCCAAGGCAGGCGGATCACCTGAGGTCAGGACTTTGAGACCAGCCTGGCCAACACGGTGAAACCCCATCTCTAATAAAAATACAAAAATTAGCCGGGCATGGTGGTGCACATCTGTAATCCCAGTGTAATCCCAGCTACTTGGGAGGCTGAGGCAGGAGAATCACTTGAACCTGGAAGGCAGAGGTTGTAGTGAGCCGAGATCGCGCCACTATACTTCAGCCTGGGTGACAGAGCAAGACTTCGTCTCAAAAAAAAAGAAAAACAAACAAACAAACAAAAACACTGGAAGTTTCTGGGGACCTTCCTGAAAGAGGCTCTCAGGGAGATGGAGAGGTTGTGTTTGCTGAGGTGGGGCTGGGAACTGGGGGGGCAGGGAACCCTGAGGTCTCCTTGGCAGGCTTGAAAGGTTTGTGAAGAGGGAGTTTTAGGGGAGGGCTGTGGGGCTTTCGGGTAGGGCTGAAGTGGTCTCGAGAGGATCTAAGAATCAAGGTTGGAGTTGAGATGGAGAAAGGCCTAGTGTCCTGGCTGCTCACGGGCCCCACTGGGGGCTACATGTGTGTCTCCTTCAGGCTGCCCATGGACCCCGAGGGCTGAAGGGAGAGAAAGGAGAGCCTGCAGTGTTGGAACCTGTAAGTTATGCTGGTCACAGGGCTGAGGCAGTGGAAATAGGAGAAGCAAGTGGGGTTGAGTGTGCTGGTCCTGTCGCCTCTGATTTTTAACCTTTGACTCCACAGGGTATGCTCGTGGAGGGGCCCCCTGGCCCAGAAGGCCCTGCGGTAAGTCTAGCAGTGACCTGGTGGCCATTCTTTTCTTAGAAACCCCTTCTATGTGCTCATCTGAGCCTTCCCCACATATGCCCAGGCCTCCTCCTCAGAACTCGGGAGCATCCCTCCAATCAACGCTTCCCAGATTCCCAGATCTGTTCTGCACAGACCACTCCTCAGCCACAGGCTGAGTGTCCACACCTGTCTGAATGCCCACACCTGACCCCTACTCTTTTGTTCCTCAGGGATTGATTGGTCCCCCTGGCATCCAGGGGAACCCAGGCCCAGTTGGAGACCCTGGAGAGAGGGTAAGGGGGTGTCCTCCATGTGACGGGGGAGCTTCGGGGGAGCTAGTGGTATCCAAGCGGGGGGCTACCATGCCCAGTAATTTCCTGTTAGGTGGCTTGTTAATGAATGAGGGGATGGTTGTGCTTCCCAGCAACCAGAAAGGAGGGCAGACTCTGGTTGGGGAGGGTGCTGATCTGGTTTCTCACCCTCAATTTTCCCCATGGGGGTGGGAGACTCAGGAAAGAGCTAGAGCAATCTACACTTATTCTGTTGAAGAGGATATTTCAAAATCATGCTAAGATCTTGATGTCCCCTTATCTTTCACCCCATCTTTTGCATTCTCTTCCCACTCCAGGGCCCCCCTGGCCGAGCAGGGCTCCCTGGATCAGATGGGGCTCCTGGTCCTCCTGGCACATCTCTCATGCTCCCAGTGAGTTGTCTCTTGGGTTTTGGAACATGCTGATGGGGAAGACAAGGAATTGTGTCATGTTACCAAGAACCAGATGGGCAGGAAAGATATGGAGGAGTCTCTAAAGATCATCAAAGATCATCACTCCAAAGGGATTCGTCTTTGGGGTTGGGGAGATGGGGCCTCATTAGGTGACCTAGAACAAAACACCAGTCTTCTAGGACTGGGCAGAACAGCCTATATTTCAGGAGCTCTAGAACCAAAAGAGAGTCTTTCTGGAGGCAGAGGCTGGACAGTGGAGGAGGGCAGGAGTTGAGTTTCTGGAATCCTCTAAGTGATTATCTGGAAGCCATGGGAAATGCTGGATGGGCAGAACCTGGGGCAAGGGGCAGAAACGCTGGAGAAAGCCTCTGGCTGGGAGGGTCCCATGGCTTTCTTGGAAGAGAACCTGGACCTTCTCTCCTTGACCTCAGTTCCGGTTTGGCAGTGGTGGGGGTGACAAGGGCCCTGTGGTGGCGGCCCAGGAGGCTCAGGCCCAGGCGATCCTGCAGCAGGCGAGGGTGAGTGGGGCTGCTTCCCTGGAAAGGGAAGGCTCTGGGGGGCACTGGAAGGGTTGGCTGGAGTGAGTGTGCGGCAGGGGAGGCCTGGGTTGGTTTGGGGTTAACAGGGAGGTTGGGGAGAATCCTGGGCAGTGGATGAGGATCAGGAGAGGAAGGGTGAATTTGGAGAGTGCTGGGGCTGGGGGTTCCCACTGCCTGTCCCTCAGCTCTGCTGTCCCCCTGCTCCCCTAGCTGGCGCTCCGTGGACCCCCTGGCCCCATGGGATACACAGGGCGCCCTGGACCCTTGGTGAGTGAGCAGGGTGCTCGGGTGGAGGATGCTTTAATTGTGTGTGGGGTGTGGATAGTTCTGGAAAGGGGCTTCTTTTGGGGAACACTCCGAGGCCACTGTTGGCTGTGTCCTTCCTTACGGCCATCCTCTCTTCTCTCTCCCAGGGCCAACCTGGGAGCCCTGGCCTGAAAGGAGAGTCTGGAGACTTAGGACCTCAGGTGACCACTTTCCTCCACTGCACCCCCATATCTGTTCACCAGCTCAGTCTCCCTCACTCCCCTCCCTATGCCTCCTAACCCCACCCCATCTCTCCTCTCACCAGGGCCCCAGAGGACCTCAGGGCCTCACAGGCCCTCCTGGCAAGGCTGGGCGAAGGGTGAGTGCCCCAGGGGTGGATGGGTGTTGTGGGGAGACAGGGCCTGCAGGGTAGGGGACTGCGGCCCTGCTTGTTCTGACACTTCCCTTGTTCTCCCAGGGCCGGGCAGGTGCTGATGGAGCCCGAGGGATGCCTGGAGATCCTGGAGTGAAGGTAACAGGCTTGGGCCCCTCCCTGAAGCCTGTAGCCTTCAGCCCACGCTGGGCTCAGTTGTTTCTTGGGGATGACCTAGTTCTCCAGGCTTCCCCAGGATCAGCACCCCCCCAGCTCAGGGTGCAGTAGGGAGGGGTGGGCTTGGACAGGGTCGTGTCCTCACTCTGGCTATCCTTCCTCCTCCTAGGGTGACCGAGGTTTTGATGGACTCCCAGGGCTCCCTGGAGAGAAGGGCCATAGGGTGAGTACATTAGTGGGTGTGTGTTGTAATTGGGGATAGATCTTCTATGGGAGTGAGGATAGGTAGGGAAGGGAGGCTGGAGGCTTGGCAGGAGCTCAGTGAAAGTAATGGATGGGCTAAGTGCAGAGGTTCGGTGTCTGCCTGTGTTGGGGGCTCTGAAGCCCCTCTTATGAGTTCCCCCATTTTGCAGGGTGATACTGGTGCCCAGGGCCTTCCTGGTCCCCCTGGTGAGGATGGAGAGAGGGTAAGTGTAGTGGCAAATGTAGGGGCTGGGTGCAGGGGAGGTCTAGAAGGCACAGCAGCTTTACCGTGTCCTCCTCCTCCAGGGAGATGACGGGGAGATTGGGCCTCGAGGGCTGCCTGGAGAGTCGGTGAGTGTCCAAGGGCTGGTGCTGGGGGAGGGGGCTCTGGGGAAGCCAGGAGGGGGACATGAGCACTAAAGGGACACAGTTTTATCCATTCATGCCGTCTCCTCCCCTCACCGTGAATGCAGGGACCTCGAGGTCTCCTTGGCCCCAAAGGCCCACCTGGTATTCCTGGACCCCCTGTAAGTGACTCCCTGACTTCTGACCCTGAGGTGACCCCTTGACCTCTCCAACTCTCCACCTTTCTAGCTGCCTTCCTGCTCCCTCTCCTCTCTCGGCATGCTTCCCATTCCCTGTGAGCTCCCCCTGCTCTGGCCCCACACTGCCCTGCCTCAGCATTCGCTCCCCGTGCACAGGGAGGGCCATGTGGCGTGGTGCCCTGAGGGCTCTGGGCATAGGAAATAAATCTTCAAGAAAAACAAAACCAAAGCCCACAAGCCCACAGATCCACAGTCCCACACACTGCAGGCCTGGGCCAGCTGTGTTTGCTTGGGTTTGGGATGGATTGGAGGTCTGACCGTCACACCCTCGGGAATGGCCGGGCCTCTGAAAACCACAGGTCCCTCCGGGCCACCTTCAGGCTGCTCACACCCATCTTGTGTTTCAGGGCGTCCGAGGCATGGATGGTCCCCAGGGCCCCAAAGGGAGCTTGGTGAGTGATGGATAGGAGATCCCACCCCCATTCTTATCCCCCGAGGTCCCTGCCAGCATCCTGTTGGCCGCCATTTTGACCCCTGCCTGCTTCCTGCTCTTGCCTTCTTGGCTATCGCTGCTGGGACTCAGCTCCATGCTCTAAATGTGTTCTATCTCCATCTCCTTCTGACCTGTGCCTGGTCACCTGTTTCTAGGGACCCCAGGGAGAGCCAGGACCTCCTGGACAACAGGGCACCCCTGGGACCCAGGTGAGCGGTGCCCCTACTCCGTTCCCCAATTTTCATGACTTCCCTTGGGCTTCCACAATGGGTGAGACCCTGGAAGGATACAGGAAATTAAGGGTTTCAGGCCCTTGTTGCTCATGCTTTGAATCCGGGAGGCTGGATAGAAGAGACCCTGGGAGGCCCCTGTGACTTCTCTTTCCCTGTATGTAGGGTCTTCCCGGGCCCCAGGGTGCCATCGGCCCTCATGGAGAGAAGGTAAGTGACTAAGTGATTTGGAGGACAGGGGGTTTAGAGTGGGGATGTAGGGAGAACCCTAAATGTCTGCTGGGATTTTGTCTGTGTCCAGACATGACCCCTCTAGTGACCCTGAGCCTCTTTGTCTTCCTGCAGGGTCCTCAAGGGAAGCCAGGGCTCCCCGGCATGCCTGGCTCAGACGGACCCCCGGTGAGTGGGACCCCACTTCCGAATCCAGTTCCCCTTGGCCTTCCACCCCAGTGCATGACCTCAGAGCTCCTTTAGTGACCCTTGCACTGAAAGGTCACTGGTGGTGCTTGTCCATGGACAGTTGGCTTCACTAGGTCACAGGAAATTTGGGTTGGAAGAAGTGTAGGGAGGGGTGCAGAGAGGGTGACAGGGGCCACTGGTCACATTTTCTATCCCTTACTCCCAGGGTCACCCAGGGAAGGAAGGTCCCCCTGGAACCAAAGGAAACCAGGTGAGATCTTCCATGTCTTTATCCCCTGAGGGAGTCTCCACTCAGACTCTAGAGCCTCAAAGTCCTTGGGATTCCCTTGTCTCATTATTCATATGGCTCTGCCACATTCTCAATTCCTGTGCCCCGTAACCCTACCCAGACAGCAATGTTGTTACTTCCATTTCTTCCACCCCTGGAGGCCCCCACAGTGACACTCTGAGGCCCCTTTATAAATGCCTCTCTTTTATCTTCCAGGGTCCCTCTGGACCTCAGGGACCTCTAGGATACCCAGGACCTCGAGGGGTCAAGGTAACTGACCACCAGGCTGGGAGACAAAGGGCTGTGGTCAGGGGAGCTATATGGGGTCTTAGGAGCTTGGTCCTTCCAACCCACCTCCATCCCCTGATCAGTCTACTTCTATCCCCTCTCTAATTCTAGGGTGTGGACGGAATTCGGGGTCTGAAGGGTCATAAGGGTGAGAAGGTGAGCACCATGCCCCCAGCTTCCCAGCACCTCAGTCCTGCCATCTCCTCTCTTCACTGCCTTCCCTCCAGCCTGCCCCGCACTGCCGTCCAGCTCCCGAGCCCCTGCTTCCACCTATGTTCTCAGAATTCCCATTAGAACCCCAGCCCTCTGTCATCTGTGGTGCCCTCTCACCTCTATCTTTCTCAGGGTGAGGATGGCTTTCCTGGGTTCAAAGGTGACATAGGCGTGAAAGGTGACAGGGTGAGTAGAGACCCCACACTGGCCCCAATTCCGTGTTCTACTGAGCCTCCACTCTGGAGACGCCAAGCACCGGTTTATTCTCCTGAGTCTCCAGACTCCACAGTTCCAGTGCTGTGTTCCCTTGGGAGCCTGACCCCTACAGGATGATAGCCCCATGGTCTGTGTCATGCCTGCCCTCCCATCACTACACTATCCCTACCCTGTGGGCTTCCTGTCCTGCAGTGGCTCCTGGGACCCCTCTAGCCCTCCTCAGCCTCACTGTTGCCCATTTCTCCTCTGGGCCCAGAGCCCACCTCCAGTCCCCAGCACTCACCTGTCCTTCCCTCTCACACAGGGCGAAGTTGGAGTCCCTGGTTCCAGGGGAGAGGATGGTCCTGAGGGGCCAAAGGGACGCACTGGACCGACTGGAGACCCTGGGCCCCCAGGGCTCATGGGCGAGAAGGTGATGGGATGAGGGTTCTGTGCCTGGGTCCTCTGGGGGTGTGGGCACTGGGGTCAGGATGGGCATGGGTGCCCGCCGCTGAAGTCAGCCAGTCAGTTGAAGATGGCCATGCATTAGTCATACTTCTGTCTGTGTAAATGGCATCTCTCAGCTGCTGATGGGCAGAGGGGATATATAAGAAGTCAGGGAAAAGTCCCTGACACGAAGAGTTGGACGGAGACGAAGCTTAGAGAGTAGCTGTTGCTTCAAGGCAGAGTGAACATGCGTTCGGACTCCAAGCAGCAGGAGTTCTGAGATGAGAGAGTCTAATAGCAGTGAGGTCTGTGGTCTCCAGAGCTGACTCTCCCCAGCACTTGCCCTGTGCCAGGTGCTGTGCTGATGCGTCCTATCTATCCTATGAGGTAGGCATGTGACGTACTGTTTTGCTGAGGTTTTACAGAGGCACAGGGATGCTTGTTGATTACATGGCCAGTGAAGGGCAGAGCCAGGGGTTATGCCCAGGCAGTCTGGCTTCAGAATCTCTGCTTCTAAGCCCTGCTCTGCAGCTGCCTGGGCAGGATGAGCCCTGGAGCCTCTGGGGAAGGGGGCATGCACGGGAGTCGGGGTGTGGTGGGCAAAGGGCCTGCAGGGGGATTGGTCTTGGTGAAGCAGGAGTGGGTGCTGGGGTAGATCCCACCTCCCTCATGGGGTAGATGGAGCTGAGGTTGACATGTGGGAAGCAGCTAGATCACAGTGACCCTGAAGGACCTGATACCTCTGTAGGCGCAGGGGAGGTGGGATCCCAGCACTAGAATTGGGGAAAATCCACTCACGGGAAGGAGAGACAACAAAAGTCAGGCAGCTGTGGGGCAAGCAATGAGGGGCTAGAGGCTGGGGTGTGTGGGGTGTGTTGCTGGGTGGGGGCTGGCTGTTATATGTGAGGGTTGAGGTCTCCAGGGGTGGAGTGGCATCTGGGCCTCCTCTCACTCCTAACTGCTTCCTGTCCCTCCACAGGGCAAGCTGGGTGTTCCTGGTCTGCCTGGCTATCCTGGACGTCAGGGACCCAAGGTGATGCCATGCCCCATACGTGCCCCTCCTCCTCTTCCCTCCTCCTCTTCGCTTCCCTGATCCCTGATTCCAGAAAGCACAGATGCAGGGCAGTGGGGGACCCCAGAGGGAATTTAGCTGACCCCCATTTTACAGATGACCGAAAGAGGCCCAGAGAGCAGCAGGGGTTTGTCCAAGGCCACTTAGTTCTTGGCAGAGCTCGGGTCTCCCTGGCCACTGCCTTTGTGGCCTCTCCTGACCCCCTTTGCCCCTTCCTGAACCCTACCTTTCATAACTTCTCAATTTCCCCCCTTCTCCGTTCTCACCAGGGGTCCCTAGGATTTCCTGGCTTTCCTGGTGCCAGTGGAGAGAAGGGAGCCCGGGTAAGCTGGGGGGTGGGAGGGCGTGAGAAGGGAAGGGCTGGAGAGGTGTAGAGGGGGTCTGTGGGGAGTCTCACCCTGGGTAATGTTCTCTCTGCTTCATTCCCACCAGGGCCTGTCGGGGAAGTCAGGGCCTCGGGGAGAACGGGGCCCCACGGTGAGTGCAGGGGAGAGAAACAGGTGGCTCAAGGTCCAGAGGGGGGCATTTGGGTTTCTCTGACAACTCCTCTTCCCTCTGTAGGGTCCACGGGGTCAGCGGGGACCCCGAGGTGCCACTGGGAAGTCTGGAGCTAAGGTGAATGGTCTCTACAAGGCTCCAACTGCCCCCTGCCCACTCAGCCCCAGCTCTCCCTCAACATCCTGACCTCGGGGACAGCTGGAAAGCAGCTCTTCCCACTCCTTGACTCTGTTTCCCCCCACAGGGAACATCTGGTGGTGATGGCCCCCATGGGCCCCCTGGAGAGAGGGTGAGTGTGGATCGAAAGTCCCCTTCCCCTGAGGTCCCCAGGGAGCCTGGGTGAGCCAGCTCCCTCCTCACCCCAGGAAGGAAGCTGAGTTCCCCCACTCAGCCCCTGCCCCCATTCTCCTGACTCCCCCCACCTCTGTCTCTAGGGCCTCCCTGGACCTCAGGGTCCCAACGGGTTTCCTGGACCGAAAGGACCCCCGGTAAGTTGACCCCGAGCTCTGACCCACCTCGCTTCTCTGAGTCCTTCTTCCCTACCTGCTTTCCAGCTGAGAGTTCACCTGACAACTGAACCCCTTCCAGGGCCCCCCTGGGAAGGATGGGCTGCCGGGACACCCAGGCCAAAGAGGAGAAGTGGTGAGTGATGCTCCTGGCTACCCATTCTCAGGGGGCTCCATCAGACCCTTTAACCCCAGAGCTGTCTGGAAAGCCCACAGGGACGTTCTCCTGGCAGAGTGGAGCCTGCCCTGGTGCTGCTCAGACCCAGGGCCCAGGGCTTGGTGTGATCCTGCCTGGGATCCTTCCTCCTGGGAATCTGCCCCACAGCGCCCACACCTGCTTTCACTGCATTCTCCTCTCTTCCTCGCCTAGGGTTTCCAAGGGAAGACCGGCCCCCCTGGTCCTCCAGGAGTGGTGGGACCTCAGGTAGGTTTGTCCCTAGGAGAGAATGGACCCCTGACCCTAGCATTAGTCTGTCTGCCCCTCTTCTCTCGGTCACACGCCCCTGCCCCGGTCCACCTGACCCAGACTCCTGGGGCTGGGGTCAATGGTGGGGGCTGGGATTTCAGGCAGGGGTCCTGAACTTCAGTCTGTTTTGGGGCGCATTCTCATCGTCTTGTCCCCCAGGAGAGGCAGTTCCCCAACAGAGACACAAGGTGGTGTAGTTACTCCACATGGGGCAGGAGAAAACCCAGCAGTGGCCCAGGAATGCCGGGGAATTTCCCAGGAGCTTTGGGGCAGGGATAAAGGGGTTCTGAAGGAGTGTTTTAGGGTGGCCAGGGTGGGCTCTTCTGGCAGACAGCGAGATGAAGGGCCTGAGAGCAGGAACTCTCTCTGCTTTTGTCTAGGGAGCAGCAGGAGAAACCGGCCCTATGGGGGAGAGAGGTCACCCAGGCCCCCCGGGGCCCCCTGGAGAGCAGGGACTACCTGGGACAGCTGGAAAAGAAGGAACAAAGGTCAGTGAGGGGCCAGGCAGAGGGGAAGTGGGGGAGCTGGGGATTGGGGTGCTGAAAGGAACAGGTAGTTGGAGATTTGAGGGGGGGCTGGAGAGCTCTCTGTTTAATTTGGGAGCATGGCTGTGGCTCATCACCTCTCCTTTCCTTTTAGGGTGACCCTGGTCCCCCTGGGGCCCCAGGGAAGGATGGTCCTGCTGGTCTGAGGGGATTCCCAGGAGAGAGAGGCCTCCCAGGCACTGCTGTGAGTGTGACTCCCAGACCCCTGCCTGTCACAAGCACCAAGCATCCTGAGTCCCCACCCCGACCCTGTCCCTGACCCCCTCCATGTCACTCCCCACTTCCATCTTTTGGAGCCTGTCTTCCCTCTCCAGCTCTCACCCTTCTCTTTTCGTGAAGTCTCATCTTCCCCAAATGTCTGGTTCATAGGGTGGACCTGGTTTGAAGGGGAATGAAGGTCCGTCTGGCCCCCCTGGCCCTGCAGTGAGTCTGGGGTTCCGGAAGTGGTAGGAAGGACCCGGGAAAGGGGTGGGTGAGGAAGGGTGGGAGTGGCATTCTGATACCACCAGGGGCTGTGGGGCTGGGCAGAGGCTGTCCAGGGACAGCCAGAATGCATCTGATTTTGGGAGCTTTTGGGAATTGTGGTCTGAGGTTCTCTGGTATGGGCGGGCTGGTGTCTCCTTCCTGGGGGTCTGACCATCTGCTTTCTCAGGGCTCCCCTGGGGAACGAGGTGCAGCAGGATCAGGGGGACCCATTGGTCCGCCAGGGCGCCCAGGCCCGCAGGGTCCCCCTGGAGCAGCAGGAGAGAAAGGTGTCCCAGTGAGTGTGGGGGTATTGGGGAGGGGTACTGGGGAGGGGTCTGTGAGCCTAGGGTTGATGGGCTATGACAAGTTTCCTGTGGGGTGTTTGAGGGTGAGGGTCACCTCCAGGCCATGACTCCTTCCTCCTGTCCCACAGGGTGAGAAGGGCCCCATTGGCCCGACTGGCCGAGATGGAGTGCAGGGTCCTGTGGGGCTTCCTGGTCCTGCTGGGCCTCCAGGTGTGGCTGGAGAGGATGGAGACAAGGTGAGGGGACCCCACAGACCCCGACCAATCTTCTTTCCAGATGAGATGGCTGACCTGGGCATGACCCCTGGCCCCTGTCATGTCATCCTTCCCACTCTACCCATCACCTTTCTCTAATATCTTGTCTGCCTTCTCCTCCCAGGGTGAGGTGGGGGACCCCGGACAGAAGGGCACCAAAGGGAACAAGGGTGAACATGTAAGTGTCCATGACCTTGACTTCTGACCTCCTGGCCTTTAACCTCAGTCCCACCTGATCTCTCTCCCTGTTTTGGTGTCTCTGACTCTCTTCTCTTACCCAGGGCCCTCCTGGACCCCCTGGACCCATTGGTCCTGTGGGGCAGCCTGGAGCAGCGGTGAGTGACCCCTCCACCCCCACCGAAGGCCCAGCAGCCTCTGGTCCTCCCTCAGCTCCCCTCTGCCCTTGTGGCTGGGAGTGGGAGCAGGGGCTCTGGGCCTGGCACCCAGCTGTGTGTGGTATTTGTGGATAGAGAACACCTGACCCATGACCCATCCCTGTGTCCTTGTCTCTGCTTTCCCTCAACCCTGCAGGGAGCAGATGGGGAGCCCGGAGCTCGGGGACCCCAGGGACACTTTGGAGCCAAAGGTGATGAAGGAACAAGAGGATTCAATGGGCCCCCAGGACCCATTGGCCTACAGGTGTGTTGGGGGATAGGACAGGGGCTGAGAGGTGGGGTCAGGATGGGGTGATGTTTTGCCCCAGACTCTGCCAGCAGCCTGCCGATGCAGACTGGAGGGCCTGCGGAGTCTGAGGGGAGGGGACTGTGGGGCCTATCTGCCTAGGGCTGTGCTTTGGGTGGGGTCGTCACCTGGGCCCATGTTTTGTATACTTGCACAGGGTTTGCCAGGCCCCTCTGGGGAGAAGGGAGAAACAGGAGATGTGGGTCCTATGGTGAGTGTGACCCCTACTGACCCTAGCCACCATACTAGTCACCCCCCTCCCTGGCCAGCCCCCACCCCACACCCCACTGCCAACTCCCTGGCCTGGCTGCTCCTCCTCCTCTCTCCACCATTCATGCTCAGCCATCTCACTTCCCTTCCTCATCTGTGGTGTATCTGTTTCCCCCAGGGACCACCTGGCCCCCCAGGACCTCGAGGTCCAGCTGGACCCAATGGCGCTGATGTGAGTCATCTCAGCCCCTGTCCCTTGAGACCAATGTGTCTGGTCTTCTGCCTCCCTTTCCCAGACCATAAACTCTAGTATCGTCTCAGGGGCCAAGAGAAGCCCTTACTCCCGGGAGGCCTCCACTGCCTCACTGCTGTAACCTTGGGCTGCTCATCTGGGACTTTGCCCCTGAAATGGCACCTCCATCCTAAGCAATGACACCTATTTCTGTTCCTCTTCCAGGGCCCACAAGGTCCCCCAGGAGGTGTTGGGAACCTGGGTCCCCCTGGAGAGAAGGTAACTGGGAAGGGGGTGAGTGGACCAGTCATGGAAGTGGGGGATGGGAGTTGGATTTCTGCCAATTTTGGGTGGGGAGACAAAAGAGAATGAGATGTGGGGAATATCAGAATTTTTTGGCTGGGGAAGGAGAGGAGGTTTTTGACTCTAATCTCTTTGCAGGGGGAACCAGGAGAGTCAGGATCTCCAGGGATCCAGGGCGAGCCAGGTGTCAAGGTGAGTGACAGCTCCAAGGCCTTACTCCCCAGTCCCCGTCACCCGCCTCAACCCTGCCTCCACTTTTCCTGTGACCTCCTTGAGCTGGAACTCCTCTGCAGCAAGAGTCTCTGCTCCCTGCCATCCTCTATGAGGCCTGATCCCTGGTCTGAGTGAGCCCTTCTTCCCCTTTCTTGAAGGGAAGGGGACTAGGGAACTCCCCTTGTAGGCTTGACTTTCTGTGTATGTCCCATTGTCACTGAGGGGAGTAGGGGATGGCTGAAGGTGTCTCGGAAGCAGAGGCTGCATCCCTGATCTTCAAGATTCCCTGGGCCATCTGTGTCCTCCGCTTGTTCTGCAGGGTCCACGCGGGGAACGTGGAGAGAAAGGAGAGTCGGGGCAGCCAGGAGAGCCAGGGCCACCAGGGCCTAAAGGCCCCACAGGCGATGATGGCCCCAAAGGGAACCCTGTGAGTTTGGGGCAGTGGGGGCTGAGTCCTCTCAGGCCCTGTGAATGACAGACCTGGGAATATGGGTGTGTGTGAGGGAGGATCTTGGAGTGTGGGGAGCCCGGGAGTTTGGGGGATGCTCTGGGAATGGGGCATCCAGAGGGATGCCTGGGGTCTAGGATCCGGAGAGAAAGTGAGAGATGCCCTGCAGTTAATACCTTGAGGAATTAGACAACACGCAGTGCACGTGGTAGGGAAAGGGGTGCAGGAGACCTCTTCCTGGGGGGTACTGGTGGGCACTGCCTCTAGAGAGGCAGTGGCGTGTGCCTGTGGGCGTCTGTGCTGGGTGGGCTTAGGGAGCTGTGACCCTGACTCTTATTCTCCATCTGGATCAGGGTCCTGTTGGTTTTCCTGGTGACCCTGGCCCCCCTGGAGAAGGTGGCCCTCGGGTGAGTCTTACTCAGAGAAGGGAAGGGGCAAAAAGGGTGGGGCTTCTATGGGGGGGTCCTCTGTGTGGCCGCTGGGCTTGGGTATTGGGAAGCCGGGGGTATGGCAGGGTGGGCAAGGGGATGGGGTATTGACAGTTTTGGAGGTGATGCCAGCCAGGTTGGGGGCCCACCTCTGACCTTGCTTCACTTCTGCAGGGCCAGGATGGTGCTAAGGGTGACCGAGGCGAGGATGGTGAGCCAGGACAGCCTGTGAGTGCCTGGTGACCCCACCACCCCCCTGAGCCCAAGCCTCATCCTCTTTACCCCTCTTCTGTGCCCCACTCCTGAGGGGTCCCTTGGCTGGAGGATAAACACTCAGCCACCCCAATTCCTCTCTCCCTAGGGATCCCCTGGTCCCACCGGGGAGAATGGACCCCCAGGGCCACTTGGAAAGCGAGTAAGTGAGGTGGACCCCTGAGACCTTGGGAGGCAGTCCCTGGGCTGTGTGGGTGGAGGCTGGGCAATGGCAGGTGGGATGGGTGGGGAGGTGCCTGGTGTCTGCATTGCCCTGGGTGTGTGTGTGTGCAGGAGCTGGTGGGTTTAAGGGCGTGTGGTATCTCATTGCCCGGGGCAGGGTGTGTGTGCAGGAGCTGGTGGGTTTAAGGGTATGCGGTATCTCATTGCACTGGGCGAGTGTGTGTGCAGGAGCTGGTGGGTTGATGGGTGTGCGGTATCTCGGGCATGTTTGTTCCTGGGTTCTGGTGTGTATGTTTTCACCAGGGGTAGTGGTGGTTACTGACAAAGCAGAATGGAAACTGGAGGAGGGGCTGGCCAGCTTTTCTGTGGGCCAGGGGTGAACCTTTTTAGTTTCTGGGGCAGGAGACGGGCCACCAGGTAGGGTGTGGGCAAGTGGCCCTTCACCAAATGTACAGACTACCCAGTATTTTCACAACTGTCACAGCTGTATCTGTTCTGCACATCTGTGAATCGGCCCTCGGCGCGTGTCCCTGTGTATGCACGTGTGTGTGTGCATGTGTATGTGTGTGTCTAGGACAGGAAGGGGGAAGAGTTGAGCCTGGCTGCCCACGGCCTCATGTGCTCTTCCTTCCCACTCCACCTGCAGGGTCCTGCTGGCTCGCCTGGTTCCGAGGGGCGACAAGGAGGGAAGGGAGCCAAGGTGAGGGACAGGCTGCCCTAGTGCTGGAGCATCCCCTCCGCCTCCCACCCCTCAGATGCCTCCGTCTCCAGATGCCCACCCCATCTCCACCTCTCCCATGTTGGGCCCTTATGGGGACAGGCGTTCCCTGTACTTGTTCCTGCGCTAGGGGCTCCTAGAGTTTGGCCCTTCCTCCCTGCCTCCTGCCTCCCACCTTGGACCCTCTGCCCCCTGCCCACACCCCACTCCTCTGCCATTCAGGACACATTCCTTGTGTGTGTTTCAGGGAGATCCTGGCGCTATAGGTGCCCCGGGGAAGACAGGCCCGGTGGGTCCTGCAGGCCCAGCAGGGAAACCTGGCCCTGATGGTCTGAGGGGGCTCCCAGGCTCAGTGGTGAGTCACTGCAGGGAAGGGCTGGGCTGGGGTGGGAGTGAGGGGCCATGGGAGGGGTGCAGTGTGGGGATGCTCCTCCTGACCCCTGTGGCCCCCTCAAATCTTCAGGGTCAGCAAGGCCGACCTGGAGCTACAGGCCAGGCTGGGCCCCCAGGTCCTGTGGTGAGTGACTGGGATTGGGCTGAGTGAGGGGTGAGGGCAGTGCCCTGGGACAGAGCTGAAGCCCTGGAGGAAGTGGAGGCTGTTGGGGAGAACTTGGTCCCACCTCTCCCTTAAGAGAATGACTTCCCATCTCTCCACAGGGACCCCCAGGGCTGCCTGGTCTCCGGGGCGATGCTGGAGCCAAGGGAGAGAAGGTGAGTGACAGACAGACACGTGGCCAGGTGTCTCTCCCATCACCCTCGCCCCTGAAACCTGTGGGACCCAAGTGCCCACTGCTCTGCTTCAGGCCTCCGGCAGCCAGTCCCAGGGAGTCCCTGCTCAGTGAGGGCCACTCACGGACCCTGTGCCCGGCTCCCTCTCCATGTCCTCTTGGCCCTTCTCCCCCATCCACATGACTCCTCTTTGCATTCTCTTGACTGCCTGCACCCTTCTCTAGGGCCACCCAGGTCTCATTGGACTGATTGGGCCCCCGGGTGAGCAGGGAGAGAAGGGAGATCGGGGACTTCCTGGGCCTCAGGGCTCCCCTGGGCAGAAGGGTGAGATGGT
Organism: Homo sapiens; assembly: GCF_000001405.40. Lineage (NCBI taxonomy): Eukaryota > Metazoa > Chordata > Mammalia > Primates > Hominidae > Homo > Homo sapiens. The sequence goes on along the minus strand of NC_000006.12, from coordinate 33,166,717 downwards.
GAGTAGAGGGCATGGTCCCGGAAGTTGTGGGGGTTGAGAGTGGGGTGGAGAGGGGTGGAGTTGGAGTTGGGACTCAGCTGTGGGTAAGCGAGCAGGTGCTCAGGAGGGTGTGGGAGGAGGACCCAGTTGAACCAGCCACTACCCTTCCTAGGGTATCCCAGGAGCATCCGGCCCCATTGGTCCTGGAGGTCCCCCCGGCCTCCCCGTGAGTACTGCCTCTGTTCCTCCACAAAATCCCCTAAACCCCTCTGCTGCCCACCCACAGCCTCCCAACGACTTCCATGGAACTACCAGCCTAACAAGCATAGTCCTCAGGGTCCCCCATTTGTCCTGTCACCACCAGTACCTCCTCCCCATACTTCCAGGGCTCTGAATGTCCTAGTATTCCCACAAGACTGCCCCTCCTGTAGTAACCCGAGGCTCCTGTGGACTTGGGACCTTGCCTCCCCGCTCCTCTGAGTCCTGTCCTTCCCCTGCAGTGACCGTCTCTTTCTTGTTCCTCATTTCACAGGGACCTGCTGGCCCCAAAGGAGCCAAAGGAGCCACAGTGAGTGACCCCCTTCAGCTCTGACCTTTGCTCCACCCCCTCTGGACTTGATGATGTCTCTCCAGGACAAATAGACTCCCCCCAAGGAGCCCCTTATTCCAGCCAGGAGGCTGATTTGATCTTTCTGTGACCTTGATCCATGCTTGACCTCTTGACCCCTCCATGACCTGATTTATTCCTTGTCAGGGCCCAGGCGGACCCAAGGGAGAGAAGGGTGTGCAGGGCCCTCCAGGACACCCGGTGAGTGAGGAGTCAGGGCTGCTCCCAGGGCCGTACCCCTCTGCTCCACTGCTGCCACACTTCACCCTCACACCAACCTTGTCTCTTGCCCTCTCCATCTGTCCCTGCACCCAGGGTCCCCCAGGCGAGGTGATCCAGCCACTGCCCATTCAGATGCCCAAGAAGACTCGGCGCTCGGTGGATGGAAGCCGTCTGATGCAGGAAGATGAGGCCATACCGACCGGGGGAGCCCCCGGCAGTCCTGGGGGGCTGGAGGAGATCTTTGGCTCACTCGACTCCCTGCGGGAGGAGATCGAGCAGATGAGGCGGCCAACAGGGACCCAGGACAGCCCTGCTCGCACCTGCCAGGACCTGAAGCTGTGCCACCCAGAGCTTCCCGATGGTCAGTGCTAGCCTCAGGGTGCACAAACATCTCCCCAACAGCATGGGTACTGAACAAGCAGAATGGATGCTGGGGGAGTCTTGGTGAAGGTGTTGGGTTAAGGGTGAGGGCTGAGGGGCTGGGAACTGCAGCTATTTACTAACCAGGTCAGAAGTATCCCAATACTTTAGCAACTGATCTGGGTCAGTGTGTACCAGTTGGTTATCAGCCCAGTGTCTGCAGGAGCAGATAAACATACATACGTGCACACACCTGTTTGCACCTGAACAGATGAATCTGTGTGAGCGCCTGCAACCACATGTTGTCCCAGTATGAGGCTGTCCATACTCGGACCTCCTCCAGTCAGAGGGCCTGGGGTTACTGTTGGGGGCAGAGGTGTCACGTGATGAAAGTGGGCTGCAGCAGTAGGATGCTGCAGTAGAATCCAGCAGTAGGGCTAGATTCTAGGGCTCTGGGAGGGAGGAGGACCAGGAGACTAAGAGCATGATGGGGAGGGCTGGGAGGGAAGAGGGAATGTGGGGGCAAAGAGCATCTTGGAGCCTGGACCTAGGTGGCCCTGACCTCCCCTCTCCCTCACCCAACAGGAGAGTACTGGGTCGACCCCAACCAGGGCTGTGCTCGGGATGCCTTCCGAGTTTTCTGCAACTTCACAGCAGGGGGTGAGACCTGTGTGACGCCTAGGGATGACGTCACGCAGGTGAGAGCTGGCCCCTCGCTGCCCCTCCCCTGCCCCATAGTGCACCCCCTCAGGGCTTAGTGGTTTCTGGGTTTTGGTGACAGTCCCCTGGCTGTTGCCCCCCCCGGAGCCTGCCACCCCTTCTCCACTTCTTAGCTCTTTCTTCTTTTCCTTTTCACCGGTCCTCTGATGCTCACTTTGCCTTTCGTGTACCCCCAGTCTCCTGGCTCCCACTCAGCCCCTCACTTCTTTCCCAGCCCTTGCCTTCCAGCCATTCCCTGCTCATGACTCTGGCTCAGCTGTCCTGGTGCCGTAGATGCTCCTGAGGCCCGTCTCTGTCTCCCTCTGAGGCCAGCCCTCTCTCTCCCCCTCTGAGGCCAGCCCTCTCTCTCCTTCCAGTTCTCTTACGTGGACTCAGAGGGCTCCCCAGTGGGTGTGGTCCAGCTCACCTTCCTGCGGCTGCTCAGCGTCTCAGCCCACCAGGACGTCTCCTACCCCTGCTCTGGAGCAGCCCGTGACGGTCCCCTGAGACTCCGTGGGGCCAATGAGGATGAGCTGAGCCCGGAGACTAGCCCCTATGTCAAAGAATTCAGAGATGGCTGCCAGGTGGGAACAGGAAGAGCTGGGTTGGGGGCTGATCTCAGACTCAGGCTGGAGGAAGGAGGTGGGAAGACCCCTTGGGCAGGGCACCCAGGGGGAGCAGGGAGGAGTCCGTCCTGCTGGATTGTCAGGGATGCCTGAGGGAGCTCAAAAGCCGGTGAGGAAGGTGGAAAGGATGGAAGCCATCGGGTGAGGTTCACTTGGGTACAAACACCAGCGTCACACAGGTTAATGCAGACGTGTACACAGACTGGCACATGGCTGCCCAGCAGAGGCACACGGTGGGGGAGAAGCAAACACACACGCATGGGCACATAGACACTGCCAGTCTGTACATCCTGAGTCACCCTGATGGGGCCAAGGTGCTCAGAGGAGAGGTGAGCCTGGGCCTGAGGTTAGAGGGTGGGGGGTGCCTCCATCCTGCTCACACTTTCTTCCTTGTCTCCCCCTGAAGACACAGCAAGGCCGGACGGTGCTGGAGGTGCGAACGCCTGTGCTGGAGCAGCTGCCAGTGCTGGATGCCTCCTTCTCAGACCTGGGAGCCCCACCGAGGCGGGGAGGGGTGCTGCTGGGGCCTGTCTGCTTCATGGGATAGGACCGTCTCTGTCTGATCCTGTCCATTCGGAACCAGGCCCACCTGGAATCCCACAACATCAGCTCTGTGCCACCTCCCAAGAGGGCTCCTCACTATCTAGGGAGCCCTGGGCCAGGGCGTGGAGAGCCCTCAGTCGGGGCAGGCCAGGGGAGGGGTGAAGTGGTTGCCTGGACACCCCACGGGAGGAGTGGCATCTGGGGCTCTTGGCCCTCCCACCTGGAGCCTGTTACCCGTTAGAGAGCTGAGACCCTTATTTAAAACTCACCTCCCAATCACCCCAAACAAATGGAAGAGAAGAGAAAGGACATGGCGTATTTTGTATTTAAAAGTAATTGTATTAATTATTTAAAGTGTGGAAAGCAAAATAACAAAAAAGAGAAACGCCAACAAAAATCAGCAGATGTTGAAGACAGGGGTCTCGGGGGTGGGCTCCGGCACCCACATCCTGGAGTCAGGACTTTCCTCAGTGACTGTGTGTAGGGGGGTTTCAGGGCTGAACCCCACCTCCCTCCCACCTTCCTCCCACCTCACCTGTCGCACCCACTGTGAAAGTTGGAATATGTGGTCTCCCTGGCCTCAGGGCTCTGACTCTGCCAGGGTGGGGCTCTCTAACCCACAGGTGTTGGCTGCCTGGCCCATGTGCCCACTGTCTCTTCCACTTGGTCTGGGTTTGGCAGGCACTGCCTGCTACTTGAGGGCCAGGATGCTCCCCCAGGGAAGAAACGGAATAGTGTGGGGTGTGTGCAGGGCTGCATCCCGCAGATGGCTGGAATATTAAAATTCTTCTATATTGGCTGGTAAATTGCCATGGCCCTGAGCCACTGAGTATGTTCATTGCCACCCCTGTCCCTCCCCTGGGCACCCCTCACTTTCCCTGATCCTGCAATTAAAGGGTTAATGTGTGGCATATGGAAGGGACTCCCAGGACCCTGTGCCCAGCTTCCATGCTGACTGATGGTTAAATAATGTGATTGTCTCCTCCCAGGTGTCTGTGTCACTGCTTGTGTTGTTATTTCAGTCTCCCCCGACACCCATCTGATGCTTCCTCTTCCCAGCTAAGTGGTTACCAGAATTGTATGGCTTAATCCAGATACCCTGCAAGCCCTGTCCAGCTGGGGTGTCAGGGCCCAGAGTTTACAAAGCCTGGGTGACTAGCATAAAATTACAAACAATGCCCCAGGGACACCAGGTAGGGGTTTGGGGTCCCTATGGCTCCAGTTTCTGACACGGGTGTGCGATTGCTTCTGGGTGTGGGTGGGACGGTGCTACATAGCCCAGTCTAATCTCTGTAAATGGGGAGGCTGAGGCCCACTTCCAAGACATTTACTGCATCTGTACCTCTGGTCACCTTATCCCTCCCCATCAGCCTTGTGCTGTGCTGTCATGAAGACAGGGCTGTGGCCAAGCCCTCCACACTCACGTGTAGTCACGTGCATACTCGTTGAGTCTTTGTGTTGGGTGGAGTCGCACAGTCCCTGCCTGTGTCCCCCCACTCTTGACTGTCCCCCACTTCCCTAGCCTCCCTCTCCTGGGCACTCAGAAGCTCTGCTCCCTCCGGGTTAGGTGTCCAAGAAGTCCTCTCTTCCAAGGCTGGCCGCGCAGCCGGGACCCCCTAGCTGGTGCCCATGGGGCTTCACATTCCCAAGCAGTATTGCCTGGCTCCTGCCTGTCAGGGCGCTGCATTAAAACGTGTTCCAGGGCCTCATCCCAATTTCCTCTTCCTCAACCCTCTTCCTCGCGGGCGCCAGAATCAAGAGTGCGTGCCTTTGTGTCCCGGTTTCGCATCCGCGGCCTCGGGGCGGGCCTGGCAGGGCTGCCCTTCACCCCGAGCCCGAGCCCGGGTAGGCTGCGCCCCCGCCCCTCCTCCCCGTACTTCTTCCTCCCAGCGTGTCCCCGACAGCATCGGCTTGGCCGTCCCGGTCCCAACCCATTCTCGATCGCAGGAAGCCCCACGTGGGCGTCTAGACGGCCACTCTGGCCCGGGCGGGTGCGCGGAAAAACTTCTCGAGGGTGGAAGCCTCTCCTCGGCGCTGGCGCCTCCGCCTCTGCCGCCCCCTAGTGCCCGCGCTGAGAACGCGGCCCCGCACCGGGTCAGCTGAATAATCCCGGTCCCTCAGACGCCTCTCCCTTGTCACCCGCTGAACCCCCTGACCCCGAAGGCCGAATGGAGGAAGAAGCCCCTGATCTCATCTGTCAGGGGTCCGGTGGTGGATAGGTTTTCTGGGATCACCCATGCTCTCCATCTCAATATCCAAGGCCCAGGGGCTTCAGACACCCCCTTCCCTCCCTCTCAGGGTCACATTAAGAGAAGATCAGATCTAAATAGGTGCCCCCCATCTGTTTCTCCCGCACCCACTCCCAGCCTAGCCGGGCTGGAGTTGAGATTTCTTTGGCGCTCTTTCTGCAGCTGGAGCCAAACCCGCAGAGGTCGCCCCCCGAACAGCAAGAGGACTTTCCCAAAGGTCACGTTTGGTCAGATGCTCTGAGTTCCGAGGGCTTTTCTGCATGGAAACAATGCTGTACAGTCACTCGAATAACATTTATATACGGCGGCTAAGTCCCCAGGCCAATCCACAAAAGCCTATTTAATTACACAGTGCTGCCAACCAACCCCATCTAACAGTTTCACGAGGGAGTCTGTGCCAAGTTGCTGTTGAGGAGGCCAGGCCCACAGCCTTCTCTTGGCAGCTAACTTCTTCCTCCCCTCCAGAAAGCTAGAGCCAGGCTCTAAGGAAGGGTGGGAGGGGTTTAAGGGCAGGGCTGTAGAGGCGGGGTTTTGGGGTGGGGCTGGGTGTGAACAGGGCAAGTGCCCAGGCCTCTGGGCCTGTGGGTAGTGGCAGTGTCTCCATTGGCTGGTGGGCAATGGAGGCTTCTGGGTGGGGTGGGAGGAGATAGGGAAGAGAAAGGCAGAGGCTTTAGGGAACTACTTTGGGTTTGATTGGGGCAGAACATAAACTCTTGTTGGAGGGGCCAAATTCTGAAAAGTATTGACTGCTTATGGAAGGAGTTGAACTTGAACCCAAAAACTAAGAGTCATAGATGGTGTTTGAAAAGGCAAGTGATATGATGGAATTGTGCGCTGGCATGGTGGCGAAGGAGAGGAGGGTTTGGGATGGGGCGCACAGGGAGATCATGTTTTTTTTTGTTTTTTGAGACAGAGTCTCGCTCTGTCGCCCAGGCTGGAGTACAGTGGCGCCATCTCGGCTCACTGCAGCCCCTGCCTCCCAGGTTCAAGCAATTCTCCTGCCTCAGCCTCCCGGATAGCTGGGACTACAGGTGTGCACTGCCACGCCTGGCTAATTTTTGTATTTTTAATAGAGACGGGGTTTCCTCACGTTGGCCAGTATGGTCTTGATCTCTTGACCTCATGATCCTCCCGCCTCGGTCTCCCAACTGCTGGGGTTACAGGCGTGAGCCACCGCGTGGGAGATCATGTATAGAGGGAGGGCTGTGGGGTGGGTCCTCTGGCCTGTCACACCCTTGGAGCTGCTTTTCAGCTTTGGGCTTATATTTTTAGCATCTGTAACTTATGGTTAAAAAATAACTTGTGAAATAAAATAAAAATAACTTACAGACCACTTATATCACTGTACCTGGGAGCACCACATATCCTAGAAGGCCATGGGCTACACAGAGCTGTTCTTGCCCTCCCTTGGCTGTCTTGCATGCTGAGGTTTGTAGTTTTGAATGGACCAGGGCAGGTGGGGGTGGAGATGAGACAGAGGAGGGAGTGAGTCAAAACAAGGCTCTCAGCCTGGGCAACAAAGCAAAACTCCTTCTCTCTCTCTCTTTCTCTCTTTCTTTGAGACAGGGTCTCTGTCACTCAGGCTGGAGTGGAGTGGCAAGATCAAGGTTCACTGCAGCCTCGACCTCCGTGGGTTCCAGCCATCCTCCCACCTCAGCCTCCCGAGTAGCTGGGTCTCCAGGCATGTACCACTAGTTTTTGTATTTTTTGTAGAGATGGGATTTTGCCCTGTTTCCCAGGCTGGTCTAGAACTCCTGGGCTCAAGAGATCTGCCCATCTCGGCCTCCCAAAGTGCTGAGATTACAGGTATGAGCCATCACGCACGGCCCTTTTTCTCTACAAAAAAATAATTTAAAAATTAGCTGGGCATGGTGGCATGTGCCTGTAGTTGCAGCTACTCAGGAGACTCAGGCAGGAGGTTCACTTGAGCCCAGGAGTTTGAGGTTGCAGTGAGCTATGCTCTTGCCACTGCACTCCAGCCTGGGTGACAGAGAGATACCCCATCACAAACAGACAAACAAACAAACAAAGGGCTCCAGCTGCCTCAGAAATAAGTTTCTGTGTAGTAGCTGGTGGCCACCTTGTTTTGTGGTTGTTTAGCCCATTTTCCTGCAAGTGTGGTGTGGTCAGCAGGGAGCATCAGGGCCACACTGGAGCTTCTTTCTGTCGAGCTGTGCAGTTCACAGACTGTACATGTGTAGGCCATAGCTATGTTTCTCAACTCAAACCTAGAGTAAGCAGAAGTCACCTTAAGTGCTTATAACTGGCCTTCTGTTATCTTTTCTTTCATCTTCAGAGTAGTTTCATGGGAACTGGCACTGACAGCAGACTGCCATCTCAGTAGGGAAGACCTGTCCTGCTAGTCCTTGAATAAAGACCAAGGATATCTACATGGGCTTCTCCTTTAGGGCTCTCCCCACACGGCCAGGATGGTAGAATGAACACAGCTCTCAGCTTCAGCGAGAGCCAGCATATCACCCTGTCTGGCTTTCCCTCAGTTGGCAGGAGCAGGTCAATCCATTTTGTGTACTTCGCTCTGGCCTCTCTTTTTTTGTTTGTTTTTTGTTTTTGAGATAGGGTCTCACTCCCCTTGCCTAGGCTAGCATGCAGTGGTGCAATCATGGCTCACTATAGGCTTGACTTCTTATGCTCAGGTGATTCTTCCCCCTCAGCCTCCTGAGTAGCTGGGACTACAGGCGAGTGCCACCATGCCCAGCTAATTTTTTGTATTTTTAGTAGAGACGTGGTTTCTCCATGTTGCCGAGGCTGGTCTCAAACTCCTGGGCTCAAGAGATCCCCCTGCCTCAGCCTCCTAAAGTGCTGGGATTATCTGGCCTCTCTTTTTTTTTTTTGAGATGGAGTCTCGCTGTGTCGCCCAGGCTGGAGTGCAGTGGCACAATCTCGGCTCACTGCAACCTCCGCCTCCCGGGTTCAAGCGATTCTCCTGCCTCAGATTCCTGAGAAGCTGGGACTACAGGTGCCCGCCACCACGCCCGGCTATTTTTTTTTATTTTTAGTAGAGACGGGGTTTCACCGTGTTAGCCAGGATGGTTTCGATCTCCTGACCTCGTGATCCACCCGCCTCGGCCTCCCAAAGTGCTGGGATTACAGGCGTAAGCCACCGCGCCTGGCCTATCTGGCCTCTCTTTCTATTAAAAACGCCTTACTCTAGGTTGAAGGACTTTTGGTTCCTGAGGCATGGATGATTTCCCAAAGTACAACAGATAAAAGCCACACTGGCTGTACAGCAGCTCATGTAAAGGTCATGTTCCAGGTCTTGGCCACTTCACCTATAACAGGCTTGGACTCCGGCAGAGCCTCAGGCCAAAGAATGTGGGTCATAGAGATATCTTCCTCATTGTGTTCACATCTCCCCCGGGCCTGGGCTATATTGTTGGGTCAGGTAATCGGCCTGCTCTCCTCATGAAATAAGGCATACTGGTATTACTAATGCTGGGAGAGATTTCTTATAATTCCATCCCTTCCCAGTTGTGGTTATTTGTATTAATACCTGCAGGTTTTCCTTACTTTTAGAACTGCAAATCTATAGAAACAAACAAACCCCAAACCCAACAAACATGTTTCAGAGACATTAGGGTTAGGGAGAAGATGAGAAATAGCACCCTGTTTGATTGGGGCCCTGGGGAGAGAGGGACTCAGACAAAAGAGTTTGAGTGGCAGGTGGTCTAGTTTTGGGTGGGTTGAGCAGACTTAGGGCCAAAGGTGGCACTGATTCTAGCTGGCAGCGGGCCTCTCTGTATTTCCAACTGAGAGTTCTCCTTCCCTTAGCTTGTCAGGGATGCTTTGCTTCTGAGTTGCACACTTAACCTCAGCATCAGTTTCTTCACCTGCAAAGTGGGATAATACTTGCTCTGTAAAGGAATAATTCCCCCTTTACTGACAGCCTTTGCAATGGAAAGTGAGGGGAGGGACCTGACAAGCTGTCTTGGTTCCATCTCCATGTCTTGGTTATTGCTGACACACGGGTGTCTGGGGCATGCTGCTGTCCCTTTTCCACTTTTGATTTTAGTGCTGTTAAAACTCTATACTTACTATTATTATTTTCTTGTTACAAATCGCAAAATCTGATTCAGAATAGCTTAAGCTCCAAAAGGAATTGATTGTAAAAATATTGGGTTTCTCAGGATTTGAAGACAGAGTTGACTCAATAGGGAAGACTGAGAGCAGTTCTGGGAACCTCAGGGGCTCATGGACTTTGTCCCTGGAGTGTGGATACTCACCGCTCAGCAGAGCTGCTCTTGACCTCTGTGTCTCTGGGCCCCATGGTTCAAAGTCATGGAGAGACAATCTGATTGGCTTAGCTTGGGTTATCTCTGTCCCTGAGAACCAATTTTCTGTGGCTGAGGGCCCAGTGTACCAACCAAGAGGTATGTAGGATGCCTTTTGGTGGAGGTGGAGGGGTGTTGGGGGCACTGTTTCCAGATAATGTGGGATCCTGAGGCCCCCAGGAGGTGTCCGCTTGCTTTCCCTTCTTCGCTTCTGTCTAAACAGACTCCTTTGTATGCATTTGACCAGCGTGATACAACCAGCCCCTTCATGATCACATTTGCTCTCCCTGCCACCCAATCTCCTGGATGGGCAACCCAAAGTCACATTCAGCAGCTGTGGCCATGACCTCTCTAACCTCAGAGGCCGACATCTCTGCCAGTTCATATTTTGCCACTTTGTGATTCAGCACATAAACTTTCATGGCCGTTATATCCAGGGCTGCATTGTGACTTCTGCGGGCCCTATGCACTTTTCTAAACAATAAATTTGAAATCATACTTATGATTGTGTTGATACACAGGCAACTATATTAATATTATATATTAAAATATTTTCTTCAACCTTAATTTTTTTTCTATTTTAAAAGAAATGTAAACATTGCCATGGGAGTATTGTGGGCCCTAGGCACTGTGGCTACTGTACATAATGGATCCATGGGCCCTCCTTGTGTCTTTGTTAAAGATTTTACTGGTTTACTCTTAAAATGTAATCACAATTCTGTTACCACAATTTTAATAATCATTCCTGTTGTCATCAAATATCCAGTCAGTGTTCAGATTTCCAAGATTGTTTTGTAGGTTTTGTGTGTGTGTGTGTGTGTGTGTGTGTTTGACTCATGATCCAAATAAAGCTGATGGTCTTCTAATTCTTTAAAGATCTACATTTTCCGTAATTTATTTAAAGTCCTTTTTGTTTACTTTTATTATGGACAAATTTAAGCATATACAAAAGTGGTTTATTATTGCTTTTTTTTTTTTTGAGATGGTCTTGCTCTGTCGCCCAGGCTGGAGCACAGTGGCACGATCTCAACTCACTGCAGCAACATCCGCTTCCCAGGCTCAAGCGATGCTCCAGCCTCAGCCTCCCAAGTAGCTGGGACTACAGGCGCCAGCCACCATGCCCGGCTAATTTTTGTATTTTTTGTAGAGACAGGGTTTTGCCATCTTGTCCAGGCTGGTCTCCAACTCCTGAGCTCAAGCAATCTGCTCATCTTGGCCTCCCAAAGTGTTGGAATTACAGGTGTGACCCACTGAGCCTTGCCTGTTATTGCTATCTTAAAAAGAATTAATACATGTTAAAAATCTTTTTCAGTTCTAATTTTGAATACAGTAAATATCAATAACAATATTGTAAGTAAAGCTTTTCAGTGTTTTCAGTAATTTAAGGGGTTTATACTCTTAAAACATTGAGAGATTTTTTTCAAATTGAGATTTAAAAAAATTGGGAATCACTAATCTAGAAGAACTGTTAAAAATAGTCATGCCCACCTGTGCTCACCCTTAGAGATCTGGATTCAACCCATTTGGGGCGTGAGCAAAGGGACTTGTGTAAAATTTCCCCAGGCAATTCCAAAGTGCAGGCTGTGTTGAGAACCTCTGCTCTAAACTGGAGAGATCCCGTAAGAAATAAGCAGCCAGGTGCAGTGGCTCATGCCTGTAATCCCAGCACTTTGGGGGACCAAGGCAGGTGGATCACTTGAGGTCAGGAGTTCGAGATCAGCCTGTTCAACATGGTGTAACCTTGTCTCTACTAAAAATACAAAAAATTCGCCAGGTGTGGTGGCACGTGTCTGTAATCCCAGCTACTGGGGAGGCTGAGGCAGGAGAATCACTTGAACCAGGGAAGCAGAGGTTGCAGTGAACCGAGATCATGCCACTGCACTCCAGTCTGGTAGACAGAATGAGACCCTGTCTCAAAAAAAAAAGAAAAGAAAAGAAAAGAAAAAAAAGGAAATAAGCAAAGATGGCCGGGTGTGGTGCCTCACACCTGTAATACCAGCACTTTGAGAGGCTGAGGCGGGCGGATCACCTGAGGTTAGGAGTTCGAGACCAGCCTGACCAACATGGAGAAGCCCCATCTCTACTAAAAATACAAAATTAGTCGGGCATGGTGGCACATGCCTGTAATCCCAGCTACTTAGGAGGCTGAGGCAGGAGAATCGCTTGAACTTGGGAGGCAGAGGTTGCGGTGAGCCAAGATCACGGCATTGCACTCCAGCCTGGGCAACAAGAGTGAAACTCTGTCAAAAAAAAAAAAAAAAAAAAAAAAAAAAAAGAAATAAGCAAAGGCACAGAGTGGGAAAGGCAACCAAATGCCCTAGGTCTGAAAGGGCCTCCTGGGACCTGCTGCATCCAGCAGAAATGCTTGCAAGTGCAGGCCCAGACAACCCAAAAAACAGGGGCTAAAATAAACAGGAATTCATTTTTCTCATAAGAAATCTGAGGATGACAGCTTCCAGCATTGGTTTGAGCATTTAATGATGCCATCAGGGTTCCAGACTCTTCATATGTTTACACTCCACCCTCCTACAATGTTACCCTTACATATTTTCTTTGGCTAAACTATAAGCACGTTTTTCATAATAGCTGTTCCATTTACATCACTGTCAAACATGACATTCACCAATAAAGAAAAGACGCATGAGACGTGTTCGGCACCCCTTAGCTGTAGAAATGCCTGCCACCACTTTGCTGTCATGAAAGAGCCATTTTATGGCTATTGCAAATGCTTTGAAGATACTAAGACTTGTACCTGGAAGCTATAGATGCAGTGTGGGAAACTGGGAAGTATAATTGCCACTGAATTGTTATTGATTTATTACTGCAAATAAATCTATGCAGGTCCCTTCTGAAATTGAGATGGTCCTGAACTGAACAAATGTCTTATTGACATTCATAACAGTGGCTGGTATTCCTTCTTTATCCTGTTTGTCAGTTTTTGGAATTCACTGATTAGATAAATAAAAAGAATCTCACTTGCTCCTTACTAATGAGCTCCACGGAGGGGCATGATGTTGGAAAAGGCACCATGCAAGGCATGATTACTAAGAAGACAAAGGGCTTGTCGGGGAGCTGTTAGGGAGGGTCCTGAGCCAGGGCTTGGGAAAAACATCTCATCATTTTACTGTATCTGATGCTTGGAAGTGACATGTGCTTTGCAAACTCCAGTTTATGTTTTGATGACTTTGTGCTTGTTCTGCTTGGTTAGGATTAGCTTCAGCTGTGAGAAACAGAAAACCCTGGAAACAACAGTGTCTCCACCAAGATAGAAGTTCATTTCTCTCTCACATGCAACCCTAGGGCTGGTGTAGTGTTTAAGTGTCAGAGACTCAGGTTCCTTCTATCTATCTTTTTCTTCCACCAGCCTCAACATAGCTCTTCTCTCTCAGGTCCAATATGACTGCTTGAATTCCAGCTTTCATGTTTGTGTTCCAGTCAGCTGAAGGAGAAAGGGGAAATAAGGACAACCCCTCTTTTTTTTCGTTTTTTCTTTTTTTTTTTTTTTTGAGAGGGAGTCTTGCTCTGTCACCCAGGCTGGAGTGCAGTAGTGGATCTCAGCTCACTGCAACCTCCGCTCCCCAGGTTCTAGCGATTCTCCTGCCTCAGCCTCCTGAGTAGCTGGGATTACAGGCATGTGCCACCATGCCTGGCTAATTTTTGTATTTTTAGTAGAGATGGAGTTTCACCACGTTGGTCAGGCTGGTCTCAAACTCCTGACCTCAAGTGATCCACCCGCCTTGGCCAATACCTTTAGGCAAAGCATTATAGCAGGAGTCTAAAAACAAATGGGCTGTTTTGTTTTGCTCGGAAATCTCTCCCCGAGGGATTGTTTTGTTTTTTGAAGTATTTGAAGGCTAAGTATCTAGAGCTTGTGCTCATGGAGTAGCTGCCCCCTTTCCTCGTGAGGCCACCATTAGTTACCTCTGCATATATGTCTGCCTCTGAGGTGTCTGGCTGTCTGAGGAGGCCTCTGGCTTTGTTAGTACACCACTAGGATATTTGCAACGTGGATCAAGACTTTTTAATTTAATTTAATTTTATTTTATTTTTTTGAGATGGAGTCTTTCTCTGTCGCCCAGGTTGGAGTGCAGTGGCACAATCTCAGCTCACTGCAACCTCTGCCTCCCAGGTTCAAGCCATTCTTCTGCCTCAGCCTCCCAAGTAGCTAGGATTACAGGTGCCTGCCACCATGCCTGTTGCGGGAAGTCAGGGACCCCAAATGGAGGGACCAGCTGGAGCCGAGGCAGAGGAACATAAATTATGAAGATTTCATTTTAATATGGACATTTATCACTTCCCTAATAATGCTCTTATAATTTCTTACGCCTGTCTTTACTTCAATCTCTGAACATAAATTGTGAAGATTTCATGGACATTTATCAGTTCCCAAGTAATACTCTTATAATTTCTTATGCCTGTCTTACTTTAATCTCTTAATCCTGTTATCTTCACAAGCTGAGGATGTACGTCACCTCAGGGCCACTATTGTACAAATTGACTGTAAAACATGTGTGTTTGAACAATATGAAATCAGTGCACCTTGAAAATGAACAGAATAACAGCGATTTTAGGGAACAAGGAAAGACAACCATAAGGTCTGACTGCCTGTGGGGTTGGGCTAAAAGAGCCATATTTTTCTTCTTGCAGAGAGCCTATAAACAGACGTGCAAGTAGGAGAGATATCGCTAAATTCTTTTCCTAGCAAGGAATATTGATAATTAATACTCTGGGAGAATAATTGCATTCCTGGGGGGGAGGTCTATAAACAGCCGCTCTGGGAGTGTCTGTCTTATGCGGTTGAGATAAGGACTGAAATACGCCCTGGTCTCCTGCAGTACCCTCAGGCTCACTAGGGTGGGGAAAAACCCCACCCTGGTGAATTTGAGGTCAGACCGGTTCTCTGCTCTCGAACCCTGTTTTCTATTGTTTAAGATGTTTATCAAGACAATATGTGCACAGCTGAACATAGACCCTCATCAGTAATTCTAATTTTGCCCTTTGCCTTGTGATCTTTGCTTTGCCTTTTGCCTTGTGATCTTTATTGCCCTTTGAAGCATGTGATCTTTGTGACCTACTCCCTGTTTGTACACCCCCTCCCCTTTTGAAGTCCTTAATAAAAAGCTGCTGGTTTTGTGGCTCAGGTGGACATCATGGACCTACTGATATGTGATGTCACTCCTGGCGGCCCAGCTGTAAAATTCCTCTCTTTGTACTCTTTCTCTTTATTTCTCAGACTGGCCGACACTTAGGGAAAATAGAAAGAACCTGCATTGAAATATTAGGGGTGGGTTCCCCAGATACATGCCCAGCTAATTTTTTTGTGTTTTTAGTAGAGACAGGGTTTTGCCACGTTGGCCAGGCTGGTCTCGAATTCCTGACCTCAGGTGATCCACCCGCCTCAGCATCCCAAAATGCTGGGATTACAGGCATTAGCCACTGCACCTGGCCATCTCAAGATGGTTTTAATGGTTAGAAATATCAGCCAATTGAATTTTCAGAGACATATGCCACCTAATTTTGTATTCAATACTTAAGTCATTAAACTCCAGTGGTCTATATACCTGTTTGGCCTCTAAGACAGTTTGGCCTCTAAGTCTGTGAGCACTTTCTGTGATGATGGAAATGTTCTACATTTATGCAATTTAATGTGGTGGCCACTATTCACATGTGGCTATTGAGCACTTGAAACATGGCTAGTGCACTAAGAAACTCAATTTGAAATTCAATTTTAATTTTATTTAATTTAAATGGCCACAGGTAGCTAGCTAGTGCTACCATATTAGACAGCACAGCTCTGAGGCTCTTTTAAGGACCCACATAATTCAATGAAGAGACCCAAGTTTAATACAGATGTGGGATATGCAGTCTTCATAATTCAAACACGCCAATTAATTTCTGTTCCTCTTTTTCAAGTTGGGGGCTTTCAAGCACAAAGGCTTTTACCTGGTCTTGGGCAGAATTTTTCTCCCCAAAATTTTACCAAAATTTGTGCTCTTTTATAGTCTGTTTCTTTTAACTCATAAAATTAATAATGGAAGACAGAGGTTTTTGATGCAGTTGCTTTAAAAAAAACCAGGTTCAGGCCAGGCACAGTGGCTCACACTTGTAATCCCAGCACTTTGGGAGGCTGAGGTGGGCGGATCTTCTGAGGTCAGGAGTTTGAGACCAGCCTGGCCAGCATGGTGAAACCCCGTCTCTACTAAAAATACAAAAATTAGCTGGATATGGTGGTGCGCATCTATAATCCCAGCTACTTGGGGCTAAGGCAGGAGAATTGCTTGAACCTGGGAGGGGGAGGTTGCAGTGAGCTAAGATTGCGCCACTGCACTCCAGCCTGGGTAACAGAGTGAGACTCCATCTCAAAAATAAATAAATAAATAAATAAATAAACAAATAAATAAATAAATAAAATCAGGTTTACTGAGATATAATTTAAATACAGTGAAACCATAGCTGTACAGTTGTTTATGAGTTTGACAAACATATTCATTGTGTAACTACTACTACAATGAAGATAATATTTCTATTACCCCAAAAAGTTTCCTCATGGACACAGCTTTTTTCAAGTCACTCCTGGTTAATGTGTCATTAGGATAATAAAACAATGTTAATTCTTGAATTGGATTTAGGCTGTTTAAATTTTGCTCAATGGATTGTACCTCGGAGGTGGGAGAATTTACTCTGGCAACTTAGTAAAGGTTGGGGCTGCCAAGTGAAGGCAGACTGTTGGTGAATATAATTTATTGGGATTGAAAAGGATACATCAGCCAGATTGATGCATGAATGCTAATCAAGGGTTGATTTAGCAAGATCTTCTACTAAGGAAATAATATCATGTACAGTGCTAATCACATTTTTTTCATAATTGAGTTAAATATTTAAAGTGATTAGAATAGTCACTGCCACTTAATACTACTTCAGAATTAGCTGCTTTTCTTAATATCGGTGTAATTCACAATTCACTTCCAAGCTCCACCTCCCTTTTGACTGGCCAAAATGAGTTGTTAAAGAGTCCTACTCTTTATCTCAGATTTCTCCAACAATGTTATCATAATTGTTATTTTACATATTCTCCTAGGGATTTGTCACTATTTCATATTACGTTGTTTTGTGGGGAAGTGGAATTCTAGAGGTTCTTAAGAGCTTTTCCAGCTCCCACAGTTGCAATCGTAAGTTCAGATAACATGCCCAGGGGCAGGAGAAATCACCATAGAAGCTTTCTTGGTTCTCTGTATCTCCCATTAATGTTTCATAACCTTCCACCTTCATACTTTCCCCTCCACATACCCTGGTATTCAAAATAGCCCTTCTTATTAGATTGGGTTTTCCTAATTAAAAGTTGCCATTGATGTTATATCCCAAAGTTTCTGGAATTCCTAAACATTGTCCTTTGTCTAAACTGTTTTAACGTGAGTGCAGAGTGTCTCCAGACACAGGTTGGAACAGATCTGGAGGGAAGAACATTGGGGCTGTTTGTCCCATCGTATGAGAGGATCTGGTTTTAGGGCAAAGCTCTTTAAGCTTGGAGAATGAATCGAAGGTGTGGAAGTGCCCTGTTTCTGTATGTTCTAAGAGAAATGAGCTCTTAACGTTTATAAGCTTTTTGTCTTGGCATTCCCCTTCGGTTTGGTCCCTAGCACTGTTAAATTACATGAATTGAGGGTTTGCCAAAACTACTGCTAAATTTGCAGCTTCTGTATCTGCTAAAATTGGACTATTTTTGATACTTCCTTTAACCTGTTTTGTAACCTTGTTAATTTTCTAATGAGCCCATTGTGCTGTTGGGATTCCGATATCCCCAAATCTAATGAGCCATGACCATACACGTTAGCTCCATTCCCACTGGGTTCTCAAATTCTTTTTCATTTTTCCAATTCTTTAGCACTTTCTCTTATAGGCGGTTCTGCCTTAATTTGAAATTAAATGAGAACTTCAGCCCCTTCGTCTCACCAGCTGCTAGCATTTTAAGTGCTCAAGAGCCACCTGTGGCTAGTGGCGGCTCGGTTGGATAGATACAGAACATTTCCCTAACAGCAGAACATTGTATAGGACAGCACTGCTCAAGGGATTGCTCTCCGATGATCACACCCACTTTACAGATACTAGGACTGTCTAACTATGTACACTTTCTTTCTTGCAAATACGATGTCGAAGGCTTTCCCTCAGTTTGTAACTTTTAACAAATATTTTAGAATCTTTATTGATCAATCTCTCATACATCTGTGCAACAAAAATATATGTATTCATTTAATTCTTTAATTGACAAAAATTGAATCTGTTTATGGTATACAATATGATGTTTATATATATATATATATATATATATATACACACACACACACATTGTTTAATGGCTAAATCAAGCTAATTAATATGTGCATTACCTTACATATTTTTTGTGTTGGGTGAGAACACTTAAAATTATTCACTTAGCAATATTCAAGTACACAGTACATTGTTATTAACTAGAGTCACCATGTTGTACAGTACATATCTTGAATTTATTCCTCCTGTCTAACTGAAATTTTGTATTCGCTGATGTTAGTTTTTACAATCAACTCATTAAAAACATAATTAGGTCACAGAGGTTAGGAGGTTTTGAAAAAAACAAAAAACCAAACAAAAAATGTAATTAGGTTTGTTTGGCAATCTAGCAATGCTTAGTGTGCAATGCTTTTTACAGCCGCTGCTAAAAGCATAGCAAAACCACAGAAATCTATGTGCTGCCAAAACCTATGTATTTGGTCGTATTTATTTTGACTTGTGTTTTTTGTGTGCTTAACTTTTTCTCTAACTTTTTTTTGTAAAGAATGCTGGAGTATTCCCAAATTGTTGACAAATTCCCTTGTTTCCTGTTCTAAGCCCAGATTTCAGTGTTGGCCACTAGGTGGGGATAGGATCCTATTTCTCTATAGCCTTAACATGATTTTGAATTTCGATGCTTTGCAATGGATAATCTGGCTTTTTCCTCGAAAGCTTTAAAACATTTCTTTTGTGAATTCAAAACAACCCACAGTTTTAATTCTCTGTAGTTATCCAATAAAAAGGAATAGGAAACAAGTGCTAAATTATTTACTTACAGTGTTTCTGTATGGAAATCCTTACCCCCAAGACAGCTGGCTTCACGGCTTGACTCAATGGTGAGAAATCTGAGTTGACTCACAGCTTTCTGACAGTATTCTGATGGTACCATGTTAGGATAAATTCTTGGCCAAACAGAAAATCAAGGGAGACCTGCTTCTCCTTGTCAAACTCTAAATTAATCTACTAGTTCTTTTCATAAAGCAAAAGGTGAAATGTTGAGGACTCTGAGTTGGCGATCAATCGAAATGACTTTTAAACTAAGTCCCTTTTAATGATGACTGAAGACAATATTACATTAATCACTGGGTATTATAAACACTGGTTTCTCAGTCCTCTGCTGATGAGATTTGCTTGTTTGTGTATTTCTTTCTTAAAATCCCAAATAGTGAAGTCTCTCTTAAGCAATGGAGGCTTATTCATAGTCAAATTCCTTGCATGTAAAATTCTCTGGGTATAAAGTAGATTGCCTCCCTCTTGTTTTTCTTTTTCTTGAGACAGGGTCTCACTCTGTTGTCTAGGCTGGAGTGCAGTGGCATTATCACGGCTCACTGAAGCCTTTACCTCCCAGGCTCAAGTGTTCCTCCTGCCTCAGCTTCCTCAGTACCTGGGACTACATTTATTTTTTGTTTTTTTTTATTTTTTTGTAGAGACAGGATTTTGCCATGTTGCCCATGCTGGTCAAGCTATCTGCCCTCCTTGGCCTCCCAAAGTGCTGGGATTATAGGCATGAGCCACCAGGCCCAGCCTGCTTTCTTCTGTTTTACCAAGATGCTTGACAGTGGATATATAAAATGACAACTTCCCTTTCTCATATGTGGCACTGAGAGATGGGCAGCCTCTATTTCCTACAAGAAATATAGAATAGAAAATGTGTAATTTCTCATGGTGTTCTGCAAAAATTAAAAATTTCACAGAACACTCATCTGAATCCCTGGTTTGTAACTTTGGCTTTCCAAAACTTGCCTATATGCTAATATGATTCATAAAACATTTGTAATAATAATTTCAAAATAAAAATTTTAAAATGAATTTAGTCCTATATCTTCTATAATAACCAATATTTCCAGAAAAGTAGGATTTAAGAGTATCTTCTGTACCAATATATGACTTTCTTTTTCTTTTTTTTGGAGACAGAGTCTCACTCTGTTGCCCAGGCTGAAGTGCAGTGGTGTGATTTCAGCTCACTGCATCATTCAGTCGGCCGAAGGCCTGGCTAGAACAAAAAGGCAGAAAAAAGGTGAATTCACTCTCTCTCTGTTTTGGAGTAGGGAGTCCTATATTCTCCTCCCCTTGGACATCAGATCTCCAGGTTCTCTGGCCTTCACACTCAGGGACTTGCACCAGCAGCCCCCCAGGTTTTTGGTCTTGGACTCAGAGTTACTCCACCAGCTCCCCCGGTTCTCAGCCCTTCAGACTTGGACTGAGCCATGCTACAGGCTCCCCTGTCTCAGCAGCTTGCAGAAGGCCTAACGTGGAACTCCTCAGCCTCCATAGTTGAGGGAGTGAATCCCCAGCATAAATCCCCACTCATCTATCTACCTATATATATCCAATAAATTCTGTTTCTCTGAAGAAGTCTGACTTCTTCAGCCCCCAAAGGCCCCCAAAGGCCCCCAAAGCCCCCAAAGGCCCTAGTGCTGGTCTGTTACGAACTTCCTGGTAGACAATATTTTACACATGGCATCCCAGCTCCTTGTGGGAGGAATTAAGTGTGTCCTGTGTGGCTCCAGGGGGACAGGATCCTTGGAAGCCTGAGCCTGGTTTCTCTTAGGCTTTGCCCAGTGTGCCTTTCCCTCTGCTGAGTTTGCTTTGCATCCTTTTACTGTAATGAATCAGAGCCCTGAGTAGGACCATATGATGAGCCCTGTGAGTCCTCCTAGGGCATCATCTCACCTGGGGTGGCTCTGAGGACCCCTAACATAGCTCTTCCTCTGGCATTGGTATCTGGTAATATATAAAATCCCCCAAAACTAACTTGTCATCATAATTTATGACCATATTTCATCAAAATTTCATGTAGTCACATCCAAGAAGTTCAGTTAAGAAAGAAAAACTCTTTAAGCTTGGTTAAGGCTCTGCCATTTTTGAAAATTCGTATTAATCTAATAATATTGTAGCAACTATAAGTTTTCCTGATAACTTTTTTTTTTTTTTTGGGAGTGGGGGATGGAGTTTTGCTCTTGTTGCCCAGGCTGGAGTGCAATGGTGTGGTCTCAGCTCACTGCAACCTCCGCCTCCTGGGTTCAAGCGATTCTCCTGCCTCAGCCTCCCAAGTAGTTGGGATTACAGGCGCCCACCACCACACCCAGCTAATTTTTGTATTTTTAGTAGAGACAGGATTTCACCATATTGGTCAGGCTGGTCTTGAACTCCCGACCTCAGGTGATCTGCCTGCCTTGGCCTCCCAAAGTGCTGGGATTACAGGCGTGAGCCACTGTGCCCAGCCTCCTGATTACTATTATATAAAATTTGGACTTAGTGGCACATCATAACATGAAATGACTGGAGACAATATGACTTCTCTCTCGGTATTAAACATCAATTAAGATGAATTACAAAAATCATAGTAAACTGTATTCTAAAACCAAGCCTATGTCTGAAAAATCTGGTATACACACATCTTTTGAAACTAAGGATGTGTTTTCACTGTACAACCTGCAAGAGGTGATCTGGTGAACATAGAGTTATGGAATAAGTGTGTATCTATAACTTAGTACAAATTATATATAAAGAGAACGATAATGTATTATGCGGCTGGGCATGGTGGCTCACTTCTGCAATCCCAGCATTTTGGGAGGCTGAGGTGGGTGGATTACTTGAGCTCAGGAGTCCAAGACCAGCCTGGCCAACATGGTAAAACCTCATCTCTACCAAAAACAAAAAATTAGCTCTCAGGTACTCTAGAGACTGAGATGGGAGGATCGCCTGAACCCTGGAGGCAGAGGTTGTAGTAAGCTGAGATCATGCCATTGCATTTCAGCCTGGGTGATAGAGTGAGACTCCATCTCTAAATAAATAAAATAAAATAATATATTATGCTATTATACCTATTATTTAAAATTGGGATCTTATGTTGATTTCTACATTTGGGAAGCATATTCCTAAGAACTGACCTTTATCAGTCCTGTATTGTGTTCAGTGGCAAAGCCAGGCTTGGTGTCTGTTCCATCTGGGAACGCCAGGAGTAATGGTCCCACTCCTTGCTGCTGAGGGTACAGCATGAATTTGGGCAGCACCATGAAATAAAGCAAATGTAAGAAGATCCTCTATCAGTTGCACTCCTATTTAATAAGAAGACTTGATCATCATCAAGAAGTTAATTTCTCCATGCCTGGGTAAAACCACACTGACTCATCCTGAGGCTCTTCATTGGACCCAGTGATCACCAAATCCTTCAAGCATAAAATGGCCATGTGATTATCTCCTTCCTCTCAGGATGAAAGGCAGACAATAACATGTGATTTATGTTCCTCAGGAAAGGACATGCTATAAACTAGAGAACTTGGGAAAGAGGAAGTACATGAATTAACATGCAGGCACATGGTGGCATGTGCCTGTGGTGCCAGCTACTGGGCAGGCTGAGTGGCAGCATTGTTTGAGCCCAGGAGGTGCAGGCTATGGTGAACTGAGATCGTACTACTGCACTCCAGCCTGGTTAACAGAATGAGACCCTGTCTGTCTTTCTCTCTCTCTCTCTCTCTCTCACACACACACACACACACACACACACACACACACACAGAAAATAAAGGAGAAAAAGAAATTGTTCTTAAACATAAAATTTAAAGTGGGGTTCTTTGTATCACCACATTCTTTTTTTTTTTTTTTTTTTGAGACGGAGTTTTGCTCTTGTTGCCCAGGCTGGACTGCAATGGTGTGATCTCGGCTCACTGCAACCTCCACCTCCTGGGTTCAAGTAATTCTCCTGCCTCAGCCCCTCGAGTATCTGGGATTACAGGCACGTGCCACCATGCCCAGCTAATTTTTGTATTTTTAGTAGAGATGGGGTTTCACCATGTTGGCCAGGCTGGTCTCTAACTACTGACCTCAGATGATCCACCCGCCTCAGCCTCCCAAAGTGCTGGGATTACAGGCATGAGCCACCATGCCCAGCTGACTCTTTTAAATTTCATTCAGCTGTGCGCCCAGCCTCACCACATTTTTATATGAAGAAGAAATAAAATAATAATTACTAATTAAATAATTAAATATTATTTCCTTCTCCTTATATGTTTGAAAACATCAAAGATTTTCTCCAAAATTATCATAGCTATAAAAGAGTCAATATAATATCAAATGGTAACAAATTAATTCCTTTATGATGCAAAGAATCAATGTAAAATTGTGAAGAAATATCATCCATTCACAGAAGTAACTACAAATAAAAAATCCCAACTTGCGTAATGTATTTCCTCATTAAGAAGAAGGCGATTATGATGTCCTAATTTTCGTTTTCTTCACTTACCCCTACACTCTGCAGTAGTCAGGGGCTTCCTGGGCCATGCTGGTGCCTGACAATTCTCCCACTTCCTCCCAGCAGCTCTAGCATCTTCCTTCCCCAGCCACAGAGGCGTCCCTTCTGATGTATTCTGGTTGGTTGAGCCCCATCAGGCTGTTTCATCTCCAGCCTTTCTCCCTGGACAGGGGTAGGGAAAGGAGTGCTGGATTCGGAGCTCCTCCGTCCCTGCGCCGCCTCATTTTCTCCTTGGGGTCTGGCGCACAGTGGCCATTGCAATACACCCTAAAGACTGAAGGAGCCAGCGCAGAGCCAGGATCCTCCTGTGAGCCATGGCCCTGGCTGCCCTGCTTAGCCTCTCGGAACCTGGGCCATCAGGGGTGAGTGCGCAGGTGGGCGAGGGAGGGTGGGGGCTCTGGGCGCTTCTGGAGCCCACAGATGCTGTTTTCTTTCCTGTTCTGTTTTCTCTGTTCTTTACTGTTTTGCCTGAGGCTCTCTTTTGCTTTCTCTCATTCTAACAATAATAACCACCATTTACTGAACACCCCCTAAGTGCCAAACCTCATGTCCTTCCTCACAACACCATTTTCAGAAAGGCTTTTATTAACACAATTTTAGAAATGAAAAGACTGAGACTCAAAGAGATTCATAAATGTCTCCTTTCCCCCACGTCCTCTCGCTGAAGAGAGAAGAGCCAGGGCTTGGCAACCTCCTCTGGAGATTCTCTCGTAGATTGTAGAGGTCAGCTTCCTCAAATAGGAGTCTGCAATGTGGGTTTTTTTCCTTCCTTCCTTCCTTCCTTTTCTCCCTCCCCCTCCTCCTCTTCTTCTTCTTTTTCTTCTTCTTCTTTTCTCTCTCTCTCTCCTCTCTCTCTCTCGACAGGGTCCTGCTCTGTTGCCCAGGCTGGAGTGCAATCACGTGATCACAGTTCACTGCAACCTTGAACTCCCAGGCTCAAGGGATCCTCACACCTCAGCCTCCTGGGTAACTGGGACTACAGGTGTCTGTCACTACACCTGGATAATTATATATATATATATATATATATATATATATTTTTCCCCTTAGAGATGGAGTCTCACTGTATTTCCTAGGCTGGTCTCAAACTCCTGGCCTCAAGTGATCCTCCTGTTCAGCCTCTCACAGCACTAAGATTACAGGTGTGGGGCACCACACCCAGCCCGTTAGTGACTCTCTCTCATTTCATTCAGTCTTCAACCCACTGCATTCTCCCTTTTTCTTCCCCATGTCTCTGATGCTGCTCTCAGGGTGACCTTTATACAACCCAAACCAGTGATCACTTCTCTGTCTCTATCTCTTGTGTGTCATGAGTGTGTTTGTGATGCGTCCGCTCCTCTTTCCTGGATGTTTTCTCCTGTCTGTTGTCTTTTATGAACCCACTTCCTCTTTGTTTTCCTCCTACTTTCTAGTCTTCTCCTTTTCAGCCTCTTTTTTCATGTCTGTGTTTGTCTGGATGCAGGAGCACACACTCAGACCCTTGCTATTCTGACTTTATGTACTTTTCTTGAGTGACCTGATCCAAATTTAGAACTTCACTTATAATGAGCTTCCTTCCAGTCTGTGTCACTAACCTAGTGTACCCTGGGACCCAACCATTTAGCTCACTATCCTCAGATTAACTCCATTTGTTCCCACAGAAATTCAAACTAAGCATGTTCCAAACAGAACATCTTACCTTCTCTCGATTATTTCATTTTTCATTACCTTTGCAGTCACTGATGCCCCAGTTCTCCACGTTGGGTATTCTGGACTCCTTCATATCCCTACTTCTGGCACATGATTTAGTGATTCCTGTGGCTTTTCGTTTCATTATTGCCATTCAAACCCATCCGCTGTCCGCCTCACCCCATGTTCCTGCCCCTGCCTACACCCTCATGACTTCCCATCTGATGGCTGAAGAGTCCTATTGGTCTTGCTTTCAAACCAGCCTCCTCCAACCCATCCTCCCTACTGCTGCCCCCTCCAAACACAAATCTCATCATGTTACTGTCCTGCTTAAGATGCTTCACAACTTCCTATGTCCTGTGGGATAAAATGCAAACACCTGCCATCAGCACACAAGGCAGGTTACAGTGCCGCCCGGCG
This sequence comes from Homo sapiens, assembly GCF_000001405.40. Classification (NCBI taxonomy): domain Eukaryota; kingdom Metazoa; phylum Chordata; class Mammalia; order Primates; family Hominidae; genus Homo; species Homo sapiens. Next base: position 33,141,497 of record NC_000006.12, on the reverse strand, counting down.
CACATCTCCCCTGGCTTCAGTCACACTGAAGAACTGCAGTTCTCCTTGCAACTTCATGCCTCTCTGCTCCTGAGCCTGCTTCTCCTGCTGGACATGTCATTTCCCCTTTCTCTGTTTTGCTAACCTCAGGTAAACACTATCCCTAGGAACCTTTCCTAAATCTCATTTTTCAAAAATGCCCTCTTTATGCTCCTGAGTGGCTCCAGTGTATATCTTATGGTACTCAGTGGTGATCAAAATAACCTATGGAAATAAAAGATTAAAAAACACAAAATAAAATACACATGTAGCAATCTTCTTTTCTTTGTCTCTTTGGATTTTGGATTTCAAGCAGCTTGAGGACAAGGCCCAGGTCTTCTGAGTTACATCCTTAGTGCCTAAAGAGTGAAAATTCACAATGAGTGTTTATTTAACAGAATGAAAATTAACATTTGAAGGTGGAATTTGCTTTAAAATGCACGGACCTTTAGTTTTAGGCTTTGTGAATATAATAAAAACAAAGTAACCTAAGGTGAACAAACGACATCTCTGTAGCACAGCTTGTATATCATGTTTTTCATCTGTTTTTTCTTTGGGCTTCGTTTCTGTAGGTGAGTAATTCTCTAGCCCATAAACTCAGTGGAGGACCCTCAACATCCGTGTGTGACACTGAACTTGCCGTCACTTGACGCATCCAAGGAGAGGACTGGTTTTCCCCGTGTTGGGCTTGGAGGGGAAATCCTTGCTTAGGACCAACAACCATGCAGTGTCATTTCGCCTCACTTCCTCTTCCAGGCTGGACTCCATGCTCTCTCATCTTTATTCTTTTACTGTAATAGTAATAGACTTTTTTGTTGTCAACCTTTTGCTGCGTCTTATACATCAGGTAAAGCTAAGATACTATCCCATAGGTGTTTCAAATGCAACAACTTTTATTTCCAGGTAGAACTACACTTGAAAATATACATTCAACAAGAACATTTTGTGAATGTTATGTGCATGACAACATTTTTAAATTTACTATGACTTAAAATGAAAGTGTTTTGATAAAATTATATAAGGTACCATTTTTATTCTAAAAGTAAGAACATAACTTGAAGTCTATAAATAGCACTAAGACTTACTCTGGAGGTCTTTTCATGTCCTTCATTATTTTTTTCCCTGAAAGATTTTTATTTCATCTCCCTACTTCCCTGCCTTTCTCTGTGGCTATATCAGTATTTTTTATGTCTGGTCCTGTAGGGGTTCTGAGATCCTATGGGAATGGGGTAGGGGGACTACGCAATTTTGTTTCTACCAGGAGTTGTGTGACTTGGGTGAGTTACTTTACTTCTGTGGTCAGTTCCCCAATATGTAAAATAATTTCCTCTGTTAAATCAAGTTTAGCCTAAAGTTGCCTCCTTACATATTTTAAGTTTGGCCTAAAGGTTTCTCTGTACATCATGAACTATAACAAGTGGAGGTGTAAACAGACCATAGCCTACACTTGTGCCAATCACTGAGTTTTGGCCAATCATATGTAGCTAACTGTTTGAACTGTGTTCAAGTTAGGCAAACATTGAGCTGTAACCAATCTGGCTGTTTCTGTACCTCACTTCTGTTTTCTGTATGTTACTTTTCTTTTTCTGTCCATAAACTTTCTTCCACCACGCAGCTGTGCTGGAGACTTTGAGCATACTCTGGCTTGGGAGGCTGCCCGATTTGTGAATTGTTTATTGCGCAATTAACCTCATTTAAAATTTATTCGGCTGAAGTTTTTCTTTTATCAGGTGGTGTCAGAAGTGGGGTTGGAAGTAGAGCTTCTAATGACCCCCAGAAGTGCTGAGTGACCTAGCGAGGTACCCTCCAGGCCCATTGTGTCTCTTTCTCTCTCGGAGCAGCTGGGGATCGTGGTAAGTTCTCTTGCAGATTCCGAAGCTCCACAGATTTGTGTGTTGAGCTCTCTGAGTTTCTTTGAGTAAATTTCTGATCCTGATTGGGTTTGAAAGTCGCGAAAGAAATTGAACTGAGTCCAGGATCGGATTGGCTCCAGTAATTAACTGGCTTGGATCCGGTTAGAGACCTCTTACATCTAACTGGATCAGAAAGAAACCAGTATTAAATGGCAATATTGCAAAGGTGTAAAATTTGGCTTTTGGAAATTCACAGAGATTTTTATGTTCTACTCCTTTATTTTTCTTGTGCACTTAGGTAGGAAAAAAAATCATTGGCTAAGTTGAACAAGGGACCTGAGAGCAAAGCCAGTATTTGAGGTAAAAAATGTGATACTGAATTTCTGAAGAACTGAGTTCCTTCTGGATTATACATGCATAAGTATTAGGCCCTGGAAGGAGCAACGCCTTACAGAAATTGTCCAGGCGTGGTGGCTCACACCTGTAATCCCAGCACTTTGGGAGGCCAAGGTGGGTAGATTGCTTGAGGCTAGGAGTTTGAGACCAGGCTGGCCAACACTGTGAAACCCTGTCTGTACTAAAAATTAAAAAAAAAAATTAGCCAGGCATGGTGGCATGTGCCTGTAATTCCAGCTACTCGGGAGGCTGAGGCACAAGAATCACTTGAACCCAGGAGGTGGAGGCTGCCATGAGCTGAGATCATAATACTGCACTCCAGCCTGGGTGACAGAGACTGTGTCTCAAATAAAATTTTTTTTTTTTTTTTTACTAAAGATAACTTGCAGTAGAACATTCCAAAAGAACAACACTGCACTGAAGTGCATTTGAAAATGAGGGCTCCCAAATTAGTCTCATGTACAGTCTCATGTAGGGATGCCTATTGATATGCAGAAGCTTCTAAAAAATTTCAATATTTGCATTTAAAGACTTTACAAAAAAGAATTAAAAAGCTTAAACAACTAATTGATTTAAAAAATTAAATCTGCCTTGCGCTTTTTGCTGATGGCTGTGTGTGACAGGATTAGGCATGTACAGGATCATGGGACATGGGGAACTTTTTTCTCCCCAAAGCAGGAAACTTGAGAGCTGATGAGATGGCTGGAAAAGATCCTTCATGACTGACAAGCAGCTGCCTGAACTTTTTTTTTTTTTGAAACGGAGTCTCACTCTGTCTCCCAGGCTGGAGTGCGGTGGCACAATCTCAGCTCACTGCAACCTCCGCCTCCTGGGTTCAAGTGATTCTTCTGCTTCAGCCTCCCGAGTAGCTGGGATTACGGGCGCCCACCACCATGCCTGGCTAATTTTTTGTGTTTAGTAGAGACAGGGTTTCACCATGTTGGTCAGGCTGGTCTCGAACTCCTGACTTCAGGTGATCCGCCCACCTTGGCCTCCCAAAGTGCTGTGATTAAAGGCATGAGCCACCGCACCTGGCCCTGAACTTTTAATTTAGTGTCACTGCAATAGGTGGGTCCTTCTCTGTCCTCCCTGAACTCTTTGCCTTCCCCACCCTGCTGCAGACAATGCTTTTCTTTCTCTCTTTCTCTTCTTTCCTTTTTCTATCTTTCTTTTTTTTTTTTTTTTGAAACGGAGTCTTGCTATGTCACCCAGCCTGGAGTGCAGTGGTGCGATCTCGGCTCACTGCAAGCTCTGCCTCCGAGGGTCATGCCATTCTCCTGCCTCAGCCTCCGGAGTAGCTGGGACCACAGGCGCCCGCCACCACGCCTGGCTAATTTTTTTTTTTTTTGTATTTTTAGTAGAGACGGAGTTTCACCGTCTTAGCCAGAATGGTCTCGATCTCCTGACCTCGTGATCTGCCCACCTCGGCCTCCCAAAGTGCTGGGATTACAGGCGTGAGCCACCACGCCCGGCCTCCTTTTTCCAGCTTTCTATTATATCTTGTCTAGAGATCACATGTTGAAACTTCTGGCTGGAGGCCATTCCACCCCACTTTGAATAGATTAAAGATAGCAGAGCCCCACCAGGGGCAAGTTTAAGCCTTACCAGTTCAATATTGGGCACTAAGCAGAGTGGCTAATGTCTATGTTTTGTCACATGTATTTTGCTGTGGCTGGAAGGGAAAATGTTAATTCAGTTCCCTCATGCAATCTCTTGGGCAGCATCTTACAAAATTGAGAGGCTTTTGCCTATGGTTCCCTGAAATCAGAAAAGATGATTTTCCTTTGTGTTGTGGCTTGGCCCCCAGGCTATGTGCAGCTAACAGGGTCGCTAGGGCCACTCAGAAAGAGGGAACCCAGAAGCCTGGCATGCTGGCAAAAGGGTAAGAATTTCTTAGCAGTCAGGCTTCTGGCCTCTCTCTGTGTGGAAACGGTTGTAGGAGTAGTAAAAATCACTGTCTCCTCTGCAAAGTTTTAATTAATGATAAAAAGGATTTGTGAGGCTGGGTGCGGTGGCTCACGCCTGTAATCCCAGCACTTTGGGTGGCCGAGGCGGGTGGATCACGAGGTCAGGAGATCAAGACCAACCTGGCTAACACAGTGAAACCCAGTCTCTACTAAAAATACAAAAAATTAGCCGGGCGAGGTGGCGGGCGCCTGTAGTCCCAGCTACTCGGGAGGCTGAGGCAGGAGAATGGCGTGAACCCGGGAGGTGGAACTTGCAGTGAGCCGAGATCGCGCCACTGTACTCCAGCCTGGGCGACAGCGAGACTCCGTCTCAAAAAAAAAAAAAAAAAAAAAAAGGTATTTGTGAGCCAATCTTAAGCTGTAGCAAACCTGGTGTACTTTGTGCTATGAATTGGTCTTTCTGTGTCATTTGGTCATAAAAGGGGTTAAATAGGATAAAATGTGGGCCTAGGACTCCCAGAAGTCTGCTGTTCAAGCCAGCCTGGCAAACTGGTCAGTTACAAACTGCGGGTCCCTGAAACAAAAAAACACTGGATAAGGTTTCCCTGTCATCTTGTTTTATGTCATTGGGAGCTTGACCTTATAATCACATGATGGTACTTTCTTTTGGTCTCCACCCTCTGGAGGACAGGAATTTTGGAGTTCATGTCATAGTTAGCTCTAAAAATTATCTTGAGCAGTTAAAAGCCTTTGCAAGCTGAAAATTGGCTGCTCTTAGGCTCCTCCTTCTGGGAGGAACAATGGAAACCACCAACGGTGTAGCTTAGTGGCTAAGCTTTGCCATCTTATGATGGCAGCCAGGCAGGGTTCAATTCCAGCTCAGGGAATGAGACCTGTTTGGTTTGATATCTTTCTGATCTTTGCTATTTGCTGATTCTCTTCCCCTCATGAACAACTTCTGACTCTCGTCTTGAATTTTCCTTTCTCTGAGCTACGTTTGGAAATTCTAGAGTTTGTAAAAATTGCTTGCTACCTTTTTGAAAATACTTCGTACACTTGTGGTTAAGTCATAACCTTGTTAAAGCTTATTGGTTTCACCTGGGAGATTACCTTTGGTAAAGTTCAAAAGCCAGACATATTGGCTGTTTGGCCTGGCTAAAGTCAAGTAATAAGAGATTTAAAATGATTATTTTAGGCTGGGCGCAGTGGTCCATGCCTGCAATCCCAGCGCTTTGGGAGGCCAAGGAGGATGGATCACCTGAAGTCAGGAGTTTGAGACCAGCCTGACCAACATGGAGAAACCCTGTCTCTACTAAAAATACAAAAATTAGCTGGATGTGGTGGCTCGCACTGGTAGTCCCACCTATTCAGGAGGCTGAGGCAGGATAATCGCTTTAACCTGGGAGGCGGAGGTTGCAGTGAGCTGAGATTGAACCACTGAACTCCAGCCTGGGCAAGAGAGCAAGACTCCGTCTCTAAAAACAATCAAATAATTTTTTTTTTTTTTTAGAAAGAGCGCTATAGTTAAAAGTCAGCTTAATTAAAAGTGGATATCCAAGCTATAGGTATGTTTAAAGGGCCTTTTGGTTTTTTCTCTTCTTGGATCTTTGTTTTTTTTTAATTATTTTTTTCTTTTTAGCCAACTGAATTGTTTTTCTCCATTTTGTCTTCTTGCCACTTTTGTTGCACACATGAGAGGACCTAAGGTAACTTCTAACAGCCTGGGACTCCTTGGGAAAAACAGAGGAGGCACTACGATCCTGCTTTGGGATATAACTCGGTTTTCCTCCTGAAACACCAGGAATCAAAAGCAGATAGATCCCTCTCAAAATCTAAGGCTAAATATCCTTTTGGGGATGGCCAACAGGGTGAAACCCAGTCTCTACTAAAAATACAAAAATTAGCCTGGTGCAGTGCTGCACACCTGCAGTTCCAGCTACTGGAGAGTCTGAGGCATGAGAATTGCTTGAGCCTGGAAGGCGGAGTTGCAGTGAGCCGAGATTGCACCACTGCACTCCAACATGGGTGACAGAGTGATACTCTGTCTCAAAATAAAGGAAAGAAAGAAAGAGAGAGAGAGAGTGGAAGGAAGGAAGGAAGGAAGGAGGGAAGGAAGGAAGGTCATTTCCACAGTTAATTGCTTAATGCTGGTGCAATTTCTGAAAACTTCACAAGTAGGCACAATTCTAGAATATGGTGTCTTTTAGGAGGTTCCTGAAAGGATGGAAAGGACCCCAAAAAGTATTCTTGATTACAGGTTTCTGATAACTTTAGAATCATATCATTTTTACTGGGTAAGAATTCCTGGAGCTTTTTTTTTTTTTTTGAGACGGAGTCTCACTCTGTCACCCAGGCTGGAGTGCAGTGGCACGATCTTGGCTCACTGCAAGCTCCGCCTCCCAGGTTCACGCCATTCTCCTGCTTCCTGGAGCTTAAAAGACTGACTGGTTTATAAAACTGCCATCCCAAGTAGAACACAAATTAATTGAATACCAAGAAAATACTTTGCAAGTCTTTCATGCTAAATCACCCAATACTGAAATTGTTTAGATACACAATTTGAAGAAACTCTGTGGTCTAACTCAAATTACCTATGATAACCCATCAGTTATCAGTGCTATGCACCTCAATTGGAGAAACAACCGTGTCAAGCATGGACTCATGGAGAACCAAGGTGGCTGCCTTATCCTTCCTGAGCTTTTAAAGCTTTTATAATTTAAAGTTCTGCATTCCATGACTCATCATGGAAAAGATAAAATGATCCAAGTTAAATGCATATTGGTGTGGTGACTTCTAAATTGCTAAAATAGTTTATGACCAATGTTTGGTTTGCCAAACCCATATTCCTGGGAAGACAATCAAAGCTTCAGGTACATTCTGCTACCTCATGAGCCATTTAAACATTTATGAAGAGATTTCAGTCAATTGTCATTTTCAATGCATGTTTTCTGGTTGTGTAAAAGCTTTCCTATACAAGTGAACTGATGTTATAACAGTAGATTATTATTTCACAGTGTATTTTCACCAGGTAAAGAAAGCTTTTTATGGTTCACTGACTGAGGACAATCAACCCCTTCACAATCTAGAACCTGAAGATTGGATCTTCTGAGAACATCAGAGAAAGACTGCCCTTGCCATCCACACTGCAGTAAACATCAGAACCGTGAACTTTGGCTTCATGATCTCACAACTGAGAAGGATCCCTCCACATTCTTGGAAATATACACCCATTGGAACCCGTAAGGTAAAGCTAACCAGGGAAGTTTCTTCCCAGAAGAAGATGGTATCCTTGATGTGAACAGCTTTCACCAAGATCACAGATCAAGACTTCTCTGCTATATGGAGGCTCTTATCTCTGAGTATTTTTTCCCTTGCTGATGCCTCTATGAACAGTAGAAGTGAAAAGGGGGTCTGTTGTGTGCACTTATGGGGTAGGTATACTTTTATTGGTGAAGGGTTTTGCAGCCAGCCTTATACATGGATAACCTCACACCTTGATAGATGAAAGATGAAGGCCCAGTGTAGGTGAGAAATTTTAATGGTACATAGGTTGCCTCATAATCAGTCAGAAACAGAACATTGATTCACTCCCCTATTCCACATCATGGGTTAAAGAGAACATTGCCAGGAGGCCTTCAGTCTTCTAGAAGGGCATTTTTCCTTAGGTCCTTTTTACCATGATTTGGAGTAAAACAGGCAATGATTAGAAATGTATCCCTCATGATAGGCTCTAAACAGAGTCTACTGTAAGGGCGATGGTTACACAACAGATTTTACATTCTTTTGTGAAAGTTATGCTTAATAGTAGGATTGCTGTAGATTACTTACTGGCTAAACAGAGAAGTATCTGTGCAGCTGCTGGCACTTGTGGCCTATGGAGAAATACATCACGTCAGGTGTACAGAGATTCAGTTGTAGGTAATTAATGAAGAGACTGCTTAAATGAGTAAACTCTTTATTTAGCTCATTCTTTGATCTATTTAATTTTGGGTGGTTTGGTTTATGGGGACCCTGTGTAAGGAGCATACTCCAAACTCTTGGTATTATCCTCCTGATAGTCATAATAGTAGTCTACCTGGTGCACTGTATTCTCTCGAAAGTTTTAAATGTTTGCATGCAGCCATCTCTAGAATGTCAAATTGTCTCTCTTCAACTAGAATGACAAGATTGAAAGAAATGTGTGACCATGATGGCATTTTAACCTATGAATGATGTGTTGAGACTGGAAACCCAAAATGATGGTAACTGAGAGTGGCGCTAAGGCCCTAAGCTTTGGTCACATTCTCACCTAAGTGAGAACCTGACCAAAAAGGGGACATTTTTAAACAAAATCATGGGAGGCCATTGTTTTGGACTTTAATGAAAGGCTAAATGCACTAAGCCCCAACAGACCAGACCAAACCAAAATGGAGTCACTTGTGCTAAATGTGACATGATTAAACTAAGACTTTAAGGAAACACATAGATCCTAAAACAGACCAGGTTTTGTTTTTTTCTCCTATAAACAGAACGTTCCAACAAAAGGAGGTAACCCTTACAAAAATAAAATTAAAATAAAATAAAATAACCTGAAATCCTTGTTCCCCCTTACAAAACTCATTGTTCTGCTATTTCCCAGGGGGTTTCAAGACCAAATAAGTACATTTACAATGGTGATAGTGGCATCGATGACTAAAGTTTTGGTAAATCTCTAAAAATTGAGAAGATTACCAAAAGAGGAAAATTGTTAAATCAAGTTTAGCCTAAAGCTGCCTCCTTACATATTTTAAGTTTGGCCTAAAGGTTTCTCTGTACATCGTGAACTATAACAAGTGGAGGTGTAAACAGCCTACACTTGTGTCAATCACCAAGTTTCGGCCAATCATATGTAGCCAACTGTTCAAACTGTGTTCAAATAAGGATACACCCAGCTGTAACCAATTGGGTGTTTCTGTACCTCACTTCTGTTTTCTGTATGTCACTTTCCTTTTTCTGTCCATAAATCTTCCACCACATGCCTGCAATGGAGTCTCTGAGCCTACTCTGCCTCGGGAGGCTGCCTGATTCACGAATCGTTCATTGCTCAATTTGACTCTTTTATATTGAATTCAGCTGAAGTTTTTCTTTTTTTCTTTTTTCTGTTTTTTTTTTTCGAGACAGAGTCTCACTCCGTCACCCAGTCTGGAGTGCAGTGGCGCAATCTCAGCCCACTGTAACCTCCTCCTCCCGGTTCAAGTGAGTCTCCTGACTCAGCCTCCCAAGTAGCTGGGACTACAGACAGCATGCCTGGCTAATTTTTGTATCTTTAGTAGAGACAAAGAGGTTTAGTAGAGACAAAGGGGTTTCACCATGTTGGCCAGGCTGATCTTGAATTCCTGACCTCAAGTGAACCACCTGCCTCGGCCTCCCAAAGTGCTGGGATTACAGGCATGAGCCACCGTGCCTGGCCAGAAGTTTTTCTTTGAACACTTTTTTTTTTTGGGGAAGGAGTCTCGCTCTATCTCCCAGACTGGAGTGCAGTGGCGCGATCTCAGCTCACTGCAAGTTCCACCTCCCGGGTTCACGCCATTCTCCTGCCTCAGCCTCCTGAGTAGCTGGGACTACAGGCACCTGCCACCATGCCCGGCTGATTACAGGCGTGAGCCACCGCGCCTGGCCTTCTTTGAACACTTCTACGTGGAAGTGTGAGGATTCAATGAATAAGTTGAGCACATGGTACATGTTCAGTGAATATTTTCTGATTGTGTTCAGTGTTATCATTATTGGAATGATGTGAGGGTTGTGTAAGTCTTCAGAGACCAGGGAAACAACTGAAATCTTCTATGAGTCATTTCTATCATTGTTTATCCCCATTCCTTTTCTTTTCATTCATTTTTGCATTTCTCATTTTCTGTGTTATTCCCTTGCATTCTTAAAAACTTTCCCATTACCTGCTTGCTTCTTGTATTCTGTGTACTTTCCTATGTGTTCCTCATTCTGCAGTCTTCTTCCCCTTCAAGCAGCAGACCATGTGTCAACGTATGCAGAGTTTGTGCAGACACACAGACCCTCTGGGGAGTATATGTTTGAATCTGATGAAGATGAGCAGTTATTTGTGCACCTGGACAAGAAGGAGATGGTCTGGCATCTGTGAGAGTTTATTCACACTGTGAGGGGCAGAAAATGAAGGGACCAGGGATGGAAAGGGATGGGGGACAAAACACTAAGCTGGCAGTCCTAACCCCAGTGTGTTTATTCTACTCCAGGTGTCAAACTTTCTCAGTCAGAAGTTGACATAAGGAAGTCACCAGCTTCGGTCTCCTTTAAATCTCCAGGCCTAACTTTCTTTTGAATCTCTGCTCTTCAACCACAATGACTTATGTACCCCAAGACCCCTCTACCTCCTGGCTGCCTATGATCCTCCTGCACCTAGCACTCAGCAAAGGGTCTGACATTTAGATAGCACTCAATCAATATGAAGAATTTAAAGTGTAGTGACAAGGTGGTGCCCACACTGGATGGTCTGTATGCTGTGGTCTCATCAGGGACCTTTCTCTGCACTGCATTTTTCCTGAGAAATCCCAGAGTTCAATAAATACCTGTGTATGTCAGAGCTAGACACATCTGATGCCTTTCTGTGACTCCTTATATTCTCAGTTTCCTAGGAATGCATATCCTGGACTTGTAATTGTAGGATACAGGTGCATTATGGGTGCAGATACCTCAGTTTTGCATCCTGCAAGAGTTAGTCTGCAGATTGTTCACTCCACTCTGGGTACGGCTGACACCTACAGCATGCGTCCAGGGGACAAAAATGGAAGGAGATGACTCTGATTGGATAGTGAGAGGAACACGGGTAGCTCTGGTAAACTGACCAGGGATAGGCGCCCAGGGGCACACAAGGCCCAGAAGCTGCTTGTGAGAAGTCAGGGAGAAGGAAGCCAACAACTGGATGTATCAGAGAGCCACTGAGTGCTCATTATGTGTATCAGGAGTTAAGAATCCATCCTCTACACGAAAAGGAAAGCTTAGACCAAACATGTCTTCTACCTTGATTTACAGTAACTTAATATGAAATGCAAAACACATAAAAATTTTGGATTGTAAAAAAAAGATCAGTGTTTGAAAGAGTGCCACACCTATTGCTTTGCACTTTCAACAATGGGGAGGCGTTTCTCACTGTATGAATTATTAGCTCAGGAGGTCTAGGCTGGTGAATGAATGCAGACTTAGAGGATAAATGTCGTCTACTTGATGCATTCAAAAGGCCAAGCAACATTTGGTTAAGGAGTATTTGTGATGGCATGCAAAGAAAGTGTTGAAAGTGTGTTAGATTATATTTATCGTTTTAAATTCTGATGCTTATTTAATTTCTTAACAGTAATGCTAAAACATGCTCTTAGTAAGTTATATGTTGAATCAGTGCTATGTTAATATGGGCCCTATAACACAGATTTGCAGTCTGTTCACCACTGAATAGCTAAGAATAGTGGTTTCAGACCTAAATGGATGAAGACACCAAACATGAGGATGGGGCAGCTCACTGAAATATAGTAAATCCAGGAGAGGTCTATGTCCAACAGGCCACCTTATACAATAGTTTGGATGGATTTTCATGGTTTTCTTCTTTCTTATGTCTAAACCACAATGAACTTCTTTATTAACTCTTACTGTTTGCTAAAACCCTCAAGAAAAAAAAGTGATGAGACATGACTTGGTGTATATTCTTAACAGAAAACAATCATGTTGGGTTTTGATTACTCATGGCACTAAGGAGAAAGGAACTTGGTTGGAGGCCCCATGAGAGAAATCATGCATTGAATCCAGGAACAGAATGATAGAAACTGGCTTCAGTGCAACTACTCAGCAGCAGCATCCTCTTGGGAGGCTGGGGGTCTGTCCTCGAAGCAGGTACTGGGACTAAAGAAACAGAAAATGCTTGTTCCAAGGTACATTAGTCTTTTAGGCAAGGTCAGCAACCCTGTGGAGGTAAAAAACAGTAATCCCAGGTTGCTGGCCCCCTTCCTTTAAGTCCCAGGAGAGAAAAATAACGGTGAGAGGCTGAATCTCAGGCTGATAAAGAATAGAGTTGATCTGAGCTTCCTTTAGCAATGGAGCCATGCAATGCTCTTTCCCCACTCACCCCAGGGCTGAGGTTGAAACAGGGGTTCAGGCCTGAGACTCTCTTCCTAGAGGAGCCTCAGTGTCACAATGTACAGAAAGGACTTATGTCCTCCTGTAACTCCCCCAACAAGGAAATCAAAGCAGGAATATTGCCTGTTTATGCAGATCCTTGTTGAACTGAAATGAAAGGAAGAAAGAGAATGTATTCAGCTACTGAAACCACCTCAGACAATTAGAGAAACGTTTCCATCATACTTCCATTGTCCATCACTCAATGGACGCTCTGCAGGAGCCTGAGTAACTGGGACCTCATGCATCTGGCTGCATTAAGATGCCAGGCTGGGATTCCTCTCTCCTTAGAAGCTGTCTTTGTTTCCTGACTATGTGATTTCAGCAAGCTCTCTGGCATTGCTTTTTTGTCTCAGCCCCTCATCATGGAAGAAGGGTGAGCAAGTCAGGAGAAAGGTGGGTATCGGTCACCTCACAGGATTTCTCACCTTTCTTCCTCCTTCTGTGCGTGAAGATGTCCACTCCACAGATGATGAGCCCCAGCATGAAGCCCCTGGCTCCTGTCAGCATCTTGCTCTGCACAGAATCAGACTGTGCCTCTAGGAAGAACAGGCTCAGGTTCAGAGTCACCTCCAGCAGCTGCACCCCTGCTCATGTCCTGTCTGAGATCCTGCAGCCTGATGCAGAATATTGGCACGAGGAGAGCGAGGGGAATACACCTTGCATGACAGGAAACTGAGAAACAGTCACTCTCTCAATTCTAGAACAGAGGGTGTGACCTCAACAACAGACAAATTCAGATTCAATTAGTTGCCTCTCAAAATAACTTAGAATAAGCTAAAAGGCTGAAGGAAGACAACAGTTCCCATGTGTAACGTCAGTTCAGGAAGGTGTCTGCATCCCTAGATTCTTGGACAAGGAGAGGAACTATGAATCCTTAGGACCTCCTAGGCCGGGGGCAGGCAAGTCTCCATTGTCCCCAGGTTAAAACTACACTCAGTGTCTTCTATAGAAGAAAAATGGGGTCGGACATGGTCCCAGGGTATAGACACATAAAACCAGATGAGTGGACCCCAGAGCCAGAGAGTCCCCTGCTCTTCAGAGGTGGAGTCTAGAGGGTCATCAGACCCTCACTCCACTCCACGGTGACAGGACTGTCCAGGCTGGGGTGCTCCACTTGGCAGGTGTAGATGTTTCCCTGCTGGGGGGTCATTTCCAGCATCTCCAGGATCTGGAAGGTCCAGTCTCCATTACGGATCAGGTTGGTGGACACGACCCCAGCTGTTTCCTCCTGTCCATTCAGGAAGCATCGGACTTGAATGCTGTCTGGGTAGAAATCTGTCACGTGGTAGACAAGCAGGTCGTGGTGCTGCTGGGGCTCCTTCTTGGAGGGGAGATGTTCACCCTAGGCTGGACTAGGAGTGGCGAAGTGGAAAAGTGGAATAGCATTTGAGATTATTATTTCTTAGACATGCTCATTATGGAATTGATTTCTAGATGTTGAAAATAGGAATGATGGCCAGGCGCAGTGGCTTACACCTGTAATCCCAGCACTTTGGGAGGCTGAGGCAGGTGGTTCGAGACCAGCCTGACTAACATGGAGAAACCCTGTCTCTACTAAAAATACAAAATTAGCTGGGTGTGGTGGTGCATGCCTGTAATCCCAGCTACTCAGGAGGCTGAGGCAGGAGAATCGCTTGAACCCCGGAGGCAGAGGTTGCATGAGCTAAGATCCCACCATTGCACTCCAGCCTGGACAACAAGAGTGAAACTCCATCTCAAAAAAAAAAAAAAAAAAAAAAAAAAAAGTAGGAATGATGTGATTAGGTCAGCAGATAAGGGGAGTATTGAAACTATAGAAATAGTATTGAGAAGAATAGGAGGCACACAAACTTACCAGTTTGTAGCACATTTAAAAGAAATCTTATCTATCAGCCACTGATTAACAGCCTTTGGACAAAGAATATTTAATCAGCAGCGACACTACCTTATCTTTTGAGTGCTCTATCCTGATGCAAAAGATGAAAAATTTGCTCAAATGATTTCTTGAAATTAATATATATATAAACAACATTCTCATGGTCTATTAATCCAATAACTATATTTCATAAATATATCAAGAAAATAAAGTGAGCTTGACGTGACTTATTCTGCAAGTAACCTATGGATTTTTTGGCCTCGCCTACAAACACTCAAAATCGTCCTATTTACATAATATCCTGAGCCCCTACATGCTTAAATAGTAGAAATCCCATCCTTTTCCCTAAGTTCCTCCTCTGCACTGTGTTGTCACATCCATTGAGGTTCTCAGATAACCAGGTGTTGGCTGTGCCTTGGCACCTCTCTATTTTTGCCCCCTCTTTTTCTGCCGCTTACAGATCAATTTCCACGCTACCACCTGCAGCTTTTCCTTTGGACCTCAGCCACTAGTACCCTTTTCCTCCACAGAAGGCAGAAAAGGGCCAACTGCCCCTAGAGAACAGCTCAATTACAGGAATGTTCCAAATCAGAGCTTCTAGGTCCTTATTTACTCTGTTCTTGAGAACACAAATACACTGACATGGGCCTGGGCCAGGTAAATGAACAGTCTTTAACTAACCCCCAACCCTTACTCCCTATGGCATTTTTGCCTTGTGTCCAGGATTATTCACATTCACAGCCTCTTCCCTCGATGTGATTTTATTTCAGAGGCACTTGGCTCTCGTTCTACTTCAACCACCTCCATAAACTCAACATCCATCAGACTGGTCAGCCCATGTCTGAATCCCAACTGTAGATTAAGTGGAACTTCTTCCCCATAGGTGTCCTGGGAAGCATGAAAGTCATGGGATATATGGTTGTCTGTTTTAAGGTCCCAGAACATTCCATGAGAAGCACTTTGCTCCATCTTCTTTGACGGGAGCTGGTCAGCCTGGAGCACATCAGAGACCTCCAGGGGGCGCTGCAGCTAAGGCTTGATACCCAGTGGCCTCATTTCTGACCCAGTTCAAATATATTTCACCAAGGCAAGGATTCCTGTTTGTTCTAGTTGCCTTTGCTCAGTTAATTCTAGATTTGGGTGGGCATCCACACTGGAATGGCCAGAACTTCTATCCTCCTCTTTCCTCCGTCTCCCCTACCCCTGTGTTTTTCTTTATTCTAATTCATGCCCTTATTATGATTTCCCTGGACAATAATAGCAGTTTCTTATCTCATCTCCCTGCCTCTGGTTCCTGCTCTCTCCAACTGACTTCACAGTCTTCTGAAAACAGATTTCCAGCCTTGTCATTTTTTTTTTTTTTTTTTTTTTTTTTTTTTGAGACGGAGTCTCGCTCTGTCGCCCAGGCCGGACTGCGGACTGCAGTGGCGCAATCTCGGCTCACTGCAAGCTCCGCCTCCCGGGCTCACGCCATTCTCCTGCCTCAGCCTCCCGAGTAGCTGGGACTACAGGCGCCCGCCACCGCGCCCGGCTAATTTTTTGTATTTTTAGTAGAGACGGGGTTTCACCTTGTTAGCCAGGATGGTCTCGATCTCCTGACCTCATGATCCACCCGCCTCGGCCTCCCAAAGTGCTGGGATTACAGGCGTGAGCCACCGCGCCCGGCCTCCAGCCTTGTCATTTTAAGATTTCTGAAGATTTTCAAAAATCTTCAGTGTTCTGACACTTATCTGGTTACATGGGAATCACTTGGGAGCTGATTAAAAACACAGATCTCCAGACCTCCCCACCTAGGGAATCTGAATCTCTAGGCAGTGAGTCTGGGGGAATCTTTGCTTCACAGAGGATCTCAAGGAGAGTCTTCTGAGCAGTGAGGTTGGGGACCTGCTGGCCTAGAGGAGAAATCCACACTCCTTAGTCTGGCATCAGGGGGTCTCTGCAATCTGGCAGCTGATTACCATGAAAGAAAATGCTGCCATGTCGCTGATTTGGGCCTCTATGAAGTCTTAGTGACAGATTTTGCAAATTGTATTACTTTTATTTGGACACCTCTCTCAACCAATTACGCCAGCAACTTTCCTAAACCCATGTCACTCTCCTCATCCTTACTCAATGTGTGCATCTTCTCCCTCTTATCAGATGACCTTCCTTTCACTTTCCCAGGAACAGAGGGATCAATGGTGTGACCTCCTGAGCCTCCTCCTCCTCCCCCTTCATTCTTTCCTCTTTCTCTAGGACAAAGGTCCTTGTTTAGTGAGAGGCTCACTGGTGCTTTTTGGTCTCCTTCACGGGATTTCTCTCTTGGCCAAATTAATACACGAGTTATTAAGAGATTATTTTTAGGCAGCTAAAAAGGGTAAAAGTTCTGGGTGGAATTTTCCTTTAATAAAAAGCAGCCCCAAGCCATTTTTTCTCTAACAGAAAGCAGCCTGAAAACTCAGGCATAGATATGCAAACTAGAAGCTTTTATGTAAATGCTGGCAGCTGTTCCTGGAAGTCAGGTAATTCAATATGGCTATTCTCACCCTCTTTCCCTTCTACGTTTACAGGTGTCAAGGCAGCCTCCAGGTTAAAGCACGTGTACAGGTATCATGGCCGCCACCAGGTGGAGGCCGCATTTGTATAATAAAATACTAGGGTGGGAAGGCCAGTCTTTTTGCAGGTTATGTAAATGACACACCTGGTCAAACCAATCCCCTGAGCCCTATGTAAATCAATCACTGCCTCCTCAAGCCTCTGTACAAAACCAATTGCTTTCCACCAGAAACAGGAGACCCTCTCTTGGGTGACCTGCCTTATCAGCATTAGGAAGCTTTTCCTCTCACTCCTCTTTTCTATTAAACTTTCCGCTCCTAAACCCACTCCTTGTGTGTGTCCGTGCTGTGAATTCTTTTCGGCTATGGTAAAGAACCAGGGTATATACCCTAGACAGTGGAGCTGTTTCATTTTGGGAGCTCATCCGGGATCCAAATCAGAATGGAAGATAGAAACATCGGAGTGGTGAGTATAGAGCAAACGTCAAATCTGTTCTTTAATCTCAAGAATCTCTTCATACCAGTTTCCTTTCATGGAGAACTTCACCATCGCATGAGGCTGGGAAAGTCTTGGGGCAACTGAAAATTTCTGGCCAGGGCACACCCTGGTGTTATTCAAAGGCTTCTGGACTGAACGCAGCCTCCGACAGCCTGTCCAGGTGTTGGTAATGGATCTCCAGCTAACCCGTTGCAAAATTTTCCTTTCCTTTGTATCCGTGGTCACTATGTCTCCTGTCCTCTCTCTCTGTGTGTGCAATTTGCGGGAAGTTTTACAGTTCAGGGAAACACTCCTGTTAGGGAAGATCGGCAAATGCCACAGGCAGTAACTGTTACTCTCTATCCTCTCTGGCGAGCACATGGTAGTGCTAAGCCAACAGCACCACCTAGTGGAAATAAAAATCCTCTTCATCAGGCACCTTGTCGGTTTTTTACCGTAACACTGCCGCTTCCAAATTCTTTCGTGCCGCTAGAAAAGCCTCTTCTGTGAACGAGAAAGCACTGTCTTCAACAGTTTGGAGTAAAATGTCCTCTGTAGTGAAATTTTAGTTCTGATACTGTCTCATCAGCAGGAAAAACAGCCATTAGGTTCCTACGTTCATTTCCGTCTCCAATTAGGATAGTACTTAATTAGCAAGGGGATTTTAGGTTCGGAAGTTAACCAGAGCCATTTTGCTAAGGGTAAATGTCTTAGCATGGGCCGTAATGGCAGGCAATCTAGCACACTGCCTCCGTTAAAGGAGCCTACCCAAAGATGACATAGTCTCTCTGGAGATCCATTTTTCTGGGAGCCAGGCAGATCACACAAATTTAGGACGTCAAAGGGGATCACATAAGGTGGATAAGCTAAGGTTGTGTGGGTAAAGTATGGTTAATCCCATCACTTAGTTTATCCAGTTCCACGGCTTGGAGGACCACGCCTACAACCATGGGTGGTACATTTAACACGTTGCCAGGACCCAGGAACCAAGGAGAGAAAACAGTAGGGAGGACACTTCCACTGTCTTCTCCTCCACCCTGGGTCACAATGAAAGAATGGGGACGAAAGGATACTTTTATTCTCACTTCTTTTTCTAGATGGGTGACAGACCAGCTTCAGCTTGCACCCCTCTGGAGTGCACTCTGAAACACTGGAACTCCTTTAACCTCAGGACTTTGAAGAGAAAAGTGACTCATTTTCTTTTGCACAAGGGCATGGCTTTTTTACTAAACCTTTGCAAGCACTGTAAGATCAGCCCAGCTTTTTAAATAGGCATATCAGGTAGGCCTATAGAAAATAATCCCCCAGAATTAGAAAGGCAATTTCCAAGGGAACCATCTGAGAATTCCCCTTATTTAGGGTTGCCAATATGGGGGAAGTAAAGAGAAATCAGACTGTTGCTGTGTCTATGTAGAAAAAGGAAGACATAAGAAACTCCATTTTGATCTGTACTAAGGAAAATTCTTCTGCCTTGACATGCTGTTAATCTGTAACCCTAGCCCCAACCCTGTGCTCGCAGAAAACCTGTGCTGTATTGACTCAAGGTTTAATGGATTTAGGGCTGTGCAGGGTGTGCTTTGTTAAAAATGTGTTTGTAGGCAGTATGCTTGGTGAAAGTCATTGCCATTCTCCAGTCTCGAGTACCCAGGGACACAATGCACTGTGGAAGGCCGCAGGGACCTCTGCCCAAGAAAGCCTGGGTATTGTCCAAGGGTTCCCCCCACTGAGAGAGACAGCCTGAGACATGGCCTTGTGGGAAGGGACCTGACCTGACCGTCCCCAAGGCTGATTCCCATAAAGGGTCTGTGCTGAGGAGGATTAGTGAAAGAGGAAGGCCTCTTTGCAGTTGAGATAAGAGGAAGGCATCTGTCTCCTGCTCATCCCTGGGAATGGAATGTCTCGGTGTAAAACCCGATCATACATTCTATTTACTGAGATAGGAGAAAGCCGCCTTATGGCTGGAGGTGAGACATGCTGGTGGTAATACTGCTGTTTACTGCACTGAGATGTTTGTGTAAAGTCAAACATAAATCTGGCCTATGTGCACATCCAGGCACAGCACCTTTCCTTAAACTTATTTATGACACAGAGTCCTTTGCTCACATGTTTTCCTGCTGACCCTCTCCCCACCATTACCCTATAGTCCTGCCACATCCCCCTCACTGAGATGATAGAGATAGTGATCAATAAATACTGAGGGAACTCAGAGACCAGAGCCGGCACAGGTCCTCTGTATGCTGAGCACTGGTCCCTTGGGCCCACTGTTCTTTCTCTATACTTTGTCTCTGTGTCTTATTTCTTTTCTCAGTCTCTCGTCCCACCTGATGAGAAATACCCACAGGTGTGGAGGGGCTGGCCCCCTTCAACCTCAAGCTCCCTTTTCATTACAGGACCTTAGGCAAACAAAGGAAGACTTATGCTAATTTTCTGATAACCCCAATAGGTATATAGAAGCTGTCCAGAATTTAACTCAGGTGTTTCACCTCACATGGAAGGATGTTATGCTGCTCCTAAACCAAACTCTAACCGCAGTTGAAAAGCAGGCAGCTCTGCAGGCAGCAGATAATTTTGGAGATGAGCAACATATCTCCTATAATACACCAAAAGGGAAGAAAAGAGATAGGGAAAGTGAAAAAAATAACAGAAACACCATTCCCAGTAGGAAGGGAAGCAGTTCCTCTCGACAACCCCAACTGGGACCCCAGTAGCTCTGCAAATGAATAGAAATGGAAGCATTTTTAAAATATGCATATTAGAGGGTCTATGAAGAACTAAGGCCTGACCTCTTAATTCCTCTCAACTGTCTATGATAGACCAAAAGCCAGATGGGAATCCTGCAGCTTTTATGGAAAGGCTGAGAGAGGCACTAATAGAGCACACTTCCTTAGCCCCTAATTCAGTCAAGGGATGGCTCATTGTAAAGACAAGTTTATTACACAGGCAGCTCTTGATATTAGAAGGAAACTGTAGAAGCACGCTATAGGACCAGATAGCACCTTGGGGAACCTCCTGAGGGTGGCCACTTATAATAGGGACCAGGAGGAGGCCCCCCAGAAAGAGAGAAAGCTCAGGAGAAAGACAGAGGCTCTAGTAGCAGCTTTGCAAGCTTGCAAAGTCCAAGATTTCTGAGGTGCATCCGCTAGTTGCTATCAGTGTGGCAAGCCAGGGCATTTTAAAAAGGAGTGCCCAAACAGCAAGAGGAAGCCACCTCAACCCTATCCAGCCTGTGGTGGAGACCACTGGAAATCAAACTGCCCCCGGAGACGGAGGTCACTGGAGTCAGAACCAGTCTCACAGATGGTCCAGCAGGACTGATGGGTCCTGGGGCTCAAACCCCAGCTCCAGTGGCTCAAACTGCCATTACAGCACGGGAGCCACCAGGTGATTCTGGAAATTGAAGGAAGGAAACTAGACCTCCTTCTAAACACTCGAGCCAGTCTCTCTCTCTTTTCTCCTCTTTAATCCAGGCCTCTCTTCTTCCCATAGCGTGAGTGTAAGGGGTGTCTCAGGAAAAACTCTATTCCAATATTTTTCTCAACCTCCTAATTGCAGTTAGGAGGACCTATTGTTTACACATGCTTCCAAGCCATTGCCACGGTGGCTCTACTAGTCAAAAAAGCCTCCAAATTAACCCTAGGAAATAATTTAACTGTTTACACCCCACATAATGTAGCAGGATTACTGTCCTCTAGGGGAGACTTTAGCTAACAAACAGCAGGTAAAGCAAGAAATACATAAGGCAGGACAAGCAATAGTCACTCTAATGTCTCTCCCCAGACACAAGCACTCAATTAGCTGAACTAATAGTTCTTGCAAGTGCACTTAAATTAAGCAGGGGAAAGATAGCTAACATTTCCACTGACTCCAAGTATGCTTTCTTAGTTCTCCATGCTCATGCTGCTATTTAAAAGGAAAGACATTCTTTTACCACTAAAGCATCTCCTATAAAATATCACCAGGAAATTAACAGGTTATTATCCTCAGTTTTCCTTTCACGAAAAATAGCAGTAATGTATTATAGGGAACATCAAAGAGGAACAGATGAAGTAGCCAAAGGAAATAGGTTAGCTGAGCAGGGAGCTAAGCAGGCGGCAGGGAAGCCTCAAGGCATTAACACACTTCAAGCCCTTTTAATCTCGGAAGCCTCCATAAAAGAAATTAAACCTCAGTATTCCCCTGCAGAAATAAAATAAGCCACTTCTTAAGGGTATTCCAGCCCTGAGGATGACAAACTCCATTTACTGGCCTCCAGTCAATGGAAAGTCCTTAAAATCCTTCACCAAGCTTTTTCACATAGGAAAGGATAAAACTTATCATCAGTGTGCTCAGAGATTGTTTTCAGGCAGAAAACCTCTAAGTTGTTTAAAAATGTAACCTCTCTAGCTCACTTCCAACAGAAATTGACACAACTAGCCAAAGGCCAACCCCAGGAAATTGGACCACCAGAAAATTTGGTATTGGTGAAAACTCATCTCTCTCTCCTTCCCTAAGCCAGGCTGGGAAGGGCCCTACACAATTCTTCTTTCAACCCCCCCAGCAGTAAAAGTTACAAGTATCAACCTCTGAATATATCACACTCAAGTCAAAGCCTGAAAAGCTGAGGGAGCAACCTTTGACAGCCCAGAGGAACATCCTGAATATCAATGTGGAGATATAGAAGATCTTAAGCTGAAAATCATAAAAGGTAAGTAAATGAGTGAGGGCTACTCGCCTTAGCGCCAATCCTACCTCACCAGGTACTCTTTATCATTTCTACCTTTCCTCTCAAAATTCACTGCTCAGTATTAGAACTTTTTTTTAATGCATATTTGCAGAGAGATTTTAATTATACATGGGACTGCATTTGTTACTTTGTAAATCCCCAAAGGGAAACATTATATCTTGGCAAGTAAAGTTTTAAATGGAAATTATTTACTACGTCACTTTTGTGGGAATTGTTATCATCATGCTGTTATTTGCAATAGAACTGTATACTGTGGCACCCACAATGTGGAATTCTGGTTGTAAAATTCTAATTCCTGTAATATTTTGCCTAATTATCATCTTTATGACAGAATTAATAATTGCAGGAAGGATTTGGTCAAGTTTGTTTTGCTTATAGCAGGAGTAATAGTTACAGACAAGAAGTAAGCATGAAAATTTTACTATCACTAAGTTTGATAGGACTTTTTTATTGAAGATTGGTAAATGGTGCACTCTAAGCTATGGAAAGAAGGTTACAAATAAAGGGATTTTATATAAGAAAGGATCTTGTATAGTAAATTCTTGTCCTAAAAGGAAATGACTGGTTGTTTAAGACAAGTCAGAAAGTTGAGTACATTGTAAGAGGGTCTGTGAAAGTCATGAAAGAATTTAATAATTAAGAAATTTAATAATTAAAGGAAAGGAATTGCCAAGATTAACACCAAAGTTATTTTAGCCACCCAATAACGTTTTTCTCCCAATCATATCATAAGTTATAAAGAATGGCCTAAACCAAAAATTATGCCCTAATAGCAAGTCAAGGGGGAAACATGTTTTCTCAAAGGAAATGATGCTTTTATATTAACGTTTCTGGTAATGTACAGCGACATCTAGTGGAGACAAACCAGTATTACAATCCATTGGTGTAACAGGTATCAAACTCTACTGCCATAGTTACAGTCTATAGGTGGTAATCTTAATACTCATATGGTAACCCTATATTTTAAACCTTCTTGTAAAATTTATCTCTTTTTGCCTAGAAGCAATCAAACTTCAAATGGTGCTGCAAACAAAGCCACACATGGACATGCCATTCTTCCAAGAAGCCTTAGATCAACCTCAGGAGGAGCCCCAACTGCAGCCCCCCGACACGACGCCCCTTTTCAGCAGGAAGTAGCCAGAAAGAATCGTCGTCCAACACCCCCTAACAGCAGTTATGGTTACGTCTCCTGAGGGAGGAAATAATACAGGAGTTATTAAGAAATTATTTTTAGGCAGCTAGAAAGGGTAAAAATTCTCAGTGGAATTTTCCTTTAATAAAAAGCAGCCCCAAACCATTTCTTCTCTAACAGGAAGCAGCCTGAAAACTCAGGCATAGATATGCAAACTAGAAGCTTTTATATGTAAATGCTGGCAGCTGTACCTGGAAGTCAGGTACATCCAATATGGCGGTTCCCACTCTCTTTTCCTTGTCACCACGTTTACAGGTGTCATGGCAGCCTCCAGGTAAAACCACATGTACAGGTATCCTGTCCACCACCAGTTGGAGACCGTATTTGAATAATAAAAGACTAGGGTGGGAGAGTCAGTCTTTTCGTGGGCTATGTAAATGACACAACTGGTCAAACCAATTCCCTGAGCGCTGTGTAAATCAATCACCGCCTCCTCAACCTCTGTACAAAACCGACTGCATTCCACCACAAACCGCAGACCCTCTTTTGGGCAACCCACTTTCTCAGCATGAGGAAGGATTTTTTCTCTCTTTTCTTTTCTATTAAACTTTCCACTCCCAAACCCACTCCTCACGTGTGTCTGTGTCGTGAATTTTCTCGGCCATGACAAAGAACCAGGGTATATACCCCAGACAATGGAGCCGTTACAAAATCACAATGTCCAGTTCCCAGGATCCAGTCCTATGCTCCTCCCGATGGGTCCCCTCTCCCTGGGTGGTCTCATGTAGGCCAGGCCCCTCCCCCGCTGCAAACTCTTCTCTCACCTGCCCATCAGACCACCCATCTGGCCCCTCAAGCACCTCAAACCCGGCCATCTCCCTGCAGGTTTCTTCTCTGCGTGGCCTGCTGTGCCATCTCCACCTTCATCTCCACACCGCACCCCTGCACGATGTCCTGTGGCCTCGTTTCCCCTCACCCCACATGCAGTCAGCTGCCAGGCCTGATGAAGTCCCAGGGGTCTCTCTCCCTCCATCCTCCTCACTCCATGCTCAGCCCAATCTCCGTGCTCACCCTCCTGACAAGCTCCGGTTGGGCTCCTCCCATCAATCCCCAGCTCAAAGTCCCCTTCCCTCCTGGCACTAAGGTCCCTTAGGCCGGCCCGGCTGCCCCTACTCCCTGGGCCCGGCCCCCACGGCTGCCCCAGGAGCCCTGGTTCACAGCCCTCACCTCGGCGCTGCCGGATGAGTGGCTCCATCAGCTCGTACTTGTGTCTGCACACCTTGTCCACCTCGGCTCGCTTCCGTTCCATAAAGTCCTTCTGGCTATTGAAGTACTCGCCTATGGGCCGCCCCAGCTCCATCACTGCTAGGAACTCCCCCACTGCGCTGTCAAAATGCACGTATTCCTCCCGGTTGTAGATGAGCCCGTCCACAACGCGCTGAGTCCCATTGAACGCATAGCATTCCTGCCGTTCCTGGTAGACGGAATTCTCTGTGAAGAGCAGGGAGAGATGGGGGTGGTGCCACTCCCAACAACACCCCCCTCCTCAATATTAGCTATTTCCTCAAATCTTCCCACTCAGGACTGGATTTAAAAATACGATTTTTCCTACTACCGAGTTCTGTGGTCCTAGGCAGGTCACAGACTCCAGGCATCAGTTTTCTCACCACGCAGCGAGAGGATTTACTGAAAAGAATGAGACTCACTGCTCAGGGTGGCTGAGTGATCATTAGGGAGGGGCGCACGCTGAAGGGAAAGCAGCCCTTTCTGCTGGCGGCTGGAGGAGGAGGGGGAGACATTTCACGTCTCAGGGAGGAGCAGAATCTCATCAGGGGGAGGGTCCCTCAGGCAGAGAAACAGTAGGGATAGGAGGAGTTGGGGACCTGGAGGGCAGAGCTGCTCCCCCTACCCAACTCCCTGCCTGACATTTCCATCCTGATGTCAGTCCTGGCTCAAATGCCACCTCCTCCAGGAAGCCCTCCATTCCTTCTTTCCCTTTCTACAGCTAGGTTCTCTCTCTTCTCTGCCAGTTTCTTGAGAATACCTCAAGTTGCTCTTGCTGTTCTGCATGCTGGACATCTCTGCATGCTGGAAATGCAGAAATGCATTTCCATGCATTCCTCCCTCCCTCCCTCCCTTCCTTCCTTCCTTCTTTCTTCTTTCAATGGAGTATCCTTCCCTCCCTCCCTTCCTTCCTTCCTTTCTTCCTTTCTTTCTACAGAGTATCACTCTGTCGCCCAGGCTGGAGTCCAGTGGTGCAATCTCAGCTCACTGCAACCTCCGCCTCCAGGGTTCAAGCAGTTTTCCTGCCTCAGCCTCCTGAGTAGCTGGGATTACAGGTGTGCGCCACCACGCCCAGATAATTTTTGTATGTTTAGTAGAGATGGGGTTTCACCATGTTGGCCAGGCTGGTCTCGAACTCCTGACCTCGAGATCTGCCCTCCTCGGCCACCCAAAGTGCTGAGATTACAGGCGTGAGCCACCGCACTTGGCCAGAAATGCATTTCTTAAAACTTCTTGAAGTTTGCCATAAGAAAGACTATATAGCCTGAAAGTTAATTTTCACTTTCAAACATGGCTGTAGAAAGACTTGATCTCAAAACACCTGGAAAATATCTTAATCAATGAAAATCACCAGAACAACCAGAAAGCTAAGTGACTGGACTCCTTTAGGTTTAGAGGCATTGATGGTGTCATTTTTACATAAAGAAATGTGGCAGCCTTTTCCACCTGCAGTTCTTCCTAGGGAGCACCATGGGCAGTGTCCGGCAGGTGCATGTGTATACAGAAGTAGCAATGACCCAGCACATGTCTGAGCCTCTTCAGACCTGATCTGTTCCTGGTCACAGTGGGGAAATTAAGGTGCTGTGATTTGCACACAGCAAATTAAGGTTTGTTTTGGACACCTGTTTCATGTTCTACAAATTAGCAACTCACGTTTATTAACCTCACCCCTCATAGAAGATGCACAGCTGGTGGCAGAGGACAGTAGAGAAGGGGTGGGGCTGGGCACAGCGGCACCGTAGACTCGGCCTGTAGTTTCCAGTGTCATCTCTAAGGCAAGATCCCAGGACTTTAGATATCTTAACCCGCCTCTTCTCCTAGTGCCTTGGGCTCCAGCCCCCTAAACACCCAGGCCCATCGCCCCCAGCCCCTTTAGTCTGCCCCTCCCTATTCAAGTGCCCCACTCTGAGTGTGTATCCTCTCATTTTAATTTGTTAGTCTTTGTTCCTCTTCCTCATTCACCAATAAGAGAACATGTTTTAGTCAAGAGTAAGAATTTCAAAACTTTCTTTTGCAACATTTAACTTTTTAAAGGGAATTTTACCTGCAAAGCAGATATAAGTGATGAGTATATGGTGGAATTTGAAACTTCATTTTTTTTTTGTATATGGAAAACTTTATCCTGTTTGCGGAATCTTTGACAATTGAGTTACCCAGAGCACAATTTGAAAACCAATGATCTGAGTGAATTCATCTCTCACTCAGAATAGGTTATATTAAAATATAATTGCAGAAAGATATAATGGAGTCCATATGGGTAAGAAAAGGAACATGTCACAGGTAGGGATTCCAGTTCTTGCACTACGACTGATTACTAAGTTATCTTGGACAAGAAACAACCTTCTAACTCTCCATTTCTTGAAAGGCAAAATAGTAATAATACTATTTACCTTGCAAAACTGCTGTGAGAACCAAATGAGCTCACATATGTCAAATACATAGTATTGTATCTGTTACTGCTCAATCTATCTTAGTTCCCTTCCTCTTTTCACTGTGTGACCTGTTTGAATAGGAGCAAAATTCTAAATAAATGCATATGAAAGAGGAACTGGATCAGCTTATGAGCTACTGGAAAACCTCAAGAAGACTTTCCATGGGCACCAGATCTTAATGGTTGAAAAGTGTTTGTTGGCTGTTTGCTGACTGGATCTTCCCCCCTCTCTTTTGTGCTAGGGATTTTATTTGAGGAGTTAGATTAACAGAAGAGTGAGTACCCAAAGACTCAAATGCACAATGAGCTTCTGCAAGTGCCCAGCTGGTGTGACAGGAGGACTCGGGAGTGTGGCCCTAATGCTTGGGGTAGTGGGTGGGGTGAGGTAAGAAACTCAGCTGTAAAAAGCCCATTTTAAAGCTTGTCAGAGACAAAAGGGTGTTGCCTCCAGGAGTCTGGTTTTTTCACCTGCCGTGTCATCTCCTGCTCCCTAGGTGTTGTCTCAGCCAAGCTTTTCTCCACCCTCCCCTCTCTCACTTTAAGCCACAGCCTGGCTCCTTGTGCCTTTCCTCTTGTGCTCTGAGGATGGAGATGTGTGTGGAGTTGGAAGAGCATGCAGGGAATTGTGGAATTGGCCCTGCCCACTCTACCCACTCCCCTATGGCTCCAGCTCTCCCTCCAGCAGGTTTTGATTGGACATTCATTCTACACGGGGAGCTCTGGTAACCCACCCTCGGTTCCTGTCACATGGCTCCACTGCCTCATCTCATTTCCCCTACCAACCTCAACCCAGTCTTTGCCCGTCCACCTGTTCACTGCCCACCATCATCACGCTCCCTCCTGTGCTTTCTGCTACCCCGCACCTTGAGGGTTTCCATGGCGTTTCCCAACACCACCCCTCATCCTACAAACAACTCTGCCTATGGACACTGTTGCTATGGACCTCCTGCTGGACACTGTTCAGTGTCACCAGCGCTGCTCCAGCCTCCTCTCTCCCCAACCTCACCCCTCTCCAGTTCCCAGGGCTGAGCCATTCTGCTGGTTAGTTCTCAGCACCCCTGTGACTACAAGTGCAGTTTGTCCACCCTTTCCCGGACAATGAACCTGAGGTAATAGGTGAGGGGCTTTGGGGTTTGAGGGGCTGTCCTCAGGAGATTCGAATACTGTTACCCTGGAAAATGAGGAGGTGACATGAGAAC
The DNA here is from genome assembly GCF_000001405.40 of Homo sapiens. NCBI lineage: Eukaryota > Metazoa > Chordata > Mammalia > Primates > Hominidae > Homo > Homo sapiens. Next base: position 33,113,533 of record NC_000006.12, on the reverse strand, counting down.
AGCACTTTCTAGGGGTGTCCTAGGTGGATGTGGAAGGGTCTCAGAGGGAGGGTCTATGCAGAAAGGTGGAAGTCAGTGGAAAACTAAGACACCTACTCTGCAGTCCTTCCTCTCAGGGTGTTGGTGTAAATTTGGACCAGAAAAGTAAGAACATCCTGAGAGAAAAACAATGGGTCATAGAAGCCATAATATTACACCAGCCACAAGGAGACAGCAGGAGACAGAGGTTTTTCCCTTGGTTACTGCTTTCTTGGCTGTCTGATAACCTACACTCAATCTCTTTCACGTACTCACACATCCTTATCTCATTCTTCTGACAGGTTTCAACCCATCCTAATACTCTAACCAAGTTCTGGGGAGGCTGGGAGAAATACCTTCAACAAGAGTGCCTTTAGGGGCTCGAACCTGTCCCCCTCCCTCCCATCTTGCCTTCATTGTCCAGGGAGCATTGGCTCCTGCTCCACCCTGGAGAATGAGAGGCATTCTCTGTGAGCACTGAATCCTCAGTGATACTTGTAGTCTGGACACACCAGCTAAGGGCTCTCTGCCTGAGTCCCCTCAAGGTTGGATGCAGATGTGAGCACACCCAGGAGTCTGCACTTGCCAACCTCTCTCTCTGAAACCTTGTCTGTCCAAGGTTATCCTGAACCTCTTGGCCCCATTTCCCCATAGACAAGCAACTTGACCCCTGAGCACCTCCCCTTATTTACTGTGTCCATGTTCCTGGAGAGAGAATAGACCTGGTGGATAGCAACCTATCCTATAGGAGGTGAGTTTGATTCTCCAGCTGTGATAGAAGGACACTAGGCCGTGGCAGGAGCCCCACATGCTGTCTCAGAGTCTGGTTCCATAAAGAGAAAGTCCCCTAGGAATTGTTCCCTGAGCCAGACCCTCCAGGAATAGCAGCTCTGCTCTTACCTGGAGTGGCCCTGCTCTGGACCACAGATATGAGCAGCACCATCAGTAATGCTGTCAGAGCCACTGTCCAGGGGCCCCCTGAAACCTGCAGGATCATCATGGAGTTGGAAAAGGTTGGCAGAATGAAGAGAGCTGCAGTCAGGAAAACAAGAACTCATTAAAGGGAGCTCCTGTCTGAAATATTAGAGACCATGAACCCAAGCAGTCTTCTGTGACCCTAGGATTGGACAGACTCTGAGAAAAGAACCAATGGGCACTGAGCTTTGTATGAGTCATTGCTCACTGGGCAGAAAGTTAGTATTAAAGATCTGACAATATAGAGCCAGTGATGCTGTTACGAGGACAGATGGAGAACACTGACACTCATTTTAACCAGTCAGAGTCATGAGTTTTGGGGAGATGATGTGTTTTCTTTGCTCTGAAGGTGATCTCAGATATTCTGCTGGCCCACCTACAGGGATTATCATTTCCCCAATTCTGCCACACCTCACACACCCACAGGACATGGCCTGGTGTGGAAGAAATGCTATCTCAATGTGTAAAAGGTCATTCAGTGGCATGATTTAGAGAGATTAGAGTATCCATCCCAGAACTGAAAATGAGGCCTGGAGTCTGTTTTGCCTTTGTTCAAGGCCGTGCTTCAGATTAGTGCACATTCATATTTTCTTCCTCCCACATGTCTGTGAGTCCTGAGATGTGCGGGGGATACTGGCTCCTTCCATAGGACTGTCATCAGGGTCAGCAGGGCTCAGTCTAGGGGCCTTACACCTGGGAGCATGGACACACCACCTACACTACCATGGAAGTATGCAGCTTGAAGGACACTGCCTGTCTTGGACTTCAGTTCTTTGTCTTCAGTATGGGGATGATATGACCTGCCTTTACAGCAGGGCTCTTAAGGTCAAATTAGATCAACGGATCTGTAATTGCTTTGGAAAAATGAGACTAAAAATTATACAGTGAATGAGGAAGAAATGAAAAAATGTCATAAAAGACCCTACATTTTCCAAAACATCTGATTCTGTGGTGTTTATACTGAATAGTTTCATAAACTTTCAAAGAATATTACTCCTTAATTTAAAGACCTATAAATGTGATCCTGTACGACCTCCTAATCTAATAAAGAAAATGTAAAAGTGGCATCATTTGTTTATATAAATGTTAAAATGTAAATAGAAGACTAGCATGTAAAATTCAAGAGAAGAAAATAATTATGCAGTAGAAGGGGCCAGTATAGGATTGCGGGGAAAAAGCTCACGTTCCCTGCCATAGTCACCAAGACAGCATGGTACTGGTATAAAAATAGGCACATAGACAAAGGGAACAGAATAGAGAACCCAGGGATAAACCCAAATACTTACAGCCAACTGATCTTCGACAAAGCGAACAAAAACATATGGTGGGGAAAGACACCCTTTTCAACAAATGGTGCTGGGATAATTGGCTATCCACATGTAGGAGAATGAAACCGGGTCCTCATCTCTCACCTTATACAAAAATCAACTCAAGATGGATTAAGGACTTAAACCTGAGACCTGAGACTATAAAAGCTCTAGAAGATCACATTGGAAAAACCCTTCTAGACATTGGCTTAGGCAGGGATTTCATGGCCAAGAACCCAAAAGCAAATTCAATAAAAACAAAGATAAATAGTTGAGACTTAATTAAACTAAAGAGCTTTTGCACGGCAAAAGGAACCATCAGCAGAATAAACAGACAACCCACAGAGTAGTCACAATCTATACATCTGACAAAGGACTAATATCCAGAATCTACAATGAACACAGGCAAATCAGTAAGAAAAAACAAACAACCCCATCAAAAAGTGGGCTAAGGACATGCATAGACAATTCTCAAAAGAAGATATACAAATGGCCAAGAAACATAAGAAAATGCTCAACATCACTAATGATCAGGGAAATGCAAATCAAAACCACAATGTGATACCACCTTACTCCTGCAAGAATGGCCATGATAAAAAAATAAAAAAACAGTAGATATTGGTGTGGATGTGGTGATCAGGGAACTCTTCTACCCTGCTGGTGGGAATGTAAACTAGTACAGCCACTGTGGAAAACAGTGAGGAGATTCCTTAAAGAACTAAAAGTGGAACTATAATTTGATCCAACAATCCCACTACTGGGCATCTACCCAGAGGAAAATAAGTCATTATATGAAAAAGATATTTGCACATACGTGTTTATAGCAGCACAATTCACAATCACAAATCATGGAACCAACCCAAATGCCCATCAATCAACGAGTGGGTAAAGAAACTGTGATATATATATGATGGAATACTACTCAGCCGTAAAAAGGAATGAGTTAATGGCATTTGCAGCGACCTGGATGAGATTGGAGACCATTATTCTAAGTGAACTAACTCAGGAATGGAAAACTAAACATATATTCTCACTGATATGTGGGAGCTAAGCTAAGAGGATGAAAAGGCATAAGAATGATACAATGGACTTTGGGGACCTGAGAGGAAAGGTGGGAGGGGGCAAGGGATACTGCTCAGGTGATAGGTGCACCAAAATCTCACAAATCATCACTAAAGAACTTACTCATGTAACCAAATACTACCTGTACCACTATAACCTACGGGGGAAAAAAGCAACATAACCATGAACCAACTAATAAAAAACAACCTTGCCTTCAGTCTGCATCCTACCCTAGAGACACTCTCTCTGTGTCCTCACACTTGGAGCTAAGCTTCTGACTTTTGTCTCCAGTACACCCCTGAGGATCCTCTCATCACGGCCATCAGAAACCTCTGTAGAAGGTCAAATCCAGTGGGTTCTTGTCAGTGCCTCTGACTTGAGTTACTGATAATATTTGCACCATAATCCACTTCTTTCTAATGAGCTACTCTGTCCTTATTTTTCTCCTATTTACTGAATCCTCCTTATCATCCTTTGAAATCTCCTCTTAATTATTATGTTCTCTCATCATACCCTGAGATCCCTGCATTTCTGATTTTTGGCACTCTTCCTGGAAAAGCTCATCTAACCTGCACCTATGCTTGATGACTCTCAGTTCTCTGGCTTAAACTCCTCTACTGAGACCACCCATCATACAAAAATGTTTACATATTATTTTTCCTTAGATAACTTTTAGACATTCTAAGTGCAATAGCCCCACACTGAACTCAGTCTCTTCTCTCAGTCAGGCTGTCTTCTCTCATTACCCTTTTTAATGAATGGAATCAAGATGTTTGCATTGGGTTGGGGAGATGTTGGTCAAAGGATACATCCATTTCATTTCATTTAGGATACATTTCAAAAGATACATTTCATTTAGATTGGAGGAATAATTTTAAGAGTTTTATTGTATAACATGGACTATAGTTGCTAACAATGTATTGTTGAAAATTGCTAAAAGGGTGGATTTTAAGTGTTCTCACCACAAAAAATAAGTATGTGAGGTGAGCCATAAGTTCTTTAGCTTGATGTAGCCGGTCCATGATGTACATACATTTCAAAACAACATATTATACATGATAAATATAAATAATTTTTGTCAATCAAAATAATTTAGAAAAGTGACACACACTTACACACACACACACAAAAGAGATGATTGCATTGGCCAGTCTAGGAATAAGAGTTATCTGGGAGTTTTCTAAGTCGGATGCCACCGACATCACTCACCAATAATCCCTTTAATGTCAATCAAATTAAGTCCTCTTCTTCCATCATTTTACTCCTATGCCCATTTCCTCACTCTTTGTTCAGGCACTATTAGTCTTGCCTCTTGAACCAACTTCTTTCACTCATGCTGCCCACTGTTGCCGTAGTGATCTTCCTAAATTGCAAATGCGCCATCACTCTCCTGCTTAAAATCCTTCAATGATTCCTTATGACTTCCAGGACAGAGTAGCCACTCCTGAGCTTTGCATGTAACATCTGTCATGATCCAGCCCCTGCCTGTCTATTTTTCCTTTTTTCTTGCTGCTGTTCCACATCCAAAGCTGGCTCCATTCATACTGAAGCAGCTGAAGTTCTTCAGATATGTCATTGCCACACTGGGCCCACACTTTTGAACCTGCTTCCTCCTGTGTGAGAAGTGGCTTCTGCCCTGTTTTCGGACTGCCTACATTGAAGCCATCTGTTCCCCAGGAAACCTTCCCTGATGCCTTGACAGCAGCATCTTGTGCCTGCCCCATATCTGCACTTATCCATCTGGGCCTGCTGTTGTCTTGTCACTTGTGTTCTCTTCTGTGAACTGTAAACATCAGGAGGACAAGACCTATGTCTTACTTTTATTTGAATATTTAGCATCTAACAATGTTCGACATATAGTAGGCTTTTGATACTATTTTTTTACTATGACATTGTAGTATATGTTAATATCCAGTAGGACATAGGATATATTCTCTCTGTTTTCAATTTTTCATTGTTTACACACATTTATAATTCTATCTATAAGGATTTACAATTATTTACATGAAATGAATGAAATAAATAGAGAATGTTAGATATTAAGAGACAGTGTGGAAAGCCAGGCTGGGACTAGGGATGCACTTACCTTAGGTGCAAAATTTAGGAGGATACCAAAAGAACTCAGTAATAAAAGTCAATCATATTTTAATGAAATATCTTAAGAAATCTAAATTAATGGAAAATATATAATGAACAAAATGTCAAAAGAGAACTATTCAAAGAAAATGGAGAAGCAGAGAGGCAGAAGAATTAGTAGAATATACTGGCACATAAGCCAAGGAGGTAAAGATTTCCAGGAAGGAGGAAGTAGAGTGGAGTCAGAAGTTCAACAGAAGTCATTTCAGAAATCTTACCTTGGTTTTGAAATCCTTTCAGAGAGCAGTTTTACATAATGTGAGCAATTATTTCTCCTTCATCCCCATCATTCCAGAATTGAGCTTCTTCTCTGGCTTCAGAAATGTGGCCCTTCCCCTTGTCAGGATATGTTGGCGACATGATGCATGCGGATGCCCTCAAAGTCAGCTGGGGTTTGGGGGTGAAATTAATTGACTTTAGGGAACTCCTTGAATGCTAAGTTCTGTTCACCTGGAGGACCAGAGAGGGCACAGAGATGACCACCTAGCTTCTGCCTGGGACCTAAACAGGGCAGAGAAATAGGAGGATCAGGTATAAAGGGAGCAGGGAAGATGGGTCTGGGCTTACAGTACTGAACCCAGGGATGACAGTAACTGTGTGTGTCTCGAGGCAGGTGACAAAATATGTGAAAGGAAGAGGACTTAGGAGAGATCTGAATTCCAGCTGTTTTACAAGCTATATCTCAGCTTTCTTTCTCAATTCATGTGCTCTCTACCCCAAAGGCTGATGGAATTGCTGACCCTTCAAGTTCTCTTCTCATCTGCACCCCTTCCCTCCTGCTGCACACTGTTCAGCGACATCACACACTTCTCCAGCCTCCTCTCTTCCTAGTCTTACCCCTTCCCAGTTTCCATAACTGAACTGTCCTGTTGAGGAGTTCTTAGCAGCCCTCTGTGACCACAAGTGCAAGTTGCACTCCCTTCTGAGACAAAGTCCCCCATTTATTCCCTCCTGAGGGCGTGTCCCTTCCCCTGACCCTCATGGACTCTCCCAGGTGCACCCCCTGTGGATTTGCTCCTGGGCCTGAGTTTCCCCTACTTCCCTGATGGTGTCTGGAGGGCAAGGGGTATCTGTCTATCTACTGAGTGTCATAAACTGCCCAACTCAGCACACCCACCCTCTACCTCTTCCTAAGTGTAGTGACACGGTGAGGGAGGTAATGGGGTGGGGTCTGGAATCAGACACCAGGAGGAAAGGGGTGGTGGCTCTCTTTGCCTCTCACTCTGTGTGTATTTCTCTCGGGTACCAGGAGGATTTCCTAAAGATTTCTTTCTCCTGACTGTTTTCTGGACCCGTCCTGGTCTCCAAGCTCCCCTCCTGATTCTCTGCAGTGCCCAGGTGTCCAACAGTTGAGCCTGGAGCCAGGCCAACTTGTCAGCTTCCTGTATGAGGATCAGACTGGACGACTTCAACCTGCTTAGCCCGTCTTCTGAGGCCTCACCCTAGTAGTTGGCAAGTAAGTCTATTTGCTCCTCTGGTCTGCCTGGCCCACACTTTTGTGAGAAAGTGCCCTAGAACCTGTACGCTCTAAACTGTGAAACCCTGTTCCTTCTTTTGGCCACAACACACCTACGCACTGCCCAAAGTTCAGTCACTTCTAGCCCAGAGTTTGGGCTTAGAGTGCATCCTTCTCTGCAAGTTGTGTTAGCCTGTACCTTGGGCAAGTTACTTAAATTTTTTGAGCCTCAGTTTCTACATCTTAGGATGGACAGTAAATAGAATTGGCACAAACAAGTGAGAAAGTGATGGCACAGTGTTTGTTGCACTGTAAGCACTTGATAAATGGCAGCTATTGTGATTACTGCTCTCATCGTCATTGGTTTCAACTTTCATCAACAGATCTCCAACCCTGTTGACGCCCCTGCTTCAGTCAGTCACTTGAACCTCTCACTCCATGACCAGGTGGCACCTTGTGGCTATGGCCATGAAGGGCCAGTCTGTCACCCTCATTGTTGACTGCAAGATGTGAGTCACCCGGCCTCTCCCCTGAAGAACTAGTCCAGTGTTGGACACCTGTGGGGTGATAATTGTTGGTGCCTGTATCCCAGATGAAGAAAGTCTTTGAGGTTACCACAAAAATCAGAGAAAGGAGTGACTTCTGGTCCCTTATTTTGTGCCCACTCCTCTTCTGGCCCCAGTATGCAATGTTCCTATTTCCTAAGCCTTCATTTTTTTTCTTGTGAATTTTGATTTGCATTTCCTATCTTCAGGACTGCTGATCTCTGCAGAATAACTAGATGTCCACTTATGTGGCAGGACTGTCCACAGCCACTTATTCTATCCTTCAGTCTTCATCTCTCCATCTATCCATCCCTTGAACCTATCTCTCTCCTCATCCACCCCATCCATCCACTCATTCACCAGTCCACCTACGCACACATCCACCACCCACTCCCGCAACCATTTACCCACCTATGCATCACAAACTTACCCATCTACTCATGCATGAAGGCTTATATCCACTCACCTGTCCATCCTCCCCCTGCTTAATGACTCTCCCCTTCTTTACACACATCTATTCGACTATGCTTTTGTTCATCTGTCCTCTTCAACTTATCCATCCATCTATTCACTCACCCACCCACTCACACACCCCATCTACCCATGCATACAAGGATGCATGCATCTGTTCAGCCACCCATCTATCCATTATCCTTCCTGGAACTCAACCACTCTCTCCTTCAATACACTCATGCACCCATCTCCTCACCCACTCACTTCACATCCAACCGTTCACTCAACCATGTATTCAATTCCACCCATCTATCTATTCACTCATCTGATTCCATCTACTCTGTACCTCCCGCTCATCTACCCACTAAGCCTTGCATGCATAATTCCCTCTGCAGGAGTCCCATTGTACCTGTTTTGTGCCTTTCTTTTCACTCTGGGTCATGGTAGCCATATTGTTGAAGGTTCACTTCCCAGATCCTCTTTTCTTGGCTGCTTCCTGTCTGTACAGCCACTTCCTGTTTGTCCAGTTTGTTTTGTGGCCATCTTGGCCATGTTTAATTTTCCTTGGCCCTGGCATCACTCTTGCATCCAAGTGTTTGTCATTTTATTTTGTGTCCCTTAGTTGTTCTCATATCTTCCAGTATTCTCTGTCAGTTGGACTGCTTCCTGTCTACTCTGCTACATCTTCTGCCTGCCTTGCAGTTATGGCTGCCTTTTCTACCCTGCTGCTGCATCCCACACCTCCTGCTCTTGGCACCCGTGAGCTTCTGCTGCCTTTCCTTTATGCTGCTGTCTGGGTCTTTGGGGTTGATGTGGGATCTGGGAGAATTTTGAAACGGATCATTGCTGTCAGGATGAAGGTGGAGAGGGGCATTCTGAAGATCTTTGTTTTGGGGAGTTGGGGTGGTGGTGAATGTTTCACCTTCTCCCCACCCTTATCTTGGCTATGGCCTGGATTTGGGAACAGGCATCTGAATGGAGGTGTGCAAGGGAGGGAACTGGTTGGCTTGGAGTGTACATGAGGGCCAGAAGAAGGGCAAAGCATCCTGCTGGGAGAGGAACTGTGGGGTGCATTGTAGGGGGCTGCTCTGGGGCTTGGATAACTGAGCCCAAGAACTGTATGTTTTGCAAAAGGCAGTTATGAGGCCTGAGTTTGGAATATCTCTGGGAAATGCTCTCCAAATTTACTTGGAGTATGGATACTTAACCTGTGCAGGGTTTTTACATTTTTGAACTCCTTCAAATTCTAAATAAAATTTTGTGCATAAGGGCATATACCTTTTCTTTTTTGGAGAAAGACTGAAAGACTCAAAGTCCTCTTTCTGAAAGAGGCTCTTCAGGATTTGGAGAGGTTGTGTTTGCTGAGGTGGGACTGAGAACTGGGGTGCAGGGAACCCTGAGATCTCCTTGGCAGGCATGAGAGTTTTGTGAACAGAAGTATTTAGAGGAAGCCTGTGGGGCTTGTGGGTAGGGCTGGTCTGGTCTCCAGAGGACCCAAAATCGAGGTTGGAGTTGAGATGGGGGCAGGCCTGGTGTCCTGGCTGCTCATGGGCCCCACTGGGGTTACATGTGTGTCTCCCTTAGGCTGCCCATGGGCCCCGGGGGCTGAAGGGAGAGAAGAGAGAGCCTGCAGTGCTGGAACCTGTAAGTCATGCTGGTCACAGGGCTGAGGTGGTGGAAAGAGGAGAAGCAAGTGGGGTTTAGTGTGCTGGCCCTGTCACCTGTGAGTTTTAACCTTTGACTCCACAGGGTATGCTCGTGGAGGGGCCCCCTGGTTTAGAAGGCCCTGTGGTGAGTCTAGCAGTGACCTGGTGGCCATTGTTTTCTTAGAGATCCCTCCTATGTGTTCATCTGTGCCTTCCCCACATATGCTCAGGCCTCCTCCTCAGAACTCCGGAGGGTCCTTCCAATAAAAGTTTTTTAAAAAATCATTTTGAAAAATTAATTCAATAGTTTTTGGGGAGCAGGTGGTGTTTGGTTATATGGATAAGTTCTTTAGTGGTGATTTCTGAGGTTTTGGTGCACCCATCACCTGAGGAATGTACACTGTATCCAGTGTGTAGTCTTTTATCCCTTACCCAGCTCCTACTCATACCTGGAAGTCCTCAAAGTCCATTATATAATTCTTATGCCTTTGTGTCTTCATAGCTTAGCTCCCACTTATAAGTGAGAACATACAATATTTGGTTTTCCATTCTTGAGTTACTTCCCTTAAAATAATGGTTTCTAATTCCCCCTAGGTTGCTGCAAATGTTATTTCATTCTTTCTTATGGCTGAGTAGTATTCTAAGGTATATAGATCACATATATATCATATGTGATCTATATATAGATCATATATATATATATGTGATCTATATATATATATATATATATAGATCTATATATATATAGATCACATATATATATATCACATATATATATATCACATTTTCTTCATTCACCCATTAACTGATGGGCATTTGGGGTGGTTCCATATTTTTGCAATTGTGAATCATGGTGCTGTAAACATGTGTGTGCAAGTGTCTTTTTCATACAATGGCTTTTTTCCTCCAGTAGTGGGATTGCTGGATCAAATGGTAGATCTATTTCTAGTTCTTTAAGGCATCGCTGTACTGTTTTCCATAGGTTGTACTAGTTTAATTTCCCACCAGTAGCATAGAAGTGTTCTCTTTTCATCACACCTACCCCAACGTCTATTTTTTTTTTTATTTTTAAATTATGACCATTGTTACAGGAGTAAGTTGGTATCACATAGTGGTTTTGATTTGCATTTCCCTGATAATTAGTGATGTAGAGCATTTTTTCATATGTTTGTCAACCATTTGTATATTTTCTTTTGAGAATTGTCTGTTCCTCTGCTTAGCCCACTTTTTGATGGGAGTATTTGTTTATTTCTTGCTGATTTGTTTGAGTTTTTTGTAGATTCTGGATATTAGTCCTTTTTTGTATGTATAGCTTGCGAATATTTTCTCCCACTCTGTGGGCTGTTTACTCTGATGATTATTTCTTTTCCTTTGAAGAAACTTTTTAGTTTAATTAGGTCCCATCTATTTATCTTGTTTCTTTTGCATTTGCTTTTGGGTTCTTGGTCATGAACTCTTTGCCTATGCCAATGTCTAGAAGAGTTTTTCCAATGTTCTAGAATTTTTATGGTTTCAGGTCTTAGATTTAAGTCTTTGATCTACCTTGAGTTGATTTTTGTATAAGGTGAGAGATGAGGATCCAGTTTAATTCTTCTGCATGTGGACTGCCAATTTCCCCAGTACCATCTGTTGAATACGCTGTCCTTTCCCCACTTTATGTTTTTGTTTGATCAGTTGGCTGTAAGTATTTGGTTTTATTTCTGGGACTTCTATTCTGTTCAATTTGTCTATGTGCCTGTTTTTATACCATTCCCATGCTGTTTTGGTGACTATAGCCTTGCAGTATATTTTGAAGTCAGGTAATGTGATGCTCCAGATTTATTCGTTTTGCTTAATCTTACTTTGGCTATGTGGGCTCTTTTGTAGTTCCATATGAATTTTAGGATTGTTTTTTTCTAGCTCTGTAAAGAATGATGATGGCATTTTGATGGGGATTGCATTGAATTTGTAGATTGCTTTTGGCAGTATGGTCATTTTCACAATGTTGATTCTACCCTTCCATGAGCATGGGACGTGGTTCTACTTGTTAGTGTCATCTATAATTTCTTTCGGCAGTGTTTTTAATTTTCCTCGTACAGGTGTTTAACCTCTATTGCGGGAAGTCAGGGACCCTGAATGGAGGGACCGGCTGAAGCCACAGTGGAAGAACATAAATTGTGAAGATTTCATGGACATTTATCACTTCCCCAATCAATACTCTTATAACTTCCTATGCCTGTCTTTACTTTAATCTCTTAATCCTGTCATCTTTGTAAGCTGAAGATGTATGTCACCTCAGGACCCTGTGATGATTGCGTTAACTGCATAAATTGTTTGTAAAGCATGTGTGTTTGAACAATATGAAAACTGGGCACCTTGAAAAGAACAGGATAACAGCAATTTTCAGGGAACAAGGGAGATAACCATAAGGTCTGACTGCCTGCAGGGCCAGGCAGAACAGAGTCATATTTCTCTTCTTGCAAAAGCAAATAGGAGAAATATCGCTGAATTCTTTTGTCAGCAAGGAATAGCCCTGGGAAAAGAATGCATTCCCGGGGGAGGTCTCTAAAATGGCCACTCTGGGAGTGTCTGAATTACATGGTTGAAGATAAGGGATGAAATATGCCCTGGTCTCCTGCAGTGCCCTCAGGCTTGCTAGGATTAGGAAATTCCAGCCTGGCAAATTCTAGTCATACTGGTTCTCTGCTCTCGAACCCTGTTTCCTGTTAAGATGTTTATCAATGACAATGTGTGCCCAGCGGGATGTGGAACCTCATCAGTGATTCTAGTTTTGCCCTCTGCCTTGTGATCTTTTACTGCCCTCTGAAGCATGTGATCCCTGTGACCCATTCCCTATTCATAGACCCCCACCCCTTTTGAAATCCATAATAAAAACTTGCTGGTTTTGCGGCTCAGGTGGGCATCATGGAACCTGCTGACATGTGATATCACCCCCGGAGACCCAGCTGTAAATTTCTCTCTTTTGTACTCTTTCTCTTTATTTCTCAGACTGGCCCACACTTAGGGAAAATAGAAAAGAACATACTTTGAAATATTGGGGGCTGGTTCCCCCAGTAAACCTCCTTGGTTAGGTATATTCCTAAGTATTTTATTTTTTTGCAGCTACTATAAAAGGGGTTGAGTTCTTGATTTAATTCTCAGCTTGGTCACTGTTAGTATATGGCAGTGCTACAGATTTGTGTACATTGATTTTGTATCCTGAAACTTTACTGAATTCATTTATCAGATCTAGGAGCTTTTTGGATAAGTATTTATGGTTTTCTAGGTATACAGTCATATCATTGGTGAACAGTGACAGTTTGACTTCCTATTTACTGATTTGTCTGATTGCTCTGGCTAGGATTTCCAGTACTATGTTGAATAGAAGTGGTGAGAGTGGGCATCCTTATCTTGTTCCAGTTCTCAGGGGGTATGCTTTGAACTTTTCCCCGTTCAGTATAAGGTCGGCTGTGGGTTTGTCATAGATGGTTTTTATTACCTTAAGTTATGATCTTTGTATGTCAAGTTTGCTGAGGGTTTTAATAAAAAAGCGATGATGGATTTTGTCAAATGCTTTTTCTGCATCTATTGAGATCATATGATTTTTGTTTTCAAATCTGTTTATGTGATCTATCACATTTATTGACTTGTGTGTATTAAATCATCCTTGCATCCCTGGCATGAAACCCAATTTATCACCATGTATGATCTTTTTGATATGCTGTTGGATTATGTTAGCTTGTATTTTGTTGAGGATTTTTGCATCTATTTTCATCAGAGATATTGGTCTGTAGTTTTCTTTTTTATTATGTCCTTTCCTGGTTTTGGTATTAGGGCGATCCTGGCTTCATAGAATAATTTAGGGAGGATTCTCTCCTTCTCTGTTTTGGAATAGTTTCAGTAGGATTGGTACCAATTCTCTTCTTTGAATGTCTGATTGAATTCAGCTGTGAGTCCATGTGAATCTGTGATTTTTTATCGTTGGCAGTTTTTTAAAAATTACCATTTCAATCTTTCTGCTTTTTATTGGTCTGTTCACAGTTTCTATTTCTTCCTGATTTATTCTAGGAGGGTTGTATATTTCCAGGAATCTGTCTTCTCTAGGTTTTCTAGTTTGTGCCTGTGAATGTGTTCATATTAGCCTTGAATGATATTTTATATTTCTGTAATATCAGTGGCATTTTCTTCCATTTTGTTTCTAATTGAGGTTATTTGGATCCTCTCTTTTCTTGGTTAATCTCACTAATGGTCTATCAATTTTATGTATCGTTTCAAAGAATCAGCTTCATGTTTCATTTATCTTTTGTATTTTTTTGTTTCAATTTCATTTACTTCTGCTCTCTTTGTTATTTCTTTTCTTCTGCTGGGTTTGGGTTTGGTTTGTTCTTGTTTCTCTAGTTCCTTGAGGTGTGACTTTACATTTTGTATTTGTGCTCTTTCAGACTTTTTGATATAGGCATTTAATGCTATGAACTTTCCTCTTAGGACTGTTTTTACTGTGTCCGAGTGGTTTTCACAAGTTGTGTCACTATTATCATTCAGTTCAGAGAATTTTGCATCTTGATTTCACTGTTGACCCAAAGATCATTCAGGAGCAAATTATTTAATTTCCATGTATTTGTATAGTTTTGAAGGTTTCTTTTGGAGTTAATTTCCAATTTTATTCCACTGTGGTCTGAGAGGGGACTTGATATAATTTTGATTACCTTAAATTTGTTGAGGCTTGTTTTGTGGCCTATTATGTGGTCTATCTTGGAGGATGTTTCATGTGCTGATGAGAAGAATGTATATTCTACAGTTGTTGAGTAGAATGTTCTGTAAATATCTGTTAAGTTTATTTCTTCTAGTGTAACTTAAGTCCATTGTTTCATTGTTGACTTTCTGTCTTGATGACTTTCTAGTACTGTCAGTGGAGTATTGAAGTCCCCACTATTATTGTGTTGCTGTCTATCTCATTTCTCATGTCTAGTAATAATTGTTTTATAAATTTGGAAGCTCCCATGTTAGGTGCATATATGTTTAGGATTGTGATATTTTCCTGTTGGAGTTATCCTTTTATCATTGTATAATGTCCCTCTTTGTCTTTTTTAACTGTTGTTGCTTTAAAATCTGTTTTGACTGATATAAGAATAGCTACTCTTGCTTGCTTTTGTTTTCCATTTGTATGGAATATCTTTTTCCACTCCTTTACCTTAAGTTTTTGTGAGTCCTTACACATTAGATGACTCTTGAAGACTGAAGATACTTGGTTGCTGAATTTTTATCCTTCCTGCCATTCTGTATCTTTTAAGTGGAGAGTGTTAATATTGAGATGTGAAGTACTGTTCTATTTCTCATGCTAGTTGTTGCCTGAATTCCTTATTTTTTTCCTTTGCATTACTGTTTTATAGGCCCTGTGAGATTTATGCTTTAAGGAGGTTCTATTTTGGTGTATTTTGGAGTTTTGTTTGAAGACTTAGAACTCCTTTTAGCATTTTGTGTAGTGCTGGATTGGTAGCGGTGAAGTCTCTCAGCATTTGTTTGTCTGAAAAAGACTTTATCTCTCCTTCATTTATGACGCTTAGTTTTGCTGGATACAAAATTCTTGCCTGGAAATTATTTTGTTTGAGGAGGCTAAAGATAAGACCCCAGTCTTTTCTGGCTTATAGGCTGCTGTTAATCTGATAGGTTTTCCTTTATAGGTTACCTGATGCTTTTGCCTCACAGCTCTTAAGATTCTTTCCTTTGTCCTGACTTTAGATAACCTGATGACTATGTGCCTGGGCGATAATCTTTCTGTGATAAATTTCCCAGGTGGTCTTTGAGCTTCTTGTATTTGGTTGTGTAGATCTCTAGCGAGGCCAGGGAAGTTTTCCTTGATTATTCCCTCAAATATGTTTTCCAAACTTTTAGATTTTTGTTCTTCCTCAAGAATGCCAATCATTCTTAGGTCATTTAACATAATCCCAAATTTCTTGGAGGCTTTGTTTATTTATTAAAGTTCTTTTTTCTTTGTCTTTGTCTGACTGGGTTAATTCGAAAGGCTTGTTGTTTGAGCTATGAAGTTCTTTCTTCTACTTGTTGGATCCTATTGTTGAAACTTTCCAGTGCATTTTGTATTTCTCTAAGTGTGTCTTTCATTTCCAGAAGTTGGATTGTTTCTTCTTTATGATATCTACGTCCCTGGGGCATTTTTAATCCATATCCTGTGTTTTTAAAAAATTTATTTAAGTTGTTTTTCACCTTTCTCTGGTATCTTTTTGAGTAGCTTAAAATCAACCTTCTGAATTCTCTATCTAGCAATTCAGAGATTTCTTCTTAGTTTGGATCTATTGCTGGGGTCCAGTGTGGAGGTGGTAGGGGAGTGAAGTAGACTCTGTGAGAATCCTTGGTTGTAGATAGACTTAGTGTGGTGGCTTTCTCAAATGCTGGTTATGCTAGCAGTGCAGTTGTCATGTGAACAGACCGAAGACCACTGGTTAGTCAAGATTTTTCAGCCAGTGGAATTAGCTGTTTTCTCCTTTCTTAGAGCAGTTATTCTGTCGTGAATTGTTGTAATGTCCTGAGTTGGTTGGCCTCCAGCCAGGATGTGGTGCTTTCAAGAGGGCACCAGCTACAATAGTAGAAGGTGGATATAAGCTTGCCCTAAGTTGGCCAAGATAAATATTCAGTTTCTCAGGCAATGAGTGGTGTCATAAAGCTCCCAAGAGTTTACGTCTTTTGTGATTGGCTACCAGGTGGGTAGAGAAATGCCCTCAGGTGTGGACAGGGTTAGGCAGGTCTGAGCTCAGACTCTCCTCGGGCGGGGGGCTTGCGGCAGCCACTGTGAGGGATGGGGCGGAGGGTTTTTCTCCAGCCAATGGAATTATGTTCCAGAGGGCATTATGGCTGCCTCTGTCACCAGAGAAGTAGGGGAAACCTGGTAGCAATAGGCTTCACCCAGCTCCCATGCAGTTGGCGAGGCAGGTTTTGCTCCTGCTGTGCCACACTAACAGCATTGAATTTATCTCCCTGCAGCCTTCAGGATGGACTCAGACCTCACTCCAGGCTATAAGTTTCCTGCTGAGAAAGCAAGCACAGCTTTCAGGCCATGTGCCTCCCTGTCTGCCCACAATGTTGGCAGTAACTTCTGCTCTTTCTCCAGCAGTTCCGTTCGCCCCCAGATTCTGCTCCAGAGGATTTGTGCCCAGTCAGAATTATAACAAATTTCAGTTGGACGCTCCTTTCACACTGTGACCCCTTCCAAATTTTGCCGTCTGCCTTCCCCCAGGGCCCTTGTGAGATATAGTCAGGGGTGGCTTCCCTGGGCTTGAGCTAAAGACTGGGCGTGCCTACAAGGCTCTTCTCACTGCTGCATCTACCATATATATATATTTTTTTTTTCTTTTTGTTGCGACGGAGTCTCACTCTGTCACCCAGGCTGGAGTGCAGTGGCGCGATCTCGGTTCACTGCAGGCTCCGCCTTCCGGGTTTATGCCATTCTCCTGCCTCAGCCTTCCTAGTAGCTGGCACTACAGGCGCCCGCCACCACGCCTGGCTAATTGTTTTGTATTTTTAGTAGAGACGGGGTTTCATCGTGTTAGCCAGGATGGTCTCAATCTCCTGACCTTGTAATCCGCCCGCCTCGGCCTCCCAAAGTGCCGGGATTACAGGTGTGAGCGGCAGCGCCCGGCGTACTTTTGTATTTCATGCTAAATCTGTTTCAGGTCTAGGTAAAGTTAAATCCTTTTCCTGTAATCTGGATTTTCGAGTTCCCCAGTGGGGACATGGGTCCGGAGGCAGGTTTTTCCCCTCTCACGCTTTGGGAACGCACAGTTTTTCACTTGTCTGGTGGAGTTTGCAGTGGCCCCTCCCTTCTTTAAAAGGATCTGTGAATTCTTTCGATTTTCTGGGTATTCTCCTGCAGTGGTTCCTTTCTTGAGGGATCTGTGAAGTGAGTTCCTCAAGATATTTCTTGTCAGGTGAACAGTCTGTGGTCTCTGCAGGGCCTGTACCACCCCTGGGCACTGTATGCCCCACAGAGTGGGCCTCTCCTGTGCAGGGCCTGGGAAGAGGTTGATTATAATCTGGTGTCTGAGGCCTGGCAGCACCACACTCTCTTCAGTGAGTCAGGCTCAAGTCTGAGCACATCTGCAGAGCTTATGTTTGCTGTGTTGCTCATGGAAGGCAGGGAATCCAAAATTGTTTTCTTAGAGATGGACTCTCACTATGTTTCCTAGGCTGCTTTCAAACTCCTGGCCTCAAGTGATCCTCCTGTCTCGGCCTCTCAAATCACTGAGATTACAGGTATGGGCCACTGTGCCCAGCCTATTATCGATTTTCTCCCATTTCATTCAGTCCTCAACCCAATGTACTCTCTCTTTTTCTTTCCCTCATCTCTGATGCTCCTCTCAGGGTGGCAACTAATGACTTTTATACAACTCAAGCCAGTGGTCACTGTTCTGTTTCTGTCTTATGTGTGTCATTAGTGTGTTTGAGATGCCCCCTCTCCTCTTTCCTGGAAGTTTTCTCCTGTCTCTTGTCTTTTATGAACCCACTTCCTCTCTGTTTTCCTACCAATTTCTAGTCCTCTGCTTTTCAGCCTCTTTCTTCATGTCTGTGTTTGTCTGGATGCAGGAGCACACACTCAGATCCCTGCTATCCTGACTTTGTGTACTTTTCTTGAGTGACCTGACCCAAAATTAGAACTTCACCCACCATGAGCCTCCTTCCAGTTTATGTCACTAACCTAATGTAGCATGACACTCATCCATTTATTTCACTGCCTTCAAATCAACTGTATGTTTTCCCCTAGAAGTTTAAATTCAGTATGTCTCAAACAGAAAATTTTACCTTCTCTCAATCACTTAATTATCACCTTTGCAGGCACGGATGCCACAATTCTCCACGTTGCGTGGTTATTCTCGACTTCTTCATATCCCTACTTCTGGCATGTGATTTAGTGATTCCTGTGGCCTCTCATGTCATTACTGCCATCAAATCCATCTGCTGTCCTCCTCACCCCATGTTCCTGCCCTGGCCTACGCCTTCATTACTTCCCACCAGAGGGCTTAAAAGTGCTACTGGTCTTGCCTTGAGTCCCGCCTCCTCCAGCCCATCCTTCCTACAGGTGCCCCATCCAAACACAAATCTGACCGTGTTACTCTCCTGCTTAAGATACTTCACAACTTCCTATGTCCTGTGGGATAAAATGCAAACACTTGCCATCAGCACACAAGGCAGGTTACAGTGCTGCCTGGCCCACATCTCCCCTGGCTTCAGTCACACTGAAGAACTGCAGTTCTCCTTGCAACTTCATGCCTCTCTGCTCCTGAGCCTGCTTCTCCTGCTGGAAATGCCATTTCCCCTTTCTCTGTTTTGCTATCTGCAGGTGAACACTGTCCCTAGGAACCTTTCCTAAATCGTATTTTAATTTTGCTCCTGAGTAGCTCTTGTGTATACCTTGTGATACTCAGTGGTGATCAAACCACACATGTAGCAATCATCTTTTCTTTGTCTGTTTTATTCTTGAATTTCAAGTAGATTAAGGACAAAGTTCCCATCTTTAGAGTTTCATCCTTATTACCTAGAGAGTGAAAGTTCACAAAAAGCATTTATTAACTGAATGAAAATTAACATTTGAAGTGTGGAATTTGCTTCAAAATGTGCCAACCTTTAGTTTTCAGATTTTGTAAATATAATAAATACAAAGTAACCTAAGCTGAACCAATTACATCTGTGTAGCCCAGTCTATACACCATGTATTTTTCTTTTTCCTTTGGGATTCATTTCTGTAGGTGAGTAATCCTCTAGACCCTAAACTCAGTGGGGGACCCTCACCATCCGTGTGCGGCACTGAACCTGCTGTCACACTATGCATCTAAGTAGAGGACTGGTTCTCCCCATGCTGGGCTGGGAGGGGAAATCCTCACTTAGGGACCACCAACCATGCAGTGTCATTTGGCTTCACTTCCTCTTCCAGGCCGAACCCTAAACTCTCTGTAATTCACTGTAATAATAATTCACTTTTTGTTATCAACCAGTTGCTGCTTCTTATGTATCAGGTAAAGCTAAGATACTATCCCATAGGTCTTTCAAATGCCAACAACTTGTATTTCCAGGTGAAACTACACTTGAAAACTACACTCCACAAGACAATTTTGTGAATGTTATGTGAATGATAATACTTTTAAATTTACTCTGCCTAAAATGTAAGTGTTGTGGATAAAATTATAGAAGGTATCATTTTTCTTCTAAAAGTAAGAATGTAACTTGAAGTCTATAAATGTCACTAAGACTCTGGAGGTATTTTCATGTCCTTCACGATTTTGTTCCACTCTGAAATATTTATTCCATCCTTCCACTTCCCTGCCTTGCTTTATGGCTATATCAGTAATTTTTAATGTATTGTCCTGTAGGGTTTCTGAGATCCTACAGGAATGAGGTAGGAGGACTACTCAATATTGTTTCTACCAGGAGTTGTGTGACTTGGACAAGTTACTTTACCTCTGGGGTCAGTTCCCTACTATGGAAAATAAGTTCTTCTACATGGGGGTGTGAAGATTCAATGAGTAAGTTTAGCACATAGTAAGTGCCCAATAAATATTATCTTACTGTATTCAGCATTACCATTATCATAGACGGATGTTAAGTCTTCAGGGACAAGGGAAACAACCTATATCGTCCATGGGTCATTTCTGTCTTTGTTTCTTCTCACTCCTTTTCTTTTCTTTCATTTGCATTTCTCATTTTCTGTGTTATTCCTTCATGTTCCCAATAACCTTCCTGTTACCTGTTTGCTTCCTGCATTCTGTGTAGCATCCTACGTATTCACCCATTCTCCATCTTCTCCTTCATGCAGCAGACCATGTGTCAACATATGCGGAGTTTGTGCAGACGCACAGACCCTCTGGGGAGTATATGTTTGAATTTGATGAGGAGGAGCAGTTCTACGTGAACCTGGATGAGAAGGAGATGGTCTGGCCTCTACCAGAGTTTATTCACACCTTTGACTTTGGTGCTCAGAGGGGTATTGCTGGCATCGTCATGGCAAGGAAGCACTTGAACACCCGGATCAATGGTCCAAACAGACTTGGGCCACAAATGGCACTGCCTATAGCTGCCTGTTCCTCTCAGAGGGGTATTGCTGGCATCGTCATGGCAAGGAAGCACTTGAACACCCGGATCAATGGTCCAAACAGACTTGGGCCACAAATGGCACTGCCTATAGCTGCCTGTTCCTCTAGAGTCCAGCTGGAGGGATGGGAGGGCCTCTCTGCCACACATAGAACTAGAGGCCATGATGCCCACTCATGAATGAGCCCCTTCCCTGAGAGCGAGAAATCTTGGGTCCACACAGCTGGGTTCTTAGGACAGCAGAGGAGGAGGCATTTTCTTCTTACTCAAGAGAAAGGCTGGGCTGAGGGGGCCAGGTCAGGAGCACGAGAAGCTGTGACCCTGTCCAGGAGCCCTAGGGGAGCAGGAGGATGGGCCTGGGAGAGGTGGCCCCTAATCTGGTGAATATAGGACTTGGGGTGGTGGAACCTTTAAGAATCAGCCAATGGCAGTAGGCTCCTTGGGTTCTATCCCCTTTTGGAGCCCCCACCGAGGTAAGCGTCTTTCCCAAGGAGCCTGTGGATCTGGGCCAGCCCAACACCCTCGTCTGCCATGTTGACAAGTTCTTCCCACCAGTGCTGAACATCACGTGGCTGCGCAATGGGGAGCCAGTCATTGAGGGTATTGCAGAGACCATCTTCCTGCCCAGCAAGAAACTCAGATTACACAGGTTCCACTATCTGACCCTCGTTCCCATGGCCGAGGACACCTGTGACCTCCAGGGGGAGCACTGGGGCCTGCACCAGCCTCTCCTCAGGCACTGGGGTATGGAGCGCCCTCCCTCTGCCCTCACGGCCTTGGCACCACCTTTATTTCCTGGGCCCATCGCCCCTCAGCACCTGCCTTCCTCAATCCCATGTTTTATGGTCACTTTATCCAAATTTCACCATCTCATGGTTTCGAATACCCAACACCTCCCACATCCAAGGCCAGCCCCTGCTCTCTGTACCTTATAACTCTGTCTTCCCTTGGTGCCCCAGAGGTCCATGAACTAATCCAGGTGCCTGAGACCATGGAGATGCTGGTCTGTGCCCTCGGCCTGCTGGTGGGCCTGGCGGGGGTCCTTAATGGCACCATTGTCTCAAAGACCAAGCGATCTGACAGCATCCCCGGGTCCAGGGGCTCCTATGAGTCATCCTATAGGTGTATTAGGGACAGAGTGGAAAAGACGAGGTAACAAGTTAGGGGTGAAGAGTGGGAAAGAGAAACACTTCACCAGGGGCTCTTTGAGCATTGATGTTTTACTGCCATTGGGCTGGATAAAAACATTAACAAATGTAATGAGAAATGACATTCATTGAGTTGCTTACTATGTTCTAGGCACTATTCTAAGTGCTTCTCATGTGTTCACTTATTTACATCTGGAGGTTGGTTCTTATTTATTTCATGTTACAGAGCAGGAATCAGACACCGGGAGAGGTGAAGACCACACAGCTTCAAAGTGCAAAGCTTGGATTTAAACCCAGGCTTTGGGCCTGCAGTGGCTGCAGTCTTGTCCAGTATTTAGATTATTTCATCTGCAGTCACTATCTGTCTTCCTACATTTTACACAGCCTTAATTTTCTTCTGCCCGCAGAGTGATGTTCAGAACTTCCAATGCTATGTTAAACATTTCCAGCAACGAAGGACATCCTATCTTTTGCACAATCTCAAAGGCAATCCACCTCATTTCTTTGAAATATATATGCTATAGATTTTTGGTTCACTACCTTTAACATGTCATGAAATTGATTAAATTCTGTCTATGTCTTGAGCTGAATTCAGTTTAAATTAATATGAATTTTGCGGAGTCCACTAATGTGTTAACCACATTATATATTTTCTGACACTGAAGAATCATTGCATTCCTAGAATAAATCTAAAATTGGTCAAAACGTATTGTTTTTATAATGTACTGTTGGATTCAGTGACATGGCTAAAATTAGTCCACAATCCTGTTCTCCTGTACTATTCTTAGCTGGCTCTGGAAATATAAATGAACCAACCTCATAAAATGATCTCAAAAATTCTGTTCCATTCTATGTTCTAGAATCACACGTGTAAGAGGCATGATCTGCTCCTGGAAATGTGGGAGGACACCCTCATCTGCAATAAGATCAGGACAGGGCCCTTTGGAAGGCGATTCTTTGCTTCCCATGACAATTTCTTTGATATTCTCTACTCTATTTTAGTTTTCTATTTCTTCCTGTAGTTTTGACCTTTATATCTTTCTAGAAACGTATCCGTTTTATCTAAATTTTCAAATTTATATGTATAGAGTTGGTCGTAAGATTTTGCATTTTAAAATGTGTATAAATGTCATTTACCCTTTTCGTTCTGAATCTCCTGTATTTTCCTTAGGAGTCTTGCCAGAGGTCTCATTAAAGTTTTCATTGCCTCAAAATTTGATTTTATCTTCTCTATTTTTATATTTCATTGAATTCAGCTTTTGTCCTTATTATTTACATGTATTTTCTTTTTGCTGTTTTTCTGCTTTTCCATCCTCTTAATTCACATAATTAGCTCATTTGTTTACAGTCATTTTACTCTAACAAAATTGTTTAACAGTCTGACATTCTATGCAGCATTTTGAATGAACTT